>NC_000017.11:11703232-12006262 GCF_000001405.40 Homo sapiens
AACATCCTCTCAAGTTATCCCAGTAAGGCTGCCAATGAGGGGGAGCTTCTTTAATAAAATCTAATGGGACATAAACTCAAAGGGAAAAATGGACAAACAGAAATGGTGCTGTTTACTACGATGAGATTCTCCATTTCACAAAGGGAGTAAATCCCATCAGGCTTCCTTGTTTACCTGTATCAGAATTTTGAGACAAGAGAATGTGTTGCCTCCTCCTATTGCAGTAAATGTCATCTAGAGTGGTGTCCCCCAAACCAAATGATACTACAGATGAGCAATGGATCTAAATTCCCCACCATGAGTAATCAAAGTTATGCATGTTCCATACAAAGCTTTCCAGCAAATAGAAGAAATATGTATTTCAATTGCTTTTTCTATTTATTTATTTTTAATCTCTGAAAATGCAAATCATATTAACCACAATTGAATTTCAATATCTCTCATCTTGGCACTTAAAAATAGGCACTTTAAGGTTTTAAAATATCTTTAAAATGTAGTGAAAGTATGGTAGAAGAGCAAATGTGTGCCACAGATGATCAGCAGTGGCTCACTAAATTAGGTTGTCAGACCACAGAGGAGCAGAAGACTGGGTGTCATTGGGATGGTTGGGCAACATATTGTCATCCTCCCAAGCTTGGGAAAGTTGCTACCTTTGGGAAGTAAAAGACTGATTCATCCCCGTCACAATTTCTAGAAGGCACCGGCCTTGATCAGAGTCAATCTTGGGTTCTTCTCAACCGAATGATACATTTTTTCAGGAGCAGAAAGTGCTTTTCCCACCTGTACCGCAACAACTTCACACCTTCAAGGGTTTAGAGCATATGGTTCACTTAGTCAGTGCTGGTGGAAGAGGGAGGGATGGGGCTCATGTCACCCACACAATTACATCCTGAGCCCTTGCTGTGTGATGAGTGGGTTGGTTGGAAACAGCCATGATAACAGCTTTACTAGGCAACTCTTGCTGCCACAGGTGGCCCTGACCTGTACTCAGATCTGGTGGACAACAGAAGTGGGCATGGCATTTGCCAGGCTGGAGGAAGGCTATGAGAGTGCCATGAAGGACTATTATAAGAAGCAAGTGGCCCAGCTCAAAACCCTTATCACCATGCTGATTGGCCAGCTCTCCAAGGGAGACCGGCAGAAGATTATGACTATATGCACCATCGATGTGCATGCCCGGGATGTGGTAGCCAAGATGATTGCTCAGAAGGTGGGTCCCAAACATCCAGGGATGCCCACTTTTGTGTACAGCTACACTGAGAACAGCACATACAGCCAAAATATGGGGGCCCCAGGGTCTGTACAGCACTGACCAGACAGCTGGGGGAGGATCACAGTGGCTGCTCCTACTTTTTTTTTTTTTTTTTTGAGATTGAGTTTCGCTCTTATTGCCCAGGCTGGAGTGCAATGGCACGATCTCGGCTCACCGCAACCTCCACCTCTCGGGTTCAAGTGATTCTCCTGCCTCAGCCTCCCAAGTAGCTGGGATTACAGGCATGTACCACCACCCCCAGCTAACTTTGTATTTTTAGTAGAGACGGGGTTTCTCCATGTTGGTCAGGCTGGTCTCAAACTCCTGACCTCGGGTGATCCGCCTGCCTTGGCCTCCCAAAGTGCTGGGATAGAACCCTGTAATCAGAGCAGCTTGTGCTTTCTATGCTGTGGTGGCCACAGCATGCTGCACACTTTAGCAGCAGTCAACAGCCAAGGCATCAGACCCCTATGTGTCTTGTGGCCAAGGGACTACCTGCTGCCTATGATTCACCCACCTACTCTACCACTCTCTCTTTAGGTAGACAATGCCCAGGCTTTCCTCTGGCTGTCTCAGCTGCGCCATCGTTGGGATGACGAGGTCAAACACTGCTTTGCCAACATCTGTGATGCCCAGTTTTTGTATTCCTATGAGTACCTGGGAAACACACCTCGCTTGGTGATCACACCTTTGACTGACAGGTGAGCACTGGTGTCAACCACTGACAGCCTTACTGCTGTCTGGTTCAGGCCAGCTAGTGGGCATCTAGGGTCAAAGTCCCTGTCACTTGCTATTTGTCCATAGAGCTACAGGGAAAGGGCCTGACTCAACACAGCCTGTTTAAAGTGAAACTGAAAGGATGTAGGGCAGAGCCTTTCTTGGAACAAATCCCAGAGCAAATCAATGAGCCGTGACTTTTTGAGGAATTACTAAATGGTCATACACACCCGAGTTCTAACACCAGCCCTAACACATACCAGCTGTTTGATTATTAAAAACATTGACCTAAGTTTTGGTTTCCTCATCTGTGAAATGGAAGTGGTAACTCACAACTTCCATGATTATTGTAAGGATTAAAGACAGTAACGTTGGGAGGGAGAGTAGGAGGGTGATGAAGAGAGGTAGGTTAACAGATACAAACATACAATTAGATAAAAGTATAAGTTCTGTCATTCAACAGCAGAATAGCATGACTATAGCTAGCAACAGTGTATTGTATATTTCATAGTAGCTAGAAGAGAGAACTTCAGTTATTCCCAATACATAAAAATGATAAATACTCAAGATGATGAATAACTCAAATACCCTGACTTGATCATTACATTCTATGCATGTAATAAAATATCACATATACCCCATAAATATGTCAAATATGTATCAATTTAAAAAGCATACTGGTAACCCCCTCACCTCCATTTACAAAACACAAAGAAGTATTTCTCTCTATATTCATTAAAGTTAAGAAATATACCATGGAATGTTATACTGCACAAAGATTATAATAACTTTCTAAAACGATTCTCTTGAAAATGTCATGGTGCAATTTAATGAAGAACTCTTAAGTAAGTGAATAATGTATTTTGCTTTCCAGGCATATTTATAAAAATAAATATGGTTCATTAAAACAAGCACATAAAAAAGACAGTAATACTCCTAAGGAGGTTAGTATATAAGTGCTCAGTAATCGATCCCTATTATTATTTTCTTGTCAATCAATTGATCAATTAACTGGCACATTTATTCAGTACCTCTTACCTGGGAATGCAAAGAAATAAGCAAGGTAGTTCCAACCATTTAGGAGCTTGCATGTTTTTTTTAGAAAGACAGTATTTCCATCACTTATATTAATTCACACATGAATGAATTCACGCCAGACACTGAACAAGTCACTGGGAATACTAAGATGACTAAAACATTTTCTGCCCTTAAAGTCCAATTCTAATGAGGGAAATAAGACATATGTAGATAAAAATTTAAATATCACCAAGGGGAAAAGTACAAGGCCATAGTATAAAATAAGGTACGAGGCCATATGCAACAAATTTCCAAGCAGGTGACTCAGCAGAAAGCCCTTTGAGCACAGAGGGCCCCACTCACAGTAGAAGGAAAAGAACTGGAAAGGCTTCAGGGAAGAGATGGTATTTGACCTGGAGCGTGAAGGATGTATTGGATTCCAGTAGGATTTAAATAGGTTATGAGATTACTGTCCAGGTGTCCATGAAATTGTATAGAAATCTGTTCACACGTAACTTTTTTCTATTAAGAGGATATACAGCATTCATTAATTGTTAAAATGCTATGCATCCCCAAAAGTTAAGGAGTTACTGATAAACATTGCTGGAAAATGGCATATTGGTGGCAAAGTCACAGACATGGGAAAACTCAAGATATGTTCCTGGAAGAGGGAGTTCCGACTTTGGGGGAGGTAGTCAGCCATAAAGGAGTCAGAATATAAAGTATGAAGAATATATTCTTTATCCAGTAAGTAGTGATAAACTATTGAGAAATTTCATCAGAATGTGAAATCTGTACTTTATGAAGATTCATCTGACAGCACAACACAGGTAAAGGACAGTGAGGGCAGAACAATAGGTCATGATGCATGGGAGAAATGATATTTTAATTCCACTGAGATTTCTGTAAATTCTGCTGGGAGTTCATACCCTTTCCTTGTAATTCCATTGAACATTAAACCTCCTCTTCCCCAAAAGGAATTGTATGTCTGAATAACTGGTTCACTGAGATGAATGACTTGTAGGTAATGAAGAGATTGTCAGAAATTGTGAGTTACAGTTAAAATGACCAGATAGAATCTGTGCTATTTTTTGACTTTTCTCTTTTCCTGTTCTCAGTGATATCACTTGTATTTTAGTCAAATCCTCAAATATATTTCCAAGTATTTGATAAATATTTCCAATTCAGTTAAATTGCAGTCACTGTGTTCATGGAATGAATAGGACATGGAAAATCCAAAGTAAGTACTTGAAAATCCCAGCACGATTCATAGCTCAACACCTCATAGCTGAAGCATGATGGTCAAGATAATTCCTCTGCTTTTTCATTTCTTTAATTCATTTTCCTCCCCAGTCTGGAAGGGGAGAGGAGAGTCCGACTCGAACTGCTTCCCTCTTACTCTGTATCTCTCTTTTTTGTGATATCCCTTAGAGGGCACATCACTGTCTCCAGTGGCTCTCCACTCTGCATGGACCAAAATGTGAACTCTGCATGAGACTTGGTAGTCCCCATCAGCCACCCTGATGACTCACTCCCTACACTCCAACTACATGGCCTCCTTTCTGTTCCTTGATCACCTGGAGTTCATTCCACCTCAGCACCTGCACACACATGCTTTCCTCTGCCTGCAATGCCATTCTCAAGGCCGTCTGTTCCACTGGTACCGTCTCATGCTTTTGTTCTACTCTCTGTCCTCAGAGGCCTTCCCTGACCACTGTTTCTAAAAGGCAGCCTCTCCCACCACACACACACACACACACACACACACACACACACACACACACACACACACACACAGAGAGAGAGAGAGAGAGAGAGAGAGAGAGAGAGAGAGAGAGCAGGTAACCCTGACAGAGCCTCTGTTGATCTTAATGTTTCCCCCATTCTGAAATGGCCTGGCTTGCCTCCTCCTTGTTGGCATTCCCCTTTGGAATGTAAACCTCTAGCAATCAAGAACCTTTGTCTATCGTGTTTGCTGTTATGTCCCCAGCCCCTAGTAAGTGTTGAATTAATAATCATCAAATGAATGAATGACATTTAAATATTGAGGACCCAGATCATAAGATTAGACAGAATCAAGCAAGGGAAGTTGACTTAGGGGCAAGGTCTGTCCAGGACTCTGTCTGTGTGTCTGTCTGTGTCTTGGCTCCCAGTGAAGAAGAAACAGCTACTCTGTGTTTTGCTCTTAGCTGGGAATCCATCTTCCTCCCTACCTCAGCTTAAGACAAATGCAAATAGCACCTCTGCAGAGGGAGATGTCGATCTCTCTGTAGCTAGATGGTAAAGGAAGTAGCAACTGGAGTTGGGGGTGGGGGGCGTGGAGTCTTAACAGGTGTTACTTGGGCCAATTAGTTGGAGGAGCTCATCCTGTCTGGGTTAAAGGAAAAGTGGTTCCCACCTTTTCATTCAGACTGGACTCCTCTAGTATCTGTCTTTAGGGCCATTCTCAGTCATTAGCAGGAAGGAGGTCCTGTACAGTCAGTCTTCCCTACTGCAGTGAGGTCTGCCTATCTTGGAATATAAGCTAATAGTTTGGGAGTTTATACCACTTGGGACAGAATAATGAAGCCATTATGTATTTGGGCAATTTGATAAATCTATCCCCCGCTCTAGACTGTATGTTCCGAGATAACATTGACCTTCATTTCTTCTCTACTCCCAGGACCTAGCACTGTGTCTAGCACACAATGGGCACTCAAGAAATACTCCTTGAGTGAATGCAATGAAATGATTCCTGAGCCTCTAGATAGGGATGTGCCCGGCCTTCAGAATATTTCCATCCTTTCCACCAACATATCAGACATTATCATTCCAAGTGATAAAAAGTACAAGATTTGTCTTTTCCCTGGGCCTTCGCAGTCGCCCAGGAATTGAAGATAATTACCTCTTTTGGATTTAGAGGTCTCTAGTATACTAGTGCTGAATACCTTATAGAGGGAAAGGGTAAAGTTTCGACAATGCATTATTTCTGAAATAGGGATTTATGGCCTCTACTGTGAAATGATGCAAATAAGAACTTGAAAGGAAGGTTAGCTAAAATAATGGTGAATACTATACAGACCTTCACCTTGTTTGCGCATTAGTTGCTTTTCTGACAAAGTAGTATGTAGCTGAATACTTATATGGCAAATTGCATTTTCTCATTGACTTCCATTATTATCTCAAGAAATGTTTTTTGCACAGAAAAAAATTGGCCTCAACATAGAAAATCACATTTTAAAAAGCATTCAGCTTTTACTGGTGTGTAGCCTAAGTACATTTAATTCTCTCCTGCCCGAAGAATTAATCAAATGGACAATTGATCCATACAACCTTTGCACATTCATTAAAAGCTCACCCGTTTTACAGTACATCCAAATGATTATGCCTGTTTCTTTGGAATTTCCCACTGCCTGGATGGGACTTGAATATATAAATAGGTGCGATGGTTCAGTCCTTGTCACAGGATTTCGGCACCACACTAAGTTGAAGAACTAAATGGAAATGTTTTTTCAGGCTGAACAAAAGCAATTCTCATAAGTCGTTTCTCGACCTTTGGATGATCTCCTCCTGCTTTGCTCCCCTTCCTTCACCTTCACACACAAATGCACCTTTCTGCCCTGTGCTGTGTTAAGTACTGTTTTAATCAACTGCTTATCAATGTTGAGTACCCCTTAATTTCTCAGGAACTCCTGCAAGTAGGTGAAATATAATTGATGCAAGAGTCTTTCAAGGTGATTTTCTGGGCAAGGACACAGCTAGCAAAAGTCGTATGCTCTCTCTTTAAGTTTTTCTCTCATGTTTTTGCTGGAGAAAATTTGGAAAGGTTAGTATTCTGTACAAAAGAAAATAAAAGTCACCCATAGATAGCCATTGTTAATATGTAGTTTGTTTCATTCTACATGTAGAATGTTGAAAACTGAAACTGAGATCATATCTTATATATAAAACTTCATAGATTGCTTGTTTTATTTAACATTATATTATGTATATTCTCTAAATATTTTTCTAAAACACTCTAATGGCTGAATTATAGTCTATTTATAAGTATCCCATAATTTATGTAACATAACCATATTATGGGTTATTTAAGTTACATCTAAGCTTTCACTATTAAAAATAAAGCTGTATGAACTCACTTATATGTACAATTTTAAGCAAAAATTTTGTATTTTTCCTTAGGATAGATTCCAAGAAGCAGAATAATTAGATGACACATACTTTCAAATCGTTCGTGAAAAACTGTTATTCCTACTCTCACTAGTAGTTTATTAAAGTATTAATTGCACAACACCCTGACTAGCATTAAGTATTACTGTTACTTTATTACTTTTATTATTCAAAATTGTATCAAGTTTGGATTTGGATGTCATTAATTGCTCATAGGTTGAACATTTTTATGTGTTTATTAGCTATTAGATTTTCTTCTCCTGTTAATTATTTACTACTGTTATTGCCCGTTTTTCTCTGGGATATTCTTTTATCACTTCTGTGGTTAGAAAATCCATGTTTATTTTAAGATCAATTTAATATTGCACTATATTTCATTCTAGCCTAGTTTATTTTAATTTTTCCTTTAACCTGTTTTAATCATTTAGGAAATCTTTTGATTACTGAGTAAAGTGAGTCAAAACATTTTTGTGAAAACATTTTCAGTTACCAGTGATAGAAGTGGCCGAAAAAAGACTTATCTCACACATCTGGAAAATGAGTCCAGCTTGCTGCAGTAATAACCAGCTCTGGGACCTAAACTAGGAGATATCAGGGTTTAAACTCTCTCATATATCATGACTTTGCTTCTTCTGAATGTTGACTTATTTCTTGCACAGGCTGGAAAGATGGTCTCTATGCCTATGCCTTTATAACTTCTCACTCAGAAGGAAGATAGACCCTCTCTTGCCTGGCAGGTATAGCAGATTCCTTGAGGGAGGTCTCTGATTGGTCCTATTTGGATCATGTGCCCATCTCTGAGCCAGTCGCTGCAGCCAATGAGATTGAGTATTTTGCCCATCCTGAGCCTCGTCCCCCAGCCCCAAGGATAGGAAAGGTATGATTGACAGCCCATCAGAATACAAGCTGTGGAGGAGAGATGGCTCTCCAAAGGGTGATATTCTGGGCAAAGAAATCCCACAGGAATGACAGTGGGGAGTATATAATGTTATTTCTTTTGTTTTCAAAGTGACTAGTGGGCTTAATGTTTTTTGGTGAGTAATCAGTTCTTCTTAATGATTTATGATGTTTGCTCTACCATATTTGAAGTTCTAAGTTCATCAGTCTACCTCAAAACTATGTATTCTGTTCCATCAGTCTATCAGTCCCTCTCTGTGCCACAGTATTTAAAGATGTTTGCTTTATCCTGAGTTGTAATATTTGTAGGGTAAAGCTCTGCATCATCTACCTTCATTTCCACTTTCTTTTTTTTAGCACTTCTGTTTCTTCTTTCAAATGACAAATTCAAAAATATAAACCACTGGGGTTTTTGATTGGCATGCCTTAATACTTTCAACTTCATTTGGAAGAAACAGCCATCTTTATAATATGTGGTATATTTCTGTTTATTCATATGTGCAATCATGTTTTTTGGAAAAGTTTATATTTTGGTTATTTCTGAATGTGATCTCTGGGTCTTTTTAAAGTTGTAGTTGCTATAGAAGATTTTGTTTTTATTATATATATTTGTATATATATTTATATATAAATATATATATTTGTATATATATTTATATATAAATATATATATTTGTATATATATTTATATATAAATATATATATTTGTATATATATTTATATATAAATATATATATTTGTATATATATTTATATATAAATATATATATTTATATATATTTATATATAAATATATATATTTGTATATATATAAATATATTTGTATATATATTTATATATAAATATATATATTTATATATAAATTTTAATTTATATAAATTTATTAATATTATTATTCAATAATAAATATATTAAATTTATAATATAAATTTAAATTTATATAATTTTAAAAACTCCCATATTTTTTAGGTTCACTCATGGCAGAGCATGTGTCTGTAGTTGGTTATTTTTTAATTTCTGAATAATATTCAATTTTATAGATATACCACATGCTCTTTATCCATTCAACCGATGGACACTTAGATGATTTTCAGCTGAGGCTGTTATAAACAATACCGCTCTGAATGTTTGTGTACAAGTCTTTGTGTGGACATGTTTTCATTGCTCTTAAGTGAATACTAGGAGGAAAATTGTTATGGTACTTTTATGTTTAACTTCTCGAGAAACTGATAAGCTGTTTTCTAAAGTGGCTGCACCATTTTACATTTACACCAACAACATGTGAGGATTCCCATTTCTCCACATCCTTGACAATATTTACTATTGTCCGTTTTATTTCTTTATAGCCATTCTGGTGGCTGTTAAGTAATATGACATTTGGACTTTAATTCGCATTTTTCTAATGATTAATGATGTTGAGCAACTTTTCACATGCTTGTTAGCCATTCATGCATCTTCTTTAGTGTAATAATTGCCCATATCTTTTGCCTATTGTTTGGTCTGTCTTCTTATTATTGAGTTTGAGAATTCTTTGTATATTCTGGATATGTTGCAAATGTGTTTGCAGATATTTTGTCCCAGTCTTTGCTCATTTTTTTTTTCTTAAAAAGCTTTAAGAAAAAAAATGAGTTATTTAAAAAAAAAAACTTTTATTTTAGGTTTTGGGGTACCTGTAAAGGTTTGTTACAGAGGTAAACTCATGACATGGGGGTTCGTGGTACAGATTATTTCAACACCCAGGTATTAAGTCCAGTGCCCATTAGTTATCTTTTCTGCTCCTCTCCTTCCCTCACCCACCCCACCAAGTAGACTCTAGTATCTGTTGTTTCCTTCTTTGTGTTAATAAATTCTTATCATTTAGCTCCCACTTATAAGTGTGAACATGCGGTATTTGGTTTTCTGTTCCTGCATTAGTTTGCTAAGGATAATAGACTCCAACTCCATCCATGTTCCTGCAAAAGACATGATCTCTTTCTTTTTTATGGCTGCATAGTATTCGGCGGTGTATACGTACCGTATTTTCTTTATCAAATCTGTCATTAATGGACATTTAGGTTGATTCTCTGTCTTTGCTTTGTGAATAGTGCTGCAATGAACATATGCATGCATGTGTCTTTATGGCAGAATGATTTATATTCCTCTGGGTATATACCCAGTAATGGGATGGCTGGGTCAAATGGTAGTCCTGCTTTTAGCTCTTTGGGGAATCATCATACTGCTTTCCACAATGTTTGAGCTAATTTACACTCCCACCAAGAGTGTATAAGTGTTCCCTTTTCTCCTCAACCTCACCAGGTTAATGGTGTCTTTTGAAGTGCAAACGTTTTGAATTTTGATGAGGTTCAACTTATGAATTTTTATTTTATGGACCATGCATTTGGTGTTTTATTTAAGAAATCTTTGCCTAACTTCATTTTATCTTTAACTTTCTTTTCGCTTGTGTACAGGAGAAAAAATGATTTTTGTACAATATATTTATCTTCCATTCTACTCATTTACTACCCTGTATTACAAATTCTAAAAGTTTTACTCTTGATTTTCTTGGGTTTTCTAAATCACTCCTAGAATTTCTAATCATATTTGAGACAGACAAATAATGAGAAGTGTAATTATAACTACTCAAGTTTAGTTACTAGGCATGCTATAATTTTTGCTAGAGAGATGATATGGGTGGCGTTGCTCTCAGTTCTGTCACATTTTGAGAAAGACATTTACCAATTAGCATAGGCAAAGGAAAAGATGAGCACTGGATGATGAAGAATCTCATAACCAGTTGGTATAAGGAACAGATCCTAGAATTGGGGGCATTTATGCTAAGAACAAAAAATTTTCAAAGTTTAAATATTAAAGCGTTATCAAAGGAACGGATTTGTTTTAGGTTAGTGCAAAGGAAATTTCTATTAATGCGATTTCTCACGTTGAGCTTGAAACCTATTGAAAGCTCTGGGTCTTTTTCACATGGATTTTCATCTACCCACATCTCCTCCAGTCTGCATGTATCCAAATGGTTGGAAGATTACTTTACATTCATCCCTCTTAAATTGGATTTTGTTGGGTCTGTCCCATCATTTTTTCACTGTTAATATTATTTAGAAATTTGTTCTATCGTCTATCTAGTAATTATTTCTTAATTCAAGTTATGAGTGAAGACATTAAACATCAGTGAGCTGAGTATGCCTCGGGGCCTCCCTGAAGGTAGATACTGTTGCATTCATGGTCACTCCTCAGTTATGGTTATTGAACCATGTGGTAGACAGAATTCTACAAATGATCTCTAAGGACCCTCACCCTTCTATAGTCTCTTCCCTTTTGAGTGTGAGTAAAAACTGTGACTGTGATGATATTATTCCCATGGTTGTGTATTGTTATATGGCAAAGGAAAATTATTTAGGTAGACTTAATATAATTATATAAGCCCTTAAAAACAGAGCTTTCTCCTGGCTCCCCAGCCAGCAGAAGGGGAAGTCAGATTTGAGGCATGAGAAGAATTTGACATGCCATAGCTGGTTTTGAAGGTGGTAGGGGCTGTGTACAAGGTGGCAGAACAGCCTCTAGGAGCTGAGAGATCCCCTGGCCAACAGGGACCTCAGAAGTGAATTCTGCCAAGAACCTGAATGAGCTTGGAAGTAGACTCTACCCCAAAGCCTCCAGATAATAGTCCAGCCCAGCCAACACCTTGACTCTGGCCTTGTGAGACCCTCAGCAGAGAACGCACCTGGACTTCTGGCCCACAGAAGTGTGAGATAACGAGGGATGTTCTTTTAAGGCACTGAGTGCGTGGTAATTTGTTACACAGCAATAGAAAATTAATACAAGCCAACTATGACTCCACCTACTCTAGGATCATCTGGACCACTTTTCCGTGATAAGCACAGGCTATTCATAGCTGAAATCAAGATATAGCAGCTTTGATATTTGCTTTATCTTCCAGTTGAATATCTGTACCAAAAAAAGAATTTATTGCCTCAAAAATAATACCTTCAAAGTCTGTCGGTTTCCTACTTTTCAAGGCACTTTCAAATATCTTGTCTCATAGTATCCTCATAAGACCCTGGTGGGGCAGATAAGAACAAAACCTGTAGAAGTTATTTGCCCAAGGAAAGCAAGACTAATTTTAGTTCGATGTTAAGAAGACCTTTCAAACAATTAGAACCAGCCCACTGTGGAATGGGCTGCCTCCTAGAATAGTAAACTGTGCCTCACTGAAAGAAAAGACTATATGATCATATTTGAAGGATTTAAAGGGGGAGCACCTGACATGGTGAAAGAGTCAAACGGCCTCACCTTTAAAATCCCTTCCAACGCTAACGTTCCTGTGTTCCCACTGGAACCAAACTAAATCAATCCATATCCATGTTGGGACTCATCGGCCAGGATCTCTCTTCCTTAAGGATCTTTTGCCATTGTCATAATTGCCACTGCTTTTGAAGCAGCAAATTTATCTAAGTTTCTTTGTACAAAGAAAATGCAATGTCATGGATCTTAAGGATGCTTTTGTTTTTAAGGTACAAAGAAGTTTAAATAACTTGGCTGAGTCTCACGGACACTTCATAGTGAGGCAAGTTTCGAACTCATTTTGTCACTCCAGAGTCAGTGCCTGAAACAGCTCTACATGGTCTGCTGGCCCACACTCGCAAGCAGGAGCACATCAGAGGAGCTGATTTGGGTGTTTGAAGAGATGAGCGCTCTAACAGGACCTCAGAGAGAATCCTAGAGCAGGGATATGTCCCAAAGGACTTGCTGCTGGCTCAGTGGCCCAGGCGTCATGGCAGCCTCCCTTGTGACAAACAGAAATACTGCCTCTTTCTTTTTCTTTCTCTTTTTTTTTTTTTTTTTTTGAGATGAAGTCTCACCTTGTCACCCAGGCTGGAATGCAGTGGTGCCATCTCAGCTCACTGCAACCTCTGCCTCCCGGGTTTAAGCAATTCTCTGGCCTCAGCCACCCGAGTACCTGGGATTACAGGTGCGTGCCACCATGCCCAGCTAATTTTGTATTTTCAGTAAAGACGGTTTCACCATGTTGACCAGGCTGGTCTCGAACTCCTGACCTCAGGTAATCTCCCTGCCTCGGCCTCCCAAAGTGCTAGGATTACAGGCGTGAGCCACCGTGCCCGGCCCTGTCTTTCTTTTTTGCGTTTTTTTTCATGGCCTGAGGGAAAGCCCCACTGACCCTGCCTTCAAACTCACCAGACTGTCCACTTTCCCTCCCTGAACCCCAGTCTCCCCATATGTAAAATAGGGAGATTAGAAATCCCTTCCATCTCTGGAGTTCTGTTCTTGTGAGGGGAAGACAATGATATTTTGACATTTCCCCCAAAAGATAATCAGAAGCTCAGCAGATGCTCAAAAAGAGATGGACCCAGTCCCATGTATTTATTTTCAGGAACTCTTAACTTTTTCTATGCAACTTCTCTTTTTGTGAAACCTGGCATTTCTGGACTCCCAAATTCCTGAGAGCCCTGCAGCTCCAGAGAAAAGAGGCCTGTGATGCACCCTCAGCCGGCAGAGGGGACAGCTATGGGACAGAAAGGCAATGAGAGGGAAGGAAGGTGATGAGGTGAGTTGTCAGGGATTGAAGACTCTGCTAGTTCAGACAGCTTGTCCTCCTGGGAGGCAGGGGGCCATGGCAGGCCCTGAGCAGTTGTAGAGGAAGCCCAAGGCTGGGAGAGATAGCAGGCATGGGATCCACCTGGAGCCAGAAACTCAAGAGCCCAGGAGGGCAGGTTCAGGTGAGGCCACGCATAGGGCTCCATGAATATCTAGCTGGAAATGCTTGAGAGAGAAGAGAAGTGTTACCAAATGGTAACAGTGGCCAAGAAGGACAAGACGAGACCCAACTTTTCACCCTAACCCTGACTCACCTCATCATGCCTTGTGGCAGGTCTGAAGGGCAACATTCAGCCTTTCAAAGGCTGAAACAGATAAGGGAATTTTGCACTTAATTGAAGGAGAAAAAGGGAACTTAAAGACTTTCAAAACCATCTGGGAGCTGAGCACAATGGCTCACACCTATAATCTCAGCACTTTGGGAGGCTGAGGTGGGTGGATCACTTGAGCCCTGGAGTTCGAAACTAGCCTGAGCAACATAGTGAGACCCCGTCTCTATTTTTTAAAGGGAAAAGGAAAAAAAAAAAAACATTTCGGTCCAAGGTTTAGTCAAGTCAGTAGAAACCCAGCCACCATCTGACATAAAGATGGTGTCTTCAGAGTCTCAGAGTCTCTGGTCATCTCATAATATCAGATTCAGAAACAAAGAGAATTAATTTTGGACACCCCCTCACATGGCCCCGCCTGGAAGTTGAGAGTCTATGTATTGATTTGCTAGATATTAAAAAGTTAGAACAGTGGCACAATTGTATCAGCTTTATTGAGGTATTGAGGCATAAATTACATGCCTTAAAGTTCACCCATTGCAGGTGTACAATGTACAACTGGATGATTTTTAGTAAATAGACAGAGTTGTGTAACCATCACTATCATCCAACTGTAGAGCATTTCCTTCACCCTTTTTGCAATAATTTCCTTCTCTCACTCCAAACCTCAGGCAGCCGCTGATCTGCTGGCTATCTCAGTTTGTCTTTTCTGGACATTTCATATCAATGGAATGACAACATATAATCTCTTTTTTGAGACAGGGTTTCACTGTGTCACCCAGGCTGGAGTACAATGACATGATCTCAGCTGACTGCAACCTCCTCCTCCCAGGCTCAAACAATCATTCCACCTCAGCCCACCAAGTAGCTGGAATTACAGGCGCACTACACCACACCCATCTCATTTGTGTGTGTGTGTGTGTAGATATGGGGTTTTGCTATGTTGCCCAGGCTAGTCTCAAACTCCTGGGCTCAAGCTATCCATCTGCCTTGGCCTCCCAAAGTGCTGGGATTACAGATGTGAGCCACTACACCCGGCCTGACAACATACAAACTCCCGTATCTGGCTTCTTTCACTTAGCATAATGTTTTTGAGGTTCGTCCATCCTGTAGCATGTTTGGTACTTCATTCCTTTATATTGCTGAAGAGTATTACACTCTACGAATTACCACATTTTGCTTATCCATTCACTGTTGATAGATATTTGGGTTGTTTCTAGCTTTTTGCTGTTATGAATACTGTTGCTATGAACAAGGGCTACGAACAGGTAGATATTGTGCTACGCACAAGTCTTTGTGTAAACATGTATTCTTATTTATCCTGTGTAAATTCCTAGGAGGGGAGTTGCTGAATCATATGGTATGCTTTATTACTTTTTAAGAAATATAAGTCCTTTTTAATAGTACCAGAAGTAAGCTTAAAGCTGAGTTTATTTTATTGTTACTGGTAAAAAGAGTCCCAAAAGGATTAAATGGATTGAATGTGATCCATTCATTCACAGATTCATTTGTGTTTTATAAATAGTTTTTGAGGGCCTGTATGTGCCTAGAGTGTGCTAAGTTCTGGAGATTAAACAATGAATAAGATATAGCCCTACCTTCATGAACCCTATGAAGATATATACTGAAGATATATACAACATATGTCACAGGAAGTTCAAGTGGAGTACTAGCTCAGCTGAGGGAGCCTCTGCTCACTCACCCCAGTGTTGGGGGATCCAGGAACACTTAGTAGGTGAAGTCAAATGTGAGTCCTGAGGAATTAGTGGCCATTAGCCAGGCAAAGATTAAAGAGGAACATCATCCAGGTCGACTTAAAGAGTTGGGGGATGATTGGGGGAGGATCAGGGACAAGCTCAGTCCTAGTGTGTCTGGCAGATGAACGGAGCTCTATATGGCTGGACTGCAGAGGTTTGCAGCTTCAGAGGAGGGGAACAGTGAGAAACAGAGCTGGAGGAGCAAGCAGACCCAGAAGAAGAACCTGTCAGGGAGCCTCTGATGCCCTGCATGGAGGGAGCACTGTGATGAGCTTGCCCGCTAAAGAGTCCTCCCCACAGTGCTGTGGGGAGCGGGAAAAAGGGGCAGGGCTCTTGGCTTTCTTTTCAGAAGCTATGCCAGATCTCACATGGCCTTGAGCCTTAGTCCTATCTCACTGGGCCCCCAAGAATGATGACCTATGCCCTCCCGTGTTTGGCAGGTGCTACATCACCCTCACCCAGTCCCTGCACCTGACCATGAGTGGGGCTCCCGCAGGACCTGCAGGCACAGGCAAGACCGAGACCACCAAGGACCTGGGCCGCGCACTGGGCATCCTGGTCTATGTGTTCAACTGCTCGGAGCAGATGGATTACAAGGTACAGTTCCACCCGGCTTCCTGGGGGTGGGGGTGGGGGATAGGAACTCAGGGCACCAAATCAAGGCTAAGACGCATCCGTGCCACCCTGACCCAGCTTCCCCAGGTCTCGGAGCCCAGATCAGGAGGTCTCAGTTTGCTCCTTCGTGGTAAAGTTGGACGTTTGAACCCTGGAGTTTTTTGGCCTCCCTATAAGGCTTTCATGTGATGAGGAAGCACAGCCCTTTGTATTCTCATTCCACCAATGAGCTCTGACCACAGATGGCTGACTTCATCTTTTTGGATCTTTCTTTTATTACCTGCAAAATGAAGAAACTGAACATATATCCAAAGTCCTAATTTCCCTATTTGACCTAGAAACACAGAAAGGCTCACAAGTAGCCAAGATGAAGGCACTTGTCTTCACATAAAAGCTTGACGTATTTGTGCTCTTCTGTAGAAGTGGACATTCCCCAGAATATCAACAGGGGCAGAATATTCTGCAAGGGCAGGCGTGATTTCTGAAAGCAGGCTAATCAACCCCGACTCAGAGCACAGACGCCCACAGAAGACAAGTGCAAAGCTAATATTCATTCAGGCACGTACAATTTTTTAAGAACCAATGTGTTCCAGGTTCTGAGTCACCGAGAAAAGCCAGAGAAACAAAAGGCCCATGAGGTCACTTCTTTAGCTAGAAATATTCTGCTCACAACTGAACCTTATATAGCTTCTTTTTTTCTTTTTTTTCTTTGTGAGAACTATTTTCCAATTTTTCTTTTTTTTTCTTTTTTTAATTATACTTTAAGTTCTAGGGTACATGTGCACAACGTGCAGGTTTGTTACATATGTATACATGTGCCATGTTGGTGTGCTGCACCCATTAACTCATCATTTATATTAGTTGTATCTCCTAATGCTATCCCTCCCCGCTTCCCCCACCCCACGACAGGCCCTGGTAAAACAAAAATGTAATAACAGATTATCTCCCTCTCTCGTTATTTTTGTTATATTGTATGTGTTTTTGTAAACTGCCTTAAGTCCCTTTTGTCAGCAGGATGACATGCAAATAAATTTGCAGTGAAAAAAAGTTGCATTAAATAGATTAAACATTTATATATAAAAGTCATGTGCTATATTGACTGTAAAATAAATTTAATGTAGTTATAATTTTAGAAATAATGCTTGCCGTTACCACGTATAGCACTCTGTAAATGAGATTCATCCTCTATAATTTAATCATTTCTGTAGCATGATTTTGTTGTGTAGAGTTGCAGCGTCCTGTAGCACCATGTTTTCTCGTGTTAAGTAAACAAAGCAAGGATCTAGACCCAAAAAACTTGTCTTCCACGTGGTCTTCATCCCCTAAATTTTAGCACAGTTGCTTTTATTGATGAACACATTAAGATAATGTTTCTCTTTAAGTCAGGCTGGAACAGAAAGGTGGAGTTTTCTCCCCCCTTTATAGAAATGACCTCAGCCTTAGGGATAATTTTATGTTCTAGATTTTTCTATAGTTGAGCAATGGCAGCAGCACTGCCAAAGTAAGTAGAGTCTCCCAAAGGGAACATTGTGAAAGAAACACTCATTTGGATGTAGAAGACGTGGTGTATTGATTGAAGAAAATCAGCCAGATTTCTTCAAAGTCATACCTAGAATAGCAAGCAGGAAATGGTGAGTTGGCTAGGGGTCACTATGGCCATTTTACTCAATTCTATCAAAACCAATCACTGAACCCTAACCCCACCAATTTTGTTAAAAGTACAGGGTGAACGGGGGAGTCTATCTTTGTTTTTTTTGTTTGTTTTTTTGTTTTGTTTTTTGTTTTTGTTTTTGTTTGTTTGTTTTTCAACTATAGGCTAAGCTTCCATGGAATACAGGCTAGACACAGGTTAGAACATCATAAATAAGCATAGCCACAGTGAAACATGCCAGAAGGGAGGTGCTCCCTTCCTGGACACCAAATATCCCAGGTAACCAAACAGCCCCACTAAGCTGTTTGCAAACTTCCTCTACCTTTGTTTTCTGGCTGTTCAGAATTATTTTTTATGGTAAAACACTCGCAATCCAATTAATTTATTGAGTATTGCCTTTCCTCAGCATGTGCTGAGCATTGTGCAGGATGCCAAAAACAGATCATATGGGGAGAGAGAGGGAGAGAGAGAGAGAGAGATGGATGGAGGATAGATGGTAGATGGATTTTAGGTAGATAAATGATAGATGAATGATTGATGAGAGAGAGAAAGAGAGAGATAGTATAACCCGATTTTATTTGGAGGGACAAAGGATATATGATATCATCAGGGGAGCTAGTTAACACTCAGATAGCATAACCCTGGGTGCTCATGTGCCCTACAAACTTTAGGCCCTGGAATATTCCAGAGTAGGGGGAGAGCCACAGAGTGGGCTGGTCAGGAAAGACATGTGGAGGACGTGATACCCAACCAAGGCTCAGTTTTGGGGTTGGTGACAGAGAGAGCATGTGGCATTTTCACACATTCTAACCCATTAGAATGTCAGCTTTAAAGCCATGACCAAGTTCTATGTGTGGCCAATATCTGTCCCCAGCCCTCATTCTGACTTCACCCCATGAGCCCTCCTCACAGGACCCGGCTGGGAGAGGAGAAAAAGGGTGCGAGGTCAGGAAGAGCTGCTGTGCACTTCTCCAGGGGAGATTTCGATGTGTCATTCATGACACTCACAGCAATATACTCTGTTCAGGTCTGTCCATAGTGAAAGCTAGAAATAAATGCGGAACAAGGGCTAAGCTACCTTACAGAGGATCAAAAACAGGAGATAAGGAGGGGAAGGACTGAAAGCCACTGAAAGCATCTCACCTTGAAGTGGGGGATGCAGAAAGGAACTGCAGGCTTCGGAACTGGAGCAAAAGCATAAAGATTGGAAGTCAGACGAAATGAGAAAGGAAGAGACTGGAAGCAGGAATAGGTTTTGGTGAGAGCATCTCAGTCATTCAAACCAGAGGGAATGAGGAACCAGCTGATGTGGTAGTAGACATGGAAAAGCATAAGAGGCTTAAAATATAACAAGGTAAGTGATATCTCGGGAATATGGGCAGGCAGTCAGTGGTGAAGCAAAGGGAGAGGTTGAAGAGGAGAGTCTAGGCTGTGGTCAAGCGCCCTTGCTATCCCCTCTGCCTTAGAAATCCTATAAGCCGCATCACCTCAGTTAGCTCATGAGGACTGGGTGTGCATTGAGCTGGGGAGGACAGGAGAACAGCGCAAAGACTTGAAGCAAAGGTAAAGTTATTGCTTTACTCTCTTATCCTGGATGGAAAACCTATAAAACCAGCCACTTTCTCTGAAAATGACTGCAGTTTCAGTGCTGAAACATCCTTTATATTATAGCTGTAATACTTTCCCCTCTTGACCTCAATTTGGAGATGCTATTGCAGGGACATCAAATGGTTCCAAACCTGAAAGTGTTTGGAATTATTTCCAACCCTCTCTGTAGCAGCCATATTGTGGATACTACACTTTTCCTTGAGACCCTACTCCCTTCACTTCGGAAATGCTATACTTGCACAGTCCTCCTCCTGAGTCTCTGGTCTCCTGGCTCCTCGGTCTCATTTGCTGATCCTCTTTTATAATTTCCAGTGTGATGTGTATACCTATGTCTCCTTTATGAAGCCATGTCTATTCTCCAGCTTCACCGGAGTCCTAGTCCCGTCTCTCTCTAATGGGGCAGTGGGCATCTCTTGAATGCCCTTCTCTTGCATTGTGGTTAGCACTCTTCCTTTCTCCCTGCCAGATTCCCCACCATCAGGAAGGATCATCTCATTTTCCCTGAGATCCTGGTGGAAAACTTCAGGAACCTGGGTTACTTCATGTCCTTCCTTCCCTACCTCTAATCGGTCACCAGTGTCGATTGTTCAGCACCCTTCTCACTTCCAGGCCTTTGCCCTATTCTTGCCATTCGCCTAGTCCCAAAGCTCACCATCCCACAGCAAGATAATGCCCCAGCCTCGCTGACAGGACCAGGAGATATGTGGTGAGCTAAACACATGGGTTACTTTAGGGTCCTGGGGTTCAGCCACAGGCCCTGGGGTGGGGGGGAGAAACATAGGGGTGACAAGCATCCACCTATGGAAACTCCACTTCCTTTATTTTATGTTTTGAGTTTTCATTTTATAAAAAGGGTCTGCAGTTTGAAAAGCTTTCAAAATCACTGTAAAAAATTGAATTTTTTTTTTCTTTTTTTTTGAGATGGAGTCTCGCTCTGTCCCCTAGGCTGGAGTGCAGTGGCACGATCTCAGCTCACTGCAAGCTCCACCTCCTGGGTTCACGTCATTCTCCTGCCTCAGCCTCCCGAGTAGCTTGGACTACAGGCGCCCGCCACCACGCCTGGCTAATTGGTTTTTTTTGTACTTTTAGTAGAGACGGTGTCTCACTGTGTTAGCCAGGATGGTCTGGATCTCCTGACCTTGTGATCCGCCCGCCTCAGCCTCCCAAAGTGCTGGGATTACAGGCGTGAGCCACTGTGCCCGGCTTGTTAAAAATTGAATTTTTAAAACATCTTTTTTATTGATACATCATAACTGTACATATTAATGGGGTACATGTTATATTTTGATGCACATATTATCAATAATATTTATCAATAATATCAATAATAATTATGAATATCATTATACATTGTAGTATAATGATCGAATCAGGGTAATTAGGATAACCATCATCCCAAAGATTTATTGTTTCTTTGTGTTGGGAACATTCCAAATCTCCTCTTCAGCTATTTTGAAATATAAAATAAATGATTAGTAATCATAGTCCCCTATTGTGCTGTTGAACACTATAACTTATTTCTTATGTCTAGCTGTATGTTTGTACCCATTAACCAACTTCTCTTCATTTTCTCCTTCCCAGCCTCTGGTAACCATCATTCTACTGTCTACCTCCATGAGATCAACTTTTTTAGCTCTCACATATGAATGACAGCATGTGATATTTGTCTTTCTGTGCCTGGCTTCTTTCACTTAAGATAATATCCTCCAGGTCCATCCCTGTTGCTGCAAATGACAGGATTTCATTCTTTTCAATGGCTGAACAATATTGCTTTGTGTGTATATACTACATTTTCTTTATGCATTCATCCATTGATGGACACTTAGGTTGATTCCATATCTTAACTATTGTGAATAAACATGGATGTTGATTTCTGAATTTCCACTTAGTATTTGTGACACTTGGATTGTTTTGCAAATGAAATGGAATAATGTAAGGCAGTGGTCCCCAACCTTTTTGGCATGAGGGACCAGTTTCATGGAAGACTATTTTTCCATGGACTGTGGTAGTGGGGGATGGTCTCGGGATGATTCAAGCACATTACATTTATTGTACACTTTATTTCGATTATTATTACATTGTAATATACAATGAAATAATTATACAACTCACCATCATGTAGAATCAGTGGGGGCCCTGGTCTTCTCTTCCTTCAACTAGTTGGTTCCAACTGGGGGTGATGGGAGACAGTGACAGATCATCAGGCATTAGATTCTCATAAGGATCACCCAGCCTAGATCCCTCACATGTGCAATTCACAATGGGGTTCATGCTCTCATGAGAATCCAGTGCTGCCACTGATCTGACAGGAGACAGAGCTCAGGCAATAATGCAGGTGATGGGAAGCAGCTGTCAATACAGATGAAGCTTTGCTTACTCACCTGCTGCTCACCTCCTGCTGTGCGGCCTGGTTCCTTAACAGACCATGGACAGTTGCCCAGAGGCTGGGGACCCCTGATTTAAGGTACACAAACACAACGCCTGGAACTTCCATCACCTCCTCAGACAGGATGTCCCTGACAGCTCAATCTGAAGTCTCCATGTCACCCTCATTTTAAGACTCCAGTGGGACTTTATCACTGTCTGATTTGTTATTGCTCATTGTCTGTTTTCCTTATGGGAATATGAGACCCATGAGAATAGAGGCATCGTCTATCTTGTTCACAGCTGATTCTTCATGACCTAGAACAATCTCTGGCACATAGTATATGCTCAATAAATATTTGTTGATATGAAAGTAAAAAGAAATCTCTTAATTCCAGAAGCTCAGTGAAAGGTGGGTTTTATTTTTCCCTTCTCCTTCAAAGTCTGCCCTACATCAGGACACAGTGGCTCACACCTGCAACTCAAACACTTTGGGAGGCCAAGGCAGGTGGATCACTTGAGGCCAGGAGTTCGAGACCAGCCTGGCCAACATGGTGAAACCCCGTCTCCACTAAACATACAAAAATTAGCTGGGCTTGGTGGTGCACGCCTGTAATCTTAGCTACTTGGGAGGCTGAGGCAGCAGAATTGCTTGAACCTGGGAGGCAGAGGTTGCAGTGAACTGAGATTGCGCCACTGCACTCCAGCCTGGGTGACAGAGCAAGACTCCATCTCAAAAAAACAAACAAAAAAAATTAAAGTCTGCCCTAATGTCCAACCTAGCCTATGTGGCAGTTAGACCAATCCTCTCATAACAATGCTCTGCTCATGTTCTCTGCTGCAAACCTCCAAAGATCCCTCATAGTAATTCAAGGCTTTTTACAACCATGACTTTATTTAGTAATTCAACTTTCCAATCAAAATGGCTCTGTCATTTTTCTCTGCACATATCATTATTCTGCTTGTATTTCTTCCATAATCTTCCTCCTCCTGGAAAGCCTTACCCCTTCCATTCTATCTATACAGATACTCCTATCCTATAAAGCCATCATTTCTTGTGTGTGTCCTAAAGCATGTAGTTTTCTGTGAGATCCCCATATCTTCTGACTCTAATCTTGTGACCTTTACACTATACCAATAATTGCCAGAGTGCATTCTGAGAAAATCAGGGGTTATGTGAAGGAAAAATAATCCTAGCCATGTAATGCAGTGAAACTAATGTTTTTGTTATAGGATTTCTCAGGGCCCTTAAACGCTAATACAAATTGTAAGTAGGCCAAAACGGGTTGAAGAATGTGTTTCCCAAATTTGCTTGACCAAAAAGCCCTTTCTTCGAAGAGCATCTTTCAGGCCTGTGGTTCCGCGGAATAAACTTTGTGAAGTACTGTTGTGCTGCCATCTGACTTTCACCTCTTTGGCAAAACTGATCACTCAGGAGCACTCTGACCCTCTCTTCTGTGAATATGACATTTGTGGTCTATATTATTCAATGGAACCACTACTGATGCAGTAATTTTCCTGTTTTTATGTATATACCTTATCTCCTCAACCTGACCAAAAGTTCTTAGACTGAGCTCCCCTATGTCCAGCACATGATCGGTGCACAGAGCTGATAGTCAAAAAATGCCCACTGAAGGCTGGGCATGGTGGCTTATGCCTGTCATCCCAGCACTTTGGGAGGCCAAGGCGGGTTGATTGCAAAGTCAGGAGTTTGAGACCAGCCCTGACCAACATGGTGAAACCCTGTCTCTACTAAAAATATAAAAATTAGCCAGGCATGGTGGTGCACGCCTGTAATCGCAGCTACTCGGGAGGCTGAGGCAGGAGAATCGCTTGAACCTGGGAGGTGGAGGTTGCAATGAGCCAAGATCGCACCACTGCACTCCAGCCTGGGCAACAGAGTGAGACTCCGTCTCAAAAAAAAAAAAAAAAAAAAAAAAAAAAAACCCGCTGAATAAATGAATGGGACTTTTCCATTATTTGCATTTCCCTGGCATTTTAATGACGTCTCCTTGCCAATGACCTTGTGAGTGTCTCCCAGGAACCTATCTTTTTGGTTGCCCCGTGACTTACCAGTTCATATTGAATGCCCAGGATGGTTTTTACTTTTAGGACAGAAATGCATTATTCCCTTGTAAATTCCTTCCCTGCTCTCATTTGAAAAGATTTACCTTTAGTTTGTGTGTATGTGTTTTTGTTTTTTGGTTTTGGTTTTTGTTTTTTTAACAGATGTTATCACCCCCTGTCTTTGTCTCCAGCTCCCTCACCACTCTGGAAAACCTGGGTGGTTGGGCATAAATTTAAAGATACAGACGTAAATTTTTCCATCAGTGCATGACAAAGGCTGGGTGGAAGGCTTTTTGTCTGTATAGCATAAGAAAAATCATCTTTTATTCATTTCCTGGGATTTTGAAAGCTACCGAATCAACAATAATGCAACCCTGATGACATTTTAAAGGGATTTTCATCCAAGTGTCTTGAAAAGGTTCTGTTTAATCCTGTGACTTCTGTTGACACCCCATAACCATCAAACATTTAATTGTTCTTGAAATTTTAATACAAGTTTCTGACCAGTGGTCTTTAGGGGGACTAGAAGTATCTATAATAAAGGGGATGGAGAATGGCTTCAACATGTATTGATAAGCCTGGCCCGTTGGTAATTTAATCTTTGTGCATTTTCTTGCAGTCTTGTGGCAACATCTACAAAGGCCTTGCTCAGACTGGTGCCTGGGGCTGCTTTGATGAGTTTAATCGAATCTCCGTGGAGGTCTTGTCAGTGGTGGCAGTGCAGGTAAGGGCCAGAAGTTGGTGGGAGCCTTGTGGTCTTCATATTGATTACTGCGGAAGTCTATGTCCTCTTGTTTTCTACCTCTCCTGAGCATCTACGTCCCTTTTTCCCTTGTCATTTCATGCCCCTTTCTCCATCCTCTAAAATCAGGCTCCAGGGAAGCTGTCCTCCAAAATGGGTATCCTTCTGTTACCCACCAAAGTAGAACCATTTACTGGCTTTGGGACTCTGTTTCGTTCTCTGTAAAATGGAGAGAAAGAATATCTGTCCTGCCTGCTTCATCTGGGCACAGAAACATGAAGATGGCAGAGCTCAGCTCCTCGGAAAGGCCATGTTCTTTGGTTATAAACCAAGGCTTAAATTTCAGTTATTTTATTTCCTATTGGAATCTTTGGGAAAGTTATTCCACCACGCTCAGCTTAATAAAGTGAGGAATATGGCATGAATCGTTTTTGAATGAAGTCGCTTCTGGGGTGAGATTTTATGTAAGCATGCCCCTTGTCTTTCAAGTCATCCAGAAAGCATTTATTAAACACCTACAACCTAGTAAGTGTTATGCAAAAGACAGGTGAAGTTTCCCAGTTGAATGGAATGTGATCTCTGACCTAAAAAAAAAAAAACAAAAAAAACTTGAGCTCTTGAGATAGACGTGAGTACTTTCAATGTTCTAGAGGTGACTTAAATTCTGACTGAGATGAGACTTCCAAATGCATTACATTGAAAAGATGGAGAGGATTTTGGATTTGGGTCAGGATCCCATGAACAATCGGAGCAGTAGGAGGGTGAAGGGGGGGAACGTTTGAATAAGCTTTTGTTGAAATTCTGTACCAGGCACTTTTCATACATCATCTTTCACATCATGAAAGATCTTTCACGTCTTTCCACCATGGCCCTACAAGCCACTATTCTCCCCATTATGTATGTGGAAAAGCTGAACATCAGAGGAGAACTGTATCTTGTCCATGGGTAGACTTTTGGAAAGTGGTAAGGTTGGTATGTGCACCCTGTGCCCCCACCAACACTGTCCAGGTGCAGATGTGGGCACTGATGTGGTGTCTAGTGGGTAAAATGCCAGAGGAGAAAATAAGGCCAGAGAGACAAGTTCGAACCCAATAGTAGCAGGCGGAAATGCCTTCCTCAGCAGGCATCAGAGAACCCCCAGAGACATCTGGGAGGGAGATTGCCCCTCTATTTGCCAGCAATATGAAGGAGGGGCTGAGCAGTAGGAAAACTGGTGGCTGAGGGCAAGTCAAGAGTCTCTCCCAAGGATTCTTACTGCAGCTGCACAGGCTCCATTCCCCCCAGGAACCCCATCTCCAAGATAAAGCACATCGTTTGCCAGCTTCTATTCCACATGCCTCCCTGCAGGCTGAGCACCCCCCTTCTCCTGCTAGGGGCGGCTGGTTTCAGAACCCCCATCCTGCCCTTAACAGAGCAAAGCAATCACAAGGGCACCATGTGATGATCAAAGCTGTGGCGAGGTGCTTGGGACAATTATGTGCCTGGTACTCCTAGTGTGTGCCGCACACCATATAATCAAAAATGGTTTAATTTTGCTTGTGTTTGCTTTTATTTCCAAAGCAGTATGCGCACAGTACAGAAAAAGGAAAAATGTAGCTATGAGAGACTCTTTGGTCCCTACAGGTTTCTGTAATCCTTTCAGGTCCAGACAAAGGAATAAGGAAAGCGTTTAGCTTGACTGACATTTTTCTAAGGCAAGAGTGCGGGATTGAGGGGAGGGTGGCAGAAGGGGGGTGGGAGGAAACATCATGCAAAAGGTCATCCCTGGCGGGGAAAGATGACTGAGCCAGCATCATCCTTGTCCCCCTCTGCCCTGGCAGGAGCCAGCTTCCATCCACATAGGTCTCACATGTGGTCACCTCTCATCCCATACCTTTTCACAGGTAGGTGTGGACGTGGGGCTGTGGGTGGGGCACTGAAGCAAACGCAAAGCTGAACAGCAGTAGGGCTCAGACCATCCGCAAATCCATGCCACCTTCATCTCCAGCTGCCCTGAAAGCCACAGGCAGTCAAGACACTCTGCTGGGTCCCTTCACTCACCACTGCTCCAAGGTGGCCTGTCTTTCCATCTCTTGTGTTTGACAGCCACTGACTCTTGTCCAAACTGTTCCTTGATGAAGCTCTGAAAGTTGCCAGAACGTGAGGCTCTTCCCTGGTTTCCAGTGGTGAAATATGGTTTTTCCCTTTTTTTGGGTTTGTTCTGTTCAGCAGCAGTTAGTAGAGGAAGGAAGACAAATGGCTAGCCTGGACACTCTTGGACTGAAACCCTTGACCAGCTTGGCTTGAAAGAGCTGGTTGTGTGCATGTCAGTGGCATTGCATGAGTGTAGCTTGAAATGGGCTATGGTGAGAGTCCTTCCATCATGAAAGCTGCCAAATTCTACAAATCAAGGGCGTTTTTGCTCTCCTGGAGAGCTGGTTGTTAAAAATTTACCAGCACACCTCTGCCTTGTAAGGATGTAAGCTGAGTGTTGCCAGATCTTTTACGTTTTAAAGAGAGACCGGACATCCAGATTTTTATAAGAAATCAAATATGTTTCCTGGCTGCTTTCACCTTTGGCTGGTCACTTCACAACCTGGAATAAGGAATAATGCCAGTGTTCAATGCTGTCTCAGCCACTTACTAGCTGTGTGACCTTGAGCATATCCATGTCTCAAGGTCCACATCTGTAAAGGGAGTTAATAATAGCACCTCCTTGAGGCAGTTGTAATAATTTTTAAATGAGTTATATCTCTAAAGCACTGTTTTTTAAAGCCCTGCAGAGAATAGTCACTCAATAAATGCTTTGTTGATGATGATAATGGTGGTGGTGATGTTAGTGATGATGATGATGATGATGTTAATGGTGATGATGGTAGTGGTGATGGTGATAATTATGCTAATGATGGTGATGCTGATGATGATGATGGCGGTGGTAGTGGTGGTGATGATTCTAATGATGATGATGATGGAGATGATAATGGTGATGGTGGTAATGATGATGGTGGTGGTGGTGATGACGGTGATGATGATGATGGTGGTGGTGATGATGGTGATGATGATGGAGATGATAATGGTGATGGTGGTAATGATGATGGTGGTGATGATGATGGTGGTGTCAGTGATGATGGTGATGGTGATGATGATGGTGATGATAGTGATGATGATGGTGGGGGTGATGGTGGTCATGATGGTGGTGGCAGTGATGACGTTGATAATGACAGTGATGATGATGGCAGTGATTATAATGTTAACAATGATGGTGATGATGGTGGTTATTATGGTGAGAATGATGGGGATGGTGGTGGCAATGATGGTGATGGTGGTGATGATAGTGATAATGATGGTTGTGATAGTGATGAGGATGATTACCATCATTATTATCTGAACACTGCAGGAAATGGGTTGAAGAGAAGTAGAAGCCGGGATACACAGGGTAGGGAAAAAGGGTTCACATCCTGGTCTCACAGGTCTTCTCTTTTTTTTTTTAAATTATACTTTAAGTTTTAGGGTACATGTGCACAACGTGTGCAGGTTTGTTACATATGTATACATGTGCCATGTTGGTGTGCTGCACCCATTAACTCGTCATTTACATTAGGTATATCTCCTAATGCTATCCCTCCCCCCTCCCCCCACCCAACAACAGGCCCCAGTGTGTGATGTTCCCCTTCCTATGTCCATGTGTTCTCTTTGTTCAATTCCCACCTATGAGTGAGAACATGCGGTGTTTGGTTTTTTGTCCTTGTGATAGTTTGCTGAGAATGATTGTTTCCAGCTTCATCCATGTCCCTGCAAAGGACATGAACTCATCATTTTTTATGGCTACGTAGTATTCCATGGTGTATATGTGCCACATTTTCTTAATCCAGTCTATCATTGTTGGACATTTGGGTTGGTTCCAAGTCTTCGCTATTGTGAATAGTGCCGCAATAAACATACATGTGCATGTGTCTTTATAGCAGCATGATTTATAATCCTTTGGGTATATACCCAGTAATGGGATGGCGGGTCAAATGGTATTTCTAGTTCTAGATCCCTAAGGAATCTCCACATTGACTTCCACAATGGTTGAACTAGTTTACAGTTCTCACAGGTCTTCTCTATGCCCTTCACTCCTTCTGAGCTGGACCAACCTCGAGCTATCTTATCAAGCTTAACAATGTACTAATCAATGAGGCAGTGCCCAACAGCCATTGTTGCCCCTGGATAGTAGATAGACACTGAATTTGCTTTATTTTGAAGCTGCGCAACACAAGGTCAGCAATGCATTCTCTAAGATCACTTAGTTCCTGTTTGTTTCTGGAATCAAATGAAATAAGTTTAACTGGGGGGTCCCTGATACTGTCACACTCTGATCTAGGAATATACCCATCAGAGACATTTCTCAAGAAAGTGGTCTGACAACAGCCCAGGCAAAATCTGAGCGGGTAACATTTGAAATCGAATACCCATCCAAGGAGAAAATTGCACCTAATTATTCACACGGCAATCCAGGCTGGCATATTGGTTCAGAAGCCACACCAGCTGCTGACAGTTCTCCACCACCCTCCCCTCTCCTCCTCTCCACTGCTTGTCCGTCTGTGCTCCTCTTCCCAGTAACTCCTACAGAAGCGATTATGCTGCTGGTCCACAGCATCTTTGTCAGTGGACATTCTCATGTCTCCATGAGACTGGTCAAGCAAAGTCACATAGCCACTTGGGAAAAACACCAGTGTGTCAATTCCAAAAAAAAATTACTCTGCTGTTTAAAAAATGTCTAAGATATTACTTACTTTTTTCTGGAATATCTTCTTTACTATTGCAATCAGCTGTCTATGCTTTGGGTTATCTGCGCCCGGGGACATGTGCCACGAGGACACAACCCAATGCCCTGTTCCCCTCCATGCCCTGTGGCCAGGCCTTCCTGGCACTTTCTTCTCTTCCCTGCATTACAAGCCCCAATAATGGGTTGGGCAGAGGCAGGAAGCAAGTAGAAGCAGAAGATCAGTCAGCAAAGACTTGGGGGCCCACCATAGCAGGGCTCCAAGTACTCCAGGCACCAAACAAATGCTCCAGTCTCAGAGCCGAGGGAGCTTCCCATGTAACACCCTTTAAAGAGAAGCTTAAAGTCTAATGGGAAAAAAACCCAGAAATGTTAAAATGTTTAAAAAGTGGTGAGTGGGTTGCATTTCCCGAAGGCAACAGACTTCAATCTGCCATTGCAGTGGGAAGCGTGGAGCGGGCCAGGGAGGATGTTAAATAGCACATGGCATTTGGGGCAAAGACTTGAAAAGAGAATGACCACAGGGGACCACAAAATGAGCCACTCTCCTAGAATAGAAGGGCCAAGGTAGAGGGGTGACGAGAAAAAGCCAAGATCCCAGTAGCATAGGGCTAGCCCATGACCTCCTTAAAGTATGTCACCTGCACAGAGACAGCATGGCCTTAATACTTCACTGAGTGAGTCAGACACAAGGCCCTAGCCTGAGTGGGAGGATACAGGGACAGAACCCTCTGTGATCAGCAGCTTCCAGTCATGAGGGGAAAGATGTCATCCTCATGCAAGAAATGCAGCTCTTATGGTCAGACGGGCACACAAGGCTTGTGCAGATAACAAGGTTGACCACTGGACGTCAGGGCTGGCTTGCAATATATAGAAGTAAACCCTAGCCAGGTGCGGTGGCTCACGCCTGTAATCCCAGCACTTTGGGAGGCCGAGGTGGGCAGATCATGAGGTCAGGAGATTGACCTGGCTAACAACCTGGCTAACACAGTGAAACCCCGTCTCTACTAAAAAATACAAAAAATTAGCCAGGCATGGTGGTGGGAGCCTGTAGTCCCAGCTACTTGGGAGGCTGAGGCAGGGGAATGGCGGTGTGAACCCGGGAGGTGGAGCTTGCAGTGAGCCGAGATCGTGCCACTACACTCCAGCCTGGGCAACAGAGCAAGACTCCATCTCAAAAAAAAAAAAAAAAAAAGTAAAACCTGGGCAAATTATCCAAATGATAAGGCAGAAAATAAGTTCCATCAAAGATGTGCAATTGCAAGGACCATAGAGGCTGGAAAAAGACAGTAAAACCATCTGGCTGAGGGGCAATTGTGGGCCATGAAACTGGGATGGGGCAGCGTGGCCCAGTGGCAAGAACAGTTCACTGACTTTCAGGTAGGTGCCCTGAGAGTGACAGCAGAGGGTGCCAGGCATGGCTGGTGTCATGTAGCCCCACGCTATTCAAACTGTGAGCCAACAGCACCAGCATCCCCTGGGAGCTTGTTAGAAATGCAGAGTCTCAGGCCCCACCCCAGACCTGCTGAAACAGAATCTTCATGTTAACACACCCTCCAGTGATTACTACGCACAATAAAATCGGGGACTGTGCCGCTCTGGCACAGTCATCTCAACCCTGGCTGCACATTAGAATGGCCTGGGTAATTCTACAAAATAGTAATGCACAGTGTCCACCCCGAAAAGATGTTGATTTAATTCCTGCGGAATAGGACCAGTGTATCGGTACTTTCTAAAAACTTTCCACATGGTTCACACGTTCAGCAAATTTTGAGAACCAGAGCTGAGAGAGAGACTGAAAAATGAGGAAAACACCGCTGAGGACTGTAGAGTTTGGGTTCACATCAAGACCCCCAAGACTGAGGCCAGTTTGTCCCAGCCAGTGCTCTGCAGGGGCAAAGCCTCTCCAGGCCCGGTGGGGCAGAAGGAAGTGGGGGACCCAGGCTCATCTGAGAGAGGGAGAGAGGGGAACCTCTGGCCTTTTCCAGGACCCAGACTTTGTGAAGGCTTCCTGGACCCTGATCATTGTTAAGTCCCAGTGATTTGCTCTGCAGACTCAGTTGCTGCTAAATCCCATCCTGTACAAACCAGGCTAACCAAAATTTCTATGAGCACCGATGCTCCGAAGTTATCTACATCTTTGAGTCTGTTCAACACCCTCCCGTCTGAGAGAGGGAGGTCAGTATGCAGCTATGAATGGGGCCATGTGGGCAGAGGTAGGGATGAGTAGAAATGTAAGAATTGACTGGACTGCAGTGGTTCTCAAATTTCAGCGTGCATCAGAATCACCCGGAGGGCCTGTTCCGACGCACCTCATTGGACCCCATTCCCAGAATTTCTGATTTGATTTATCTTGGAGGTAGAGCTAAGAATTTGCATGGGAATTGGTTTGGACCCAAGGACACGTGGTGTGGGATGGAGGTTAAGTGCCTTATGTCTTCTCAGCCTCAGAGTCCTCACTGGTAAAATGTTAGGTCTAGATCAGGGCTTGTCAACCTAAGCACTATTGATGCTTTGGGCTGATCATTCTGTTTTGTGAAGATCTATCCTCTGCATTGTGGATGTTGAGCAGCAACCCTGGCCTCTACCCACTGAATGCCGACAGCAACCCCCATTCCTTGCTGTGACAACAAAAGTGTCTCCAGACATTGCCACACGACCCCTGGGAGAGAGGGATTGCAAACTCATTCCCAGTTGAGAACACCGGTTCCTACATAGCTTTCCATTTTTTTTTGTTTTGTTTTTTTGTTTTGTTTTGTTTTCCTTTTTCAGATGGAGTCTCACTCTGTCACGCAGGCTGGAGTGCAGTGGCGCGATCTCGGCTCACTGCCACCTCTGCCTCCCAGGTTCAAGCGATTCTCCTGCCTCCGCCTCCCAAGTAGCTGAGATTACAGGCATGTGCCACCAGGCCTGGCTAATTTTTTGTATTTTTAGTGGAGACGGGATTTCACTGTGTTAGCCAGGATGGTCTCGATCTCCTGACCTCGTGATCCGCCCGCCTCGGCCTCCCAAAGTGCTGGGATTACAGACGTGATTATTTGTCTTTTTAATGGGTGGCAAAACTGTCTTTTCTTATTTTGTGGAAAGTATGCCTCTAAATTATAACAAACATGATAGTTTTCAAAGTAAAACAAATTGCTCTGAAAACGTATATGCTTGATGAGAAACTGGTCTGTGGCTGGCACAGCACTCCTTCTGGTACAAGAGCCTTTGGGGGAAGTAGCTAAAAGCATGTGCTTCGGCACCAGATTGCCTGGCTTTTAAGCTTGAGCTGCTCCACTTACCAACTGTGGGGTTTCAGGCAAGTTTCTTTTTTTTTCTTTTAACTTTTTATTTTGAACCAATTTTAGATTTATAGAAAAGTTGTAAAAATAGCATCGAATTTCTACATATCTCACTTTTAGCCTCCCCTTAATGCTAACATCTTACATAAACATAGGACAGTTTCTTAACTGCCTTCTGCCTCAGTTTCTTCATCGGTAAAATGAAGATCTGAGACTACCTATCTTAGACAACTGTTAAAAGCTTGGGATGGAATAATTCACAGAAAATACTCAGGATCGTCCCTCGTACATATTAAGTGCTCAAAAATGTCAGTTATTATTTTTTGTTATTCACTGTGGCTTTAAGATCTTCAGAAAACGATGCATTTTCGATAGAGAAACAGATCCCAATGGGTGAGATGTGCCTGGCAGCCTTAGCTATCAGTTGCCAAACGACCTGTGTGTGTACTTCCGTCTGGCTGGGCTTGCATTTAATCCATACATCCCTAGTTCACCTGCTTCTCCACTTCCCCCTCCCTGCCTCCAAGCATCCTGAAAGACCCTCTGGCCTTTCCCAGGACCTGGACGTTATCAAGGCCTCTTGGACCCTGATCATTGTTATGTTCCAGTGATTTGCTCTGCGGACCGCAGTTGCTGCTAAAGCCTGTCCTGTACAAGCCAGCCTAACCAAAATTTCTATGAGCACCGATGCTCCAACATTAACTGCATCTTTGAGTCTGTTCAACACTCTCCCTCAAGAGCCCCTCTACAGAATTTTACACAAAAGCACAGATGCCTCCAATCCAAAAGTGCATCATAAATTCTTGCTGAGCGTGAGGTTTCTGGGCTTCGGTGTTTCGAGAGAGAATGCTGAGTCAGAATGAACAGCAGAAAAGGTCCCAGGCTCGTGCCTTAGTCTTCGCCCAAAGGTAGCAGAGCAACTTATAAACGCTAATTAAACTTGCTTTCCCACTCCCTAATAAGGCGAGTGCTCTGTATATTTTATGGATGGGAAGACTGGGGACAAAGGAGAGAACCAGCCTTTGCCAGTCACGTAACTTGCAGGGTGATGAAGGCTGCAAGAGGCTCCATGGCAGAGCTGGGCTGGGCTGTGAGCCCCACGCAAACCAGCAGAGCTTGATCTGTTTGGCCAGCGTCCTGGCTGCTGAAGCCTGCTTCTGCCAGGATGGCATTGATATTCTGCACGTAGAAAAGAAGTCTCAGTTTCAAACTAATTGCTGTGAGCTCAAACGCATACAGTCATTAGCGCTTCACTCTGGGAAGGGAGCTGAATCCTAATTGTAGAACTGTCATGCATCCAGGCAAACTGTGTACTCTGGAGACAGCCGTGCCCAGTGGTAGATGGTCCAGCTGCCCCCCACCCACCCCTCCCACCGTTTCACACACACAACCCTACAGCCCCATTTCCACAGAACTAGGCTACCCTTTGCTCTTCTAGCACCCTGGACTTAGCCGACCTGCTGAGGCTCATTCAAAACCTTGCACCGGCCCCAGCTTTTGGGTTTTGCTTCCGAGAACCTGAGAGGCTGGAAATTCCCAAAGACCTTCTGGGGCCGGGCTGGACAAGGCTGTGGGCTAGCCTGAAAGTGTGTCCCTTTCATCTTTTCTCTGTTGCTGATCATTTTTGCTTATGCATTTCCAAGCACCAGGTGTGACAATAAATGGTTGAATTTCACTTCTGCCTCTCCTCCCACTGCTAGAGAGTAATCTAGAACATATATCTGACTGGGCCAAGCTTCAGGATAAATCCTCCTCTGACTCCAGTCTACATTTAAGAGAAAGTCTGATTTTCTAAAGAAAAAAGCACTAACAGCCCTCTGTGTCTGACCCAGCCTACCTTTGCTCCATCTGTAAAGGGTCACCTGTTCTGGAGGTATAGTCTGGGGGATGGCTATGAGGAGTTAAACCAAGACAGGGACCACAGTTGCGATGAGGATGGTCACATGGGTATCCCTCATGTTAGCTGGTATTTCTAAGCAATTTTCTTTAGGCTATGTACTTCACAGACTTTATTTCATTTACTTAGAACAAGCTCAGCAGGTAACTATGGCATCCTCACCATCACACAATACCTGAAAGCACAGGCTGCAGGATCCATTTGCCTGGATTCAAATCCTGATGCCCCAATTAGTAGCTGTGTGGCTTTGGGCAAGTGTTTCCATCTCACCATGCTTCTGTTTTATCAGAGATGGGGATGATGTAATTGAAGTGCCCCCCTCCAAGCATGGTGAAGCTCAAATGAGTTAATACATGAGAAGTGGTCAGAACTGTGTCCGGCCAGTGGTCAGCCCTAATACACTTCAGCCATTACTACAGAGAGAACCCACATTCAGGGAGTTAAACACCTGTTTGCTGTTCCCTCCCATGCTCTTAGCCACAGTGTCATAAATGTGGCTGTGGGCAGCCAGATTCATTTTTCTGTTTTGTTTTGAGACGTAGCCTTGCTTTGTCAACCAGGCTGGAGTGCAGTAGCATGATCTCGGCTCACGGCAACCTCCACCTCCCTGATTCAAACAATTCTCCTGCCTCAGCCTCCCGAGTAACTGGGATTACAGATGCACACCACCATACCCGGCTGATTTTTGTATTTTTAGTAGAGACGGGGTTTCACCATGTTGGCCAGGCTAGTCTTGAACTCTTGACCTCGAGTGATCTGCCCGCCTTGGCCTCCCAAAGCACTGGGATTATAGGCATGAGCCACTGTGCCTAGCAGTGGCCAGATTTCTTTTAGACATGCAACCAGGGCCTGTCAGTAAAGGGTCTGGGGTGTGGTCATCATGCCTGTCTTTCAGTGAAAGGGTCCACAGGACAGTTCTTCGTGCTGTGTGTGACTACAGGGTTCCAGCTTTAGTTATGATCCCTCCACTAAAAGGCAATTGAGGAATTTCTCGCTGATTGATTGGTTCACCAGGTAAAAAGCATTCAAGATGCGATTAGAGATAAGAAGCAGTGGTTCAGCTTCCTTGGGGAGGAGATCAGCCTGAATCCTTCTGTCGGTATCTTCATCACCATGAACCCAGGCTATGCTGGCCGCACAGAGCTGCCAGAGAATCTCAAGTCTCTCTTCAGGTGAGTGTCAGTTCTGCCCCATGCAAAAGCCCCAAAAGAGAAGTTTCTTTCATTTTTCCACTTAAAATGTGTGACATATATTTTAAAGAAAATTTGGAACATTTGGAAAAGTAGATTTGTAACAACCTTCTTTAATGTCTTTAATGCAGTAAAATTGCTTTTTGCTTAATTGTGTTCTGTTCTCCTCTGTATATACATTTTAAATCCATACGTTGGTAGCCTGCATTTGCGGTCTACATAGTTTCGTGTTGTTTTTATTTCGTAGTCTCTCATAATCATATCCTAAATATTTTCTTCTATTAGATATTCTTGATAAATCTCATTTCATGGCTGCATACTTTTTTATCAAGTGCATGGTTTACAATGTAATTAACTACTCCCCCATGGTTAAATATTAAGACTTTCTAACATTTAAAATAAATTTATGCATAATGCTGTAATGTACATCTTTGCATATAAATCTTTTTTTTCCGTATGTATGATTATTTTCCTTGGCTAGCTTCCCAGAAGTGGAATTACTGTGTTAATAGGTAGAAACATTTTTAAGGCTCTTGATACACATTGCCAAATTGCTTTCTAAAAAGAGTAGTACCAAATTACACTCCTCGTAGCGACGCATGAGAGCACCTCTTTTATTTCACCCTTGCTACCGGTGGACATTGCCATATTTTAAACTCTTCTTTATTTTGATAAGAAAACACAAATACATTTCATCGAAGTAGCTGGAGGCTGCATTCTTTTTCCAGAAAAGAAAAGTTGGCCCAACAAAGAGAAAACTGAAGAATGCTTCATGGCTTCTGATCTTCTGGTTACTGAACTTTTACCTAAGTGAGATAGACTGTGGGGTGCTATGACAAAACTGTTTTGTCTCATTTTTGGACTCATAAACACAGTGCTGTCTGTCCGGAGAGGTTGTCAACACTTTACTGGATTTCCAGAGGCATAGGAGATCGCTGGGCAGCTCCCTGAGTGCTTCACTCTCTCAGTCATGGCAAATTCCCGTGTCGCTGGGGTGACGGGGCCTTCTCCTTCTTCAGCCAGGTCCCTGTGTTAAGCAAGAGCTGCTGGAATGCCAACAAGCTGTCTAAACGGGTGCTACAGAAAACTGCATTGTTGACCATTTGTTTCTACAAAGTAATTATTAAATAAGCCTTGTGTTACAAATGATTATAGAAGTAGGTGATCACCCAGATAAGAATTCTTTCTTACCTTTTTTTCTTGCTGAATTTTTTTGCTGACTGGAATTGTCTTTGCCAGTTCAGGGTGCCATAATAAAAATACTGCAGACTGGGCGGCCTAAACAGCAGACATTTATTTCTCACAGTTCTAGAGACTGAAAGTTCAAAAGCAGGGTGCCAGCACGGTCAGGCTCTGGTGAGGGCTCTCCTCCAGGTTGCAGGCGGCCACCTTCTTGCTGTATCCTCACATGGAGGAAAGAGGATGAGCTAGCTCTCTGGGTAGCGCTCCACCCTCATGACCTAATGACCTTCCAAAGGCCCATCTCCAAATACCATCACATTGCATTTTGGGGGCACACAACATTTAGTCCATAACACATACCCATAGAAGGAAATTTGGAAATAAACATATTTTTCAAAATAGTAAGTACAAACATCTACTTTTACATTTAATTCTCTCAAAGGCCCTATGAGGTAGTACTAGTTTCTCCAGTGTTTAGTGAAGAAACAGATGCATTCAGCAAATTGCTCAGGGTAGTAACCCTAGTTACTAGGGTTAGCTAGTGAACCAACTAGTAAGCGGCAGAATGCTAGAGTTTGAACCCAGAGCCCCTATTCCTCCCCGCCCCCAGTCCTGTCATCCAGGAACAATCAGTGTAACCATTTGGCATTTTTTTTCCCAATACTGCAACAGTAGCGCATTTCTTTTTCAAAATTGGGATCAGACTATATATAGTTTAGTATCCTACTTTCATTAACTAATGTTTCTTTGTCATTATATAATTTACCTTTCACACCACTATTTTTCATGGCTGCATAGTGTTCTGTTGTACAAATGTATATTTACCCATATGTTCAGGTTGCAAAATAATTTTGAGAATTTAAGCAGCATTTGGTTGCTCCTTTGAATTTGAATACAATGTAAAATATTTCAAGAAAAAATGTGCTCGAATGAAATGTTTTTGAAAATTTCATATCAGTATAGGGAAAATGCAATTAAATAAATGTAACAACCTATTACATACCCAACAAATTAAAAAAATGTAAGTAATTTTAAAATCAGATGTTTTTAGTGCCAGAGGAAAAAAATACAACAAAGCCTTCTATAAATCCCTTTCTATATTATTGTATATGCCATTCTGTGTCAAGATAGGGTTAATAAGTATTAGGTTGGTGCAAACATAATTGCAGTTTTGCTATCGAAAGTAATGGCACAAACCGCAATTATTTTTGCACCATCTTAATACATATTTTAGACCTCATCATTAGAAATTTACATTTGTATTCAAACAAGTACAGGATACACCCTAGGTGTCTAGGCTTAGAGGAGACACACATTTGGAGAATGAAGAATAGGGGAACTCTCAGTTTCTTGAAAGTAATGGCAAAAACCACAGTTACTTTTGGACCCACTTAATACATACTTTAGGCCTCATCAAGAGAAATTTACATTTGTGTTCAAATAAGTACAGGATAAGCCCTGGGTGTTTAGGATTAGAGGAGACACACATTTTGAGGATGAAGAATAGGGGAACTCTCAGTTTGTTGTAGATACCCAGAGAAACTCAATTCCTTATTCTAAGCCTTGAATCTATTCTAGGCAATTTGCTTTACTAATTCATGCCTTGTGTAAGACACACTGAACTCAAGTCACAAGACTTGAGTGGTAGCTCCAAGTCTGCCCCTGCCTGCTAACATTATCCAGCCCCTTAAGAAGGCGACTTCATTTCCTTTATCCTTAGCTAACTCATCTCTAAGTTGAAAGTCTTCATGCTAACTGCAGCAGCACATAGAATAAATTGAAAGTCTTAGATGAAATAATGGCTCAGGTCTTTCCATGAGTTTTTGCACTCACAGATGCCTCCATGTGTGATCTCGGCCAGTGCTTATTTTCTTGCAGTCTCCTCTTCAACACTGTACTTGGGAAACTGACTGGGCCTTCTGTCTTTCTATACTCAGGCCTTGTGCAATGGTGGTTCCAGACTTTGAATTGATCTGTGAAATCATGCTGGTGGCAGAAGGATTCATTGAAGCCCAGTCATTAGCCAGAAAGTTCATCACTCTTTACCAGTTGTGCAAAGAGCTTCTCTCCAAACAGGTAGGATCTCTAGGGAGGCTGTACAACCAAGCACCGTGCAACAGCCCCAGCTCTGGAAAAGTTCTGGAACAAATGTATTAGGAAAACATACTCAAGCTTTCTCATAGAAAGTCACTGTACCCATAAGCATGTCGAAACCTCTGAACACTTCCATATTAATGATTTATGTTCACTTTTTTAGCTCTGCATTTTTCAAAATTAACCTCAAAACTCCATTTTGTAATAGAATACTTAGCAACACATCACAGACACCAGCGTCCCATGAGAGACATTACAGTGGCCAATAAAAACCCCTGGAGGAAATGGTCTGTACCTGAAGGGGCATAGATGAGGAGGGTTAGGGAAGCAGGTTAAGTGTTAACCAGCTTTGAGCTTCTCATAGTTGCTTGGCGTTACCTGTAGCTTCCACCTAAGGCAGGAGGAAATTCACAGAAAAATTGCACCTTAGCAAAACATTACCTGCAAGGTTTCTGCCTTGAACGGAGAATTTCTTTTTGTCAAGGATAGATGACCAAGCTTCCCTGGGCTGTCCCCAATGAGCTTTGGGATTATCTTGTTTTGATCACCTTTACTGCCATAAAACAGGCTCTCTCAGCCATGTGGAGTCTGTCCAAGATGCAGAAAATCCTGTTTTCCTCATACTACTTTTCTCATTGTATCCCCTCTCTAGGTTCTTTCCCAACGTTGACTTCCACTTTTACGGCTTTATCCCAAACCTCTCTTCTGAGCTCTAAACCTGTACATTCAGTGATCTGTACCACAGCTCCCCCGAGTGTTTAAAAAGCTCCTCCAGCTCAGCATGTCTAAAGCTGATCTCCGTCAGCTCTAAGCCCAAGCTTCCTTCTCCTGTGTTCCCAGCCTCAGTATGCTGACCCCTCATTCACTCATTTGCTAACTCTAGGACCCTGGGAGTTACCCTGGACCATTTCCTCTTCCTTAGCCCTATATATAATTTTAAATGAACCCTTAATGATTCTATGTTCTGGATATTTCTCAGACAAGTCTCATTTCCTTTCCCTATTCATTGCTACCACTTGAGTTCCAAGCACCCATATCTTTTGCTTAAACTATTGCAACTGCCTTTCTACTAGTTTTTCCACCTCTCTTCTAATTCCTCAGATCTGTTCTTTAGCCACTTGCTAGAGTGATTATTTAAAAACGCTCCTCACTGGTCCCAAGATAGAGACCAATGTCCTTATCACTCTCTGCTAAATACTGCAGGGTGTTCTGTCTCCTCCTACCTCAACAGCAGCGGCTCACAGCTCTCTCCCTGTCGTGTGATGCTCCATCTCCATTGATCTTTTCTGAGTTCCTTGAAATTGATTGTCTTCTCACCTGAGCCTGTGGACATCCTGTTCTCACTTGCCTTGACTGCACTTCTTTTTCGTCTGTGCCTGACTGAATTCTACTCCTTCAAGGTCTTCTTTAATACCATTTCCTTAGGGAAGTCTGATCCATATCCTGGGTACAGCCACTGTGTTCTTTGTCATCATTGCATAGCACATTTTTCCTTGGCTGCATTTTTTTTTTTTTTGAGATGGAGTCTCCCTCTGTCGCCCAGGGTGGAGTGCAGTGGCGTGATCTCGGCTCGCTGCAACCTCCGCCTCCCAGGTTGAAGTGATTCTCCTGCCTCAGCCTCCTGAGTAGCTGGGATAACAGGCACCCACCACCAACCCCAGCTAATTTTTGTATTTTCAGTAGAGACGAGGTTTCACCATATTGGCCAGGCTGGTCTCGAACTCCTGACCTTGTGATCCACCTGCCTCGGCCTCCCAAATTGCTGGGATTACAGGTGTGAGTCACCGCACCTGGCCTCCTTGGTAGCATTTGTCATGGCTCTAATTAAGTAGCAATCTGCTACAAATCAAGTAGAGGAGCTTGGGCTTCAACAGAAGTCTGTCTGAGTTCAGACTCCGTGCTCTGTTCTGCCCACTACAGCTCCTTCCCACACCATGCTGCCACCTGAAGCCTAGTATCAGCAGTGTGGTCCACTCTCCCACAGACCCTACTAGCAGCACTGTGACCAGGGGGTTCATATTTGACAGAACCCACTTTAAGGAGCTCTTCTTTAAACCTCTTTTCCCATAGAATGTGAAGGCCTCCAAGGTGGCACATGTAAGCTCAGCGTCTACCATCTCTAAGAGTTAACATGGCTCCCTCCTTGACAGCCCTTCCAATTCTACCTGCTGAGTGTGCAAGGAGTAGCCAGATAGGTTTGAAAATGGTTCTGTTTGATCTCTTTGACCCCCCACATCATTTGTATGTTCTGTGTCTGCCCTGCTGTCATCACAACTGGAAAAGTAGCAAGTGTTAGACCAGGAACTAAATTCTGGGATCATCATTTTCTAAGTCATCCCTTCCCACGTCTCTGTCCAGGCTTCAGAGGTGACCTAATGCTCATAGCATATCTATGATTCTGCAGACACTCACCCCAGCACATGGTGTTCTGTCTCTCTGTCACTTTGATCTAACACTGCCCACAGGATCACTACGACTGGGGCCTACGGGCCATCAAGTCCGTGCTGGTGGTGGCAGGATCCCTGAAGAGAGGAGACCCTGACCGGCCTGAGGACCAGGTCCTGATGCGCTCCTTGCGGGATTTCAACATCCCCAAGATTGTGACTGATGACATGCCCATCTTCATGGGCCTGATCGGGGACCTCTTTCCCGCCCTGGATGTCCCCCGGAGGAGAGACCCCAACTTCGAAGCTTTGGTTAGGAAGGCGATAGTGGATCTGAAGCTCCAGGCTGAGGACAACTTTGTGCTCAAGGTACATGTGGTTTTTCCTCCCAGGATTTCTCTATCTCTTACTTATTGTCCAGGATAATGGGTTATCCTTCATCCATAATCCAAAGGGTTGTTTTAGATGTACAAATATGTATCTAGTTAGTAATAACTCAATTCATTTCAACCACTCTTAACTGGGGACCCACAATGTGGAATGCATGGTAGGGAATACAAGGGAAAGTTGGAGGATCCTTACTTTACAGCCCTTCCATTCTGTTTGGTGTACCTCAGCCTGAATGCCAACTATCTGCTCACTCACCCATAAATGAAAGGACAAAGACAGAGGCCAAGATCTGGCCACATCTACAGAACCTCCACTCAATCCTACTATCCTGGATAGAGACCAGCAAAAGAGAACACCCAAAACCAGCAGAGGAGAATACCCCTCCCAGCCTCCTGGAAAACACAGCACAGCTCCTTATTTAACCTTGAGGCTTACCAGATATTGAAGAAACCCGACAACACGCAAGATAAAGACAGATGGACAGACACAGACACACACACACAACAAAAACAGCCAGTGAAAATAACAAAGAGAATATTCTTCAAGTTATAATTAGCGTCTTTGAAGGAAATTTTAAAAAATGATATCCATCAAACAAGAATTAGATGCCATTGTACAAAGAAAGCACTATTGGAGAATTATAAAGACCTCTTTTAAATGTAAAATTGTATCATCTATGGCATTCAAAATTCAGTGAGAGGATGGGAAGATAAAGGCAACATCCCAGGATAAAGTTATAAGCAGTATTATGTATTGTGTGTGTGTGTGTATGGTAAAATATTCACACATGCACACACACACAGATACAGAAAGTGCGAGAGGTGAGATGATGTATAGAGGATCAATTTAGGTTATCCAACATGTTACCAGTAAGAATTCTAGAAAAAGAACAGAAAGATAACTAGAGCTGGAAAGACATGTATCCACATTGGAAAGACAGTACTGAACAGAATGACTTCAAATGAATCTGTGCAGTGACACATCATAATGCAATTTCAGAGGTCAAGAGTCAAGAGAAAAGAATAAGTCTCCTAGTTGAGTGAGGAGGTAGTACTAGTGTATTAATACCTGAGACTGGGTAGTCAGGAAAGAGGTTTAATTAACTCACAGTTCTGCATGGCTGGGGAGGCCTCAGGAAACTTACAATCATGGCAGAAGGTGAAGGAGAAGCAAGTCCTTCCTCACAAGGCAGAAGGAAAGAGAGAGAAAGAGTGGAGGGGAAATAAAGAGCTGCAGACACCCTTTGTCTTCCTTGCACAGTGCATTTTTCCTTTGTAACATTTATCACAGATCTAATTAAATAACAATCTGCTACAAATCAGGTGGAGGAGCAAGGGCTTGAAATGAAGTGTAAGATCAGACTCCATGCTCTGTTCTGCATGCTACACCTCCTCCCTGCACCATGCTGGTTATAAAACCATCAGATCTCGTGAGAACTCACTCAGTATCACAAGAACAGCATGGGGGAAACTGCCCCCATGATCCAACCACCTCCCACCAGATCCCTCCCTCGACACATGGGGATTCGAGATGAGATTTGGGTAGGGACACAAAGCCAAACCATATCAACAAGTGATCCAGGAAAGGAATGAAATTTAAAAGGAGCTCAGAATCTCTTGTCAGCTAAATTGGATATTTGAGAATAAGAAAAGCAGTCCTTCAAAGTTTTTAAGGGAAATGATTTCAAGACTAGAATTCTATACAACCAAATTATCATCCATGATATTCTCAGACTCATAAATGTTACTTCTTATGCACCCTTTTTGAGTAAGTTACTTGAGGACATACTACAGCAAAACAAGAATGAAAAACAAGAAAAATATTGTGAGATTCAAAAAAATCAAGAATCAAGAAAAAAAATCCTGAAATGACAGCCGTTAGCAGGCCTAGAAAGCAATCAATTCAAATTAGAGCTGGAAGTCAGTAGTCTCCCAGAAAAGAGAACCTTAAGAAAAGTGAATTTATTCAAAGCAAGAATAGAGTAATAAGCTGAAAGTTCTTATGTGTTTTATTGAACTTCTAAGTTGTGGGGACTTGTAAGTTATGTGTACAAAATCAATTGTTCCCTCCTCTCTGTTTCCACAGCACCTTATAAATACCTCTAAGATAGTACTTATCCTCTTACCTTAGAATAATTTGTCCACATGACTTTCTTCTCCATCACACTATAAGATCACAGAGGGCAGGAGGATCACATCTGAATCCCCCTCGCCTGGCACACTCTGTAGCACTTGGTTGGTGACTAATAATTATATAACTGAATGATGAATACAGGAACAAATGAATCATGTTGCCCCTATATTTCAGACCTCCTGACATCTTGGGGTAGATAACTCTTCCTCTGTTGACTTCAGGTCTCACTTCAGACACCAGCTGGGGTCACAGAAGAGCAGTTGGGATGCAGGTGAGTCACAGGCTGGTCCCTCTGGCTGAATTTCCTGCCTCCTCAGGTGGTCCAGCTGGAGGAGCTCCTGGCTGTGCGGCACTCTGTATTTGTGGTGGGTGGCGCTGGTACCGGCAAGTCACAGGTGCTGAGGTCCTTGCACAAGACCTATCAGATCATGAAACGGCGCCCCGTCTGGACTGACCTCAATCCCAAAGCAGTCACAAATGATGAGCTCTTTGGCATCATCAATCCAGCCACAGGAGAATGGAAGGATGGTAAGAGTGGGATTCTCCCAGGAGAAAGTCTCTGCTAGCCTCAGAGTCCCTGTGGCGGGCTTGGATGCAGTTGGGTGAATTGCAGAAGCAAACATTGGACTGATCTGTTTGGAACCGCGGAGGGAGACAAAAAAGCCAGTAGAAAGGGAGAAACCAATTTTGGCTTGCAGGGGAACTTCAGTTTTTCAGATATTCTCCCTCCTTGGGGACCTCTTCCAGCTGCCTTTTAGAGAGTGCATTTAAAGAGGATAAAGCTGGCTGGGCACAGTGGCTCACGCCTGTAATCCCAACACTTTGGGAAGCGGAGGTGGGTGGATCACGAGGTCAGGAGTTCGAGACCAGCCTGGCCAATATGGTGAAACCCTGTCTCTACTAAAAATACAAAAAAAAAAAAAAAAAAAAAAAAAAAAATCAGCTGGGCGTGGTGGTGCACATCTGTAGTCCCAGCTGCTCAGGAGACTGAGGCAGAAGAATTGCTTGAACCCGGGTGGTGGAGGTTGCAGTGAGCCAAGATCGTGCCACTGCACTCCAGTCTGGGTGACAAAGCAAGACTCCATCTCAAATAAATAAATAAGATAAAGCAACATAGGCATTCAGCTGTAGTTCACTGACTCTGGAGTATGAGCCGTGGTGTAGAGTGTTAATGCTGCCTGGCAGTAGACTTCAAGTATGTGTTGGGTAGGGAAGCCCACGGCTCATTCCCAAAGAAGTGGTGCAGTCTGGCATCCTATAAAGGGCACGACTCCCCTATTTGATGTTGCCCCAGCAGTGATGGGGAAGCTGCATGCTACAGAACCTTGTGCGCATGCCAGGCCCCTGATGATTATCCATTCAATCTCAAGAGGGCCCCTAGAGCCATATTCCTTTCTACAGTGATTCAGAGGCCCCCAACCCTGGGTGCTGATCTCAGCCTTACCTTCAAAGAACTAAACTTCACCAATAGACATTGTAAAGGGTCGTTTGGCACTGGAGGACAGCAGAAAAGAAAGTTGAGGGGGAAAAAAAGAGGTCCTTGAGCTGATAAGGAGGACCTCTTTCTAAAACCTATGTAGCTTCTGGAATGAGGAAATCTCAGCTCCTTCCTGATGTTTCAATGTCTGACCACATCCGGGTCAAACTCTCTGGATTTCTCTAATTTAGGAGCTTTCATCTGAGGTCTAGAACACAAGGATTTAACAACCAGAGTCTAATTTTTATTTTGCTGTTAATGAGACTTAGCATCTTTCCTTCTTATTGATCTTAGTAATTTGCTCTTTTGTGATTTTATTTCCTGTTTTTCTTACCAATTTTTAAGAGGGTTTTTTTTTGTTTTTTTTTTTGTTTTTTTTTTTTTTTTGAGACAGAGACTCACTCTGTCGCCCAGGCTGGAATGCAGTGGCACAATCTCAGCCGACTGCAAGCTCTGCCTCCCAGGTTCACGCCATTCTTCTGCCTCAGCCTCCCGAGTAGCTGGGACTACAGGTGCCTGCCACCACGCCCAGCTAATTTTTTGTATTTTTAGTAGAGACAGGGTTTCACCGTGTCAGCCAGGATGGTCTCAATCTCCTGACCTCATGATCCTCCCGCCTCAGCCTCCCAAAGTTCTGGGATTACAGGTGTAAGCCACCATGATGCCAGGCCAAGAGTTTTTTAATATATCAAAGATATTAACCCCTTATCTGTCACATGCATTGCTAATGCTTCCCCAACCTATTCTTTGTCTATAGACACTTTATTCTCCCATGCTCTTTTTAACAAAGGAAATTATGCCTGTCTAGTCTTTTTAGCATCTGGGATTTCTATTAGTTTATAATTCTTCAGCTGCTGATCTAGTATCATAAATTTGGTCAAAAAAGATTCTTTTTACATTAACATTTTTTATCCATCTGGAATTTATGTTGGGGCTTAGTATGAGGCAGGGTACAGAATCAACTTTATTTCCTTCTAGATGGATAATTGATTGTAACCGTACCATTTATTAAGTAAACTATCCTTTCCCTCTGAATTTAAACACCAGCTTGTCATTTACTAAATTGCATATGTATATTGAGATCTGATTCTGGGCTTTCTATTCTGTTTGACTCACCTGTTTATCTAATCCTATACTAATGTCATTTTATTTCAGTTACAATCATTTTATAACATATTTTAATATCCAATGAGGTAAGTCCCTCCTCAGTAATCTTTTGTAATTTTATTGTCTTGTCTCAAGCACTTCTTTTTTCATATTAAATATAAGCTCAATAATATAATTCAAACTTTTAAGTCTGAATTCTAGTTAAAATTTTATTAGATTTATACATTAAATTTGGGAAAATTGACAAGATATAATAATCACAAGTCTGTGTTCACTGAACAAGGTAACTTCGAAGTAAATGGAACATAGCCTTTAAAATATGTTTAGGGGCCAGGCACAGTGGCTCATTCCTATAATCCCAGTGCTTTGGGAGGCCAAGATGGGAAGATCATTTGAGGCCAGGAATTTGAGACCAGCCTAGGCAACATAGTTGAGACCCCATGTCTACCAAAAAAAAAAATTTTTTGGATAACTTTAAAAGAATACAAATCAACAGGTTATTTTAGTTTTATTTATTTATTTGTTATCTGTTTTTTATTTTCAAAATTAATTCCAGTAAACAGAAAAATAAGTACATAAAGGAATTGGCAATTATATCACCAAACTCAATATAATAACAAAGTTATAGAACTTTTTATCCCATAAATAGAAAGTATTCCTTTCCTGATTGGTTCATGTAACATTTCCAAAAATTAAAAATGTAATTGGCTACAGAGAAAGCTATAATGAATTCAACAATATCAATTTACAGGTCACATTCTCTGATAATAATGGAATAGAATTAGAAACAAATAGCAAGAAAGTCACCAAAAATGATTTTACTACTTGCAAATCAAGAAATGCTCTCTTAATTCCTGTATCAAAAAGGAAATTTAATTGCAAACCTCTCTAGGATGCAATAAAAAAAATACTTCATACAAGAACACCTATGGGCTCCATCTAAAACCTCTAAGGGAAAACTTTTTAAACTCACTTTATTATAAAAGGTAGGCTGGAAGTAAAGGAAGTTAATATTCATCATAAGAAATTGTTCAAACTAAACACAAAGAAAATGACGGAAAAGGAACTGATAAAGATAAAAGCTGAAATTAGTCACTAGGAGGAACACAAACAGATTATATAAAAGATAAATAAATGTAAATATTGGTTCGCTGTAAAGACCAATAAGATAAGTCTATTGTGAGAGTGATTAATGGGAAAAAAGAGTAAATATACATATAATTTGGAATTAACAGACAAGAGTAAAGTAGAAGAAAATATTTAATTGATGACACATACTTGAAAAACTAAAAGAAATAAATCAACCCCTAGCAAAATATAAATTAATAAAATTTCTTCATTAAGAAGTAGAAAAATTGAGTAAACTAGTGAAAAGAAAAAGTTAAAAAAGAGTAGAGCAAAAAACAGATAATTTCAAAATCATGAAAAGATAACTCTGAAATTATCTTACAGAGCAAGAATAATATTAATATCAACTTTTATGTGGAGCCAAAAAAACCCAATGTTACTCATTAATATAGACACAAATATTCTAAATAAAATATCAGTAAGGAGAATCAAACAGTATCTCAAAAATAATACCCTTTGACCAAGTAAAAGCTATTCCAGGAATGTAGGGATAGAGCAATTGTTTTTAACAGTATTAACATAAAACATTAACAAACTAAAGGGGAAAATCATTTGATCACTAAATAGATACTTAAAATGCAATTCATTCCTAATAGAAAATTCTAAGTAAAGTAGGAATAGAAGGAAACCCCTAAAATATAATAAATGCTCTGTACCTAAAGCTGAAATGAAAACAAAGTCATTCTGAATAATGATACAGTAAATTTCCATGAAAAATAAGGAACAAGTTAGGGATGCCTATTGTCAACATTATTGCTTACTGGGGTTCTAGAAAATGTAATAGGACAAGAAAATGAAATAGATGGTATAAATTGGAGGAAAGAAAAAAAAATTAGAGGAAAGGAGAGAAATTATTGTGTTGTTTATTATGCAACTTTATACCTAGAAAATGTATTAGACATTACTGAAAAATTACTAGAATTAATAAGAAAGTTCATTAAAGGCAACTGAACATAAAATAAATACACAAAATTTGGTAACTTTTCTCAATACTGGCAAGAGTCAATTAAAAATAGAAGTGCAGGAGGAGAAAATTCTTTTCACAGTAGCAATAAAAATCATGAGATATTTAGGAACACATTTAACCAAACACATATATTTTAAAATCTGTAAAAATGTATTAGGGACATAAAGCCATATGTGAATAAATGAACAGACGTACCATACTATTAACTAGGGAAGTTTAATATCATAAAAATCAATTCTGCCCAAATTAATATATAAATTTCAGGTAATGACAATTAGAATCAGATGGGCCGCTTTCCAAAGCTTGTGTTTGGCAAGATTCGCCAAGACTGCAATTACAAAGCATGAAAACTCTACCTTAAAAAGTTTAATGTAGTTTCATCATGTCATAGTTACTTGCTGTAATGATCCACTTTGTCACTTAAAAAGCTTGTACTATCAGGAGTTGTTCTTGTTCTTGTTAATGTTATGAAAAGTTAGACTAAAGCACAGGGAGAATGCACCTTGGGCACTGCCAGGTTTTTGCAAAGCAAGATATAAAACCAGATCTGCATCCTGGCCAGCATGGTGAAACCGCGTCTCTACTAAAAATACAAAAAAATTAGCTGGGCATGGTGGCACGCATCTCTAGTCCCAGCTACTCAGGAGGCTGAGGCAGGACAATCGCTTGAACCCAGGAGGCAGAGGTTGCAGTGAGCTGAGATCACACCACTGCACTCCAGCCTGGCAACAGAGCAAGCCTCCATCTAAAAAAAAATAAAGTAAAATAAAATAAAAATAAAACCAGGTCTGATCTGCCTTTGCATGTTCCATGTACGCCCCCTTCTGTGTGTTGTAGCTAAAGGGGGAAAGCTGTGTTTAAGTGAAAGAGGATTAATGAAGAAATGGAAAATAAGGTGTCAGTGGTTCCTTTTAGGATTGTTCTCTTCCATCATGCGGGAGCTTGCCAACATCACCCATGATGGGCCCAAGTGGATTTTACTGGATGGCGACATAGATCCAATGTGGATTGAATCCCTGAATACTGTCATGGATGATAACAAGGTATGAAATTGGGGGATATCCCTAGATCATTTCTAATCACCTGTGAAACCAGTCACCCAGTGTGGCAGGCATACTTGCAAATCTAGATTCCACATGATGGCTGGCTCAGAGTAAGGAACTATCATCAGCATCTTCACCACACATCTCTGCACTGATAAATTCCCAGCAGCAACTTTTGCTTACATCAATGGTACTGCCATGGCTCACACCAGTTTTGGCATTATTATAATTTGCATCAGAATGTTCTGCACATAGACTCTTTAGTATTTAGAGTTCAAAGCAGTCTTAAGTCATTCATTCACATCTTTTTACTTTTTCTTTTTATGCTCTTCTAGAATAAGGATATTGAAGATCAGAAACATTCCAAGCCTGTCAAACATCTTTCATGGTGTCAAATATTGTTCCATTGAGAGGCTATTTTATTTTTTATAAACAATGAAACCTCTGTAGTCCCAGCACCCTGGGAGGCCAAGGCGGGCAGATCACCTGAGGTCAGGAGTTCAAGACCAGCCTGGCCAACATGGTGAAACCCCCATCTCTATGAAAAATACAAAAAATTAGCTAGGCGTTGTGGCAAGCGCCTGTAATCCCAGCTATTCAGGAGGCTGAGGCAGGAGAATTGCTTGAACCCGGAGGCAGAGGTTGCAGTGAGCCGAGATCGCGCCATTGCACTCCAGCCTGGGCAACAAGAGCGAAACTCCATCTCCAAAAACTAGCTGGTGGCTGTTAAGCTGGTAGCTGTTTGTAAGCTTGTTTAGAGAGCATGTCCAGATTACAAGTTTTAAAATGCCTTTAACGTTTACAGGATTGTTAGAATAAAAGTATGCTCTCCTGGAGAGAGTACTTGATTGTTTTTTCCACTTTTATTTTAGGTTTGAGGGTACCTGTGCAGGTTTGTTACGTAGGCAAACTCATGTCACAGGGGTTTGTTGTACACATTATTTCATCACCCAGGTACTAAGTTCAGTACCAATAGTTACATTTTCTGCACCTCTCCCTCCTCCTACCTTGTACCCTCAAGGGGGCTCCAGTGTCCTGTCTGTTGTTCCCTTCTTTGTGTTCACGAGTTCTCATCATTTAGCTCCCACTTACAAATGAGAACATGTAGCATTTGGTCTTCTGTTCCTACATTAGTTTGCTAAGGTAATGGCCTCCAGCTCCATTCATGTTCCCAAAAAAAAAAAACAAAACATGATCTCATTATTTTTATGGCTGCATAGTATTCCATGGTGTGTATGTACCACATTTTCTTTATCCAGTCTGTCATTGATGGGCATTTAGGTTGGTTCCATGTCTTTGCCATTGTGAAGAGTGTGGCAATAAACATTTGCGTTCATATGTCTTTATAGTAGAATGATTTATATTCCTCTGGATATATGTCCAGTAATGAAATTCCTGGGTCAAACAGTATTTCTGTTTTTAGCTTTTGTGGAGGCACCATACCGCTTTCCACAATGGATAAACTAATTTACACTCCCACCAACAGTGTATAAATGTGTTCCCTTTTCTCCACAACCTCACCAGCCTCTGTTCTTTTATTGACATTTTAATAATAGCAATTCTGACTGGTGTGAGATGGAATCTCATTGTGGTTTTGATTTGCATTTCTCTAATAATCAGTGATGTTGAGTTTTTTTCATATGCTTTTTGGCCACAAAAATTGTCATCTTTAGAAAAGTGTCTGTTCATGTTCTTTGTCCACTTTTTAATGGTATTGTTTGTTTTTTTCTCATAAATTTGCTTAAGTTCCTTATAGATGCTGGATATTAGACCTTTGTCAGATGCATAGTTTGCAAATATTTTTCCCATTCTTTAGGTTGTCTGTTCACTCTATTGATCATTTCTTTTGCTGTCAGAAGCTCTTTAGTTTAATTAGATCCCATTTGTCAATTTTGCATTTGTTGCAATGGCTTTTGGCATCTTTGTCATTAAATCTTTGCGCATTCTTATGGCCAAGATGGTATTGCCTAGGTTGTCTTCCAGGGCTTTTATAGTTTTGGATTTTACATTTAAGTTTTTAATCCTCTTGAGTTAATCTTTGTATATCATGTAAAGAAGGGCGCCAGTTTCAGTCTTCCACATATGGCTAGCCAGTTATCCCAGCACCATGTGTTAAATAGGCTTCCCCAAATGCTTGTTTTTGTCAGCTTTGTTGAAGATCAGATGGTCATAGGTGTGTGGCCTTATTTCTGGGCTCTCTATTCTGTTCCATTGATCTATGTGTCTGTTTTTGTACCAGTACCATGCTGTTTTGGTTACTGTAGCCCTGCAGTATAGTTTGAAGTCAGGTAACATGATGCCTCCAGCTTTGTTTTTTTTGCTTATGATTGCCTTAGCTATTCTGGCTCTTTTTTGGTTCCATATGAATTTTAAAATAGTTTTTTCTAGTTCTGTGAAGAATGTCATTGGTAATTTAGTAGGAATGGCATTGAATCCATACAGTGTTTTGGGCAGTATGGTCATTTAATGAGTTTGATTCTTCCTATCCATGAACACGGGATATTTTTCCATTTGTTCGTGTAATCTCTGATTTATTTAAGCAGGGTTTTGTAATTCTTTTTGTAGGGATCTTTCATGAGGTACTACTATAAAAGGAACAGTATTAATATGAAATGTAAGTTCTTTTCCTTTAAGAGTTCCATTGTTCCAATATAGTCTAGTTCATTCAAATCACCAACATCAACTTAAACTGTTTAAATAACTTTTTTTTTCTGACTCAACACACATACACACACACACACACACACACAGGGGTGGTGGTGGAGAGTGCATAGGAAGAAAGAGGATTATTGTAGAAAATTTAGAAAATACTATTCATCACAAAGAAGGAATATATTAGTTCGTTTTCACACTGCTGATAAAGACATACCAGAGACTGGGTAATTTATAAAGAAAAAGAGGTTTAATGAACTGACAGTTCCACGTAAATGAGGAAGCCTCACAATCATGGCAGAAGGTGAAAGGCGCGTCTTACATGGCAGCAGACAGAGAGAATGAGAGCCAAGTGAAAGGGATTTCCCCTTATAAAACCATCAGATCGACCTGGCGTGGTGGTTCAAGCCTGTGAGCACTTTGGGAAGCTGAGGTGGGCGGATCACGAGGTCAGGAGATCAAGACCATCCCTGGCTAACACAGCGAAACCCCGTCTCTACAAAAAATACAAAAAATTAGCTGGACATGGTGGCAGGCACCTGTAGTTTCAACTACTTGGGAGGCTGGGGCAGGAGAATGGCATGAACCCTGGAGGCAGAGCTTGCAGTGAGCCAAGATTGTGCCACTGCACTCCAGCCTGGGTGACAGAGCGAGACTCTGTCAAAAAAAAAAAAAAAAAAATCAGATCTTGTGAGACTCACTCACAACCATGAGAACTGTATGGGGGAAACCACTCCCATGATTCAATTGTCTCCCACTGGGTCCCTCCCACAACACATGGGAATTATGGGAGCTACAATTCAAGATGAGATTTGGGTGGGGACACAGCCAAACCATATAAAGGAAATAATTCTCCATAATCCCAACCAAACCAATAATAATCAGCCAAATCCCCACAGGCTGGCAAGGCACCTCCCTCCTTCCTCACTGGCATGCCCTTCCCTGTTGTCTCCAGGTGCTGACATTGGCCAGCAATGAGAGGATTCCTCTGAACCCCACCATGAAGCTCCTCTTTGAGATCAGCCACCTGCGCACAGCCACTCCAGCAACTGTCTCTAGAGCAGGTACGGCCCAAGAAGGGAAGAACCACAAAGCTACTCCACTTAGGGAGGTACCTCTGGCTTCACACGTAGTTTTGCTGGCTCAGAAGGAATCTCCACATGGGAGCCAGAAGCCTCACGTGCAGTTTTGTGAATTTGGAAATGTTGTGGTAATAAGAAGGGAAATGGCTTTTGAGCTGCACAACTATCCTCTGCACAGAAGTGTCTAACTTAGGCTACTTTTAGGCCAGTTCTAGCCTCCACGTCAATGGAGATGACCAAATATCACTGTTTATCACTAACTCCTGGTGCAAAATTGCAACTCTATCCCTTAAGTTTCATCTGTCTCCACTGAACAAATTTATTAACAGAGACTGGAAGATTTTTTTTTTAATTGTGTGGCAAAATCAAACTTAAAGAAGCAGGGAGTAGAATGTCAGTTGCCAAAGGTGAGGGTTGGGGGGCAGGGGCAGATGTTGGTCAATGGGTACAAAATTTCACTTCTGCAGGATGAGTAAGTTCTAGAGACCTGCTGTACAACACAGTGCCTATAGTTAGCCATACTGTAGTGTGCACTTAAAAAAATTGTTGGGCCGGGCTCTGTGGCTCACACCTATCATCCCAGCACTTTAGGAGGCTGGGTTGGGCATTCTCCTAGCTTTTGAGAATCTCTCTAGGATTCTCAAAGCTGCTCCCCATCCATCTATCATCAGTCCGCTGGAGTTGGTCCTCAATAGCAAACCCATTTACCCGCTCACATCTTGGCCAAATCTCCTTTTCTTTTCAGTCCAGTCTTCTGTACATTTTCCAAACAGAGAAAATAACTCCCTGGGGTGAAAAATATAATGATGTATATGGAATATTCACTAAACTGTATTCTCTGTGCTCACAGGGATCTTGTACATCAACCCGGCAGACTTGGGATGGAACCCTCCAGTGAGCAGCTGGATTGAGAAGAGGGAAATCCAGACAGAGAGAGCCAACTTAACCATTTTGTTCGACAAGTATCTTCCAACCTGCCTAGACACACTCAGAACCAGGTAGGCCAAGAAACAAGGAAGATAGAGAGTTAAAGCAGCAATAAAAAGCCCATGGGTTCACACCTAGTGTCCTGCTGATGTTCTGTCCTGTCCCAAAGTCAGATGTTCCCAGAGCGATCTCCTCCAGGCATGGCAGATGGCAAAGGGGACACACATTAGGATGGCCATGGGATGCCTGTTGTCAGCTCAGGCATGAAGTGAGGTGAGTGAAGGGGAGGAAGATTGAAAGTCCCTTTCGTGAGTGCCACGTGGATGTATGTGAAGGAGGCTGCGGGTTGTAGTATCAGATTACAATCCAGACACTCAGATCCTTCTGTGTACAGGGCAAGCAGCTCTGCATTTGTAATAAGTAATCCATAGGCCAGATCAACAGACCTAGGGGTGAAAATGGCACTTATTGGTGACCTGTGGGGCCCACTCCCCGTCCCTGGCTGTGTGTGTTCACGGCCCAGATAATGTGGGTATAATGTACCATCTGACAGTCCTGCCCTGCTGGATATGGTGAGTTTACTTTTCCTCTTATAGGTTTGTAAAAGTAAGAGCAACAAGCCCTGACCACTTATCACTAAGCAAGAGGTTAATCACTCTTGACCAAGAGGATACTTACTACAGCAAGAATACTATCTGTGTCAGCACAGGGAGCTGCCCATGTTTGGAACCTGCTTTTGTTTTACACTCTTTTTATGGTTGTTGTTGCCATTTGATGCATCATTCTGTGAATCTGACACCCATCCCTGTAGTGGAGGCAAGAATGGGCCCCTGAGGCTGGTGCTGTGAAGGCAATGTGACTCAGAGCCCCATGAAGATGCCACAATTTAGGGTCAGGATTATGTTTCCCGGAAACTAAAGTCCATCATTGAAGTTGATCCCTGCCTCTTTCTTCCTTGGCTTGTCAAGCATGGGATATGATTGTGCCTCCAATGGTTTGCAAGCATGGAGGCCAAGGGGAAGGGAGCACTTCAGACTGCAGGAAACGATACTGCAACAGGGCTCCAGGTGCTCTCATTCCATATGCCCCGCCCCACACCCTGAAAAATCCACTCACGTTCAAAGTGAATTTTGTATACCTAAAAATTGAGTTGCAGTCAAGTAGGTGACATTGTGGTCTATTTTCGTTGTTTAATGAAACATTACTTTTGATTTCATAGTTTTTCTATTTCAGGGTCAATAATTATTATTCCAACTCAACATTTGTATAAGCCTTTGAAAGGCTTTCAGTCCGTGGGTGACCCATGGGCTCTGTGGCCTTGGGATGTAATGGGCTAAAGCAGCCCGTGTAGCTAAAAAAGTCTGGAAGTGGAAAACAGTAGTTAATATCACAGATGGACTAGGGCAGCCAAGAGTTAGAAAACCAGAGAAGGGTAAGGTTTTAGGAAAATAGTCTATCCCTGTTCTTTTTTTTTTTTCTTTTTTTGAGTTTTAAAATGTTTTTTAAAGTTTTATTTGTATAGATTTAGGGATGGAAGTGCAGTTGTGTTACAGGGATATATGGCATAGTGGTGAAGTCTGGCCCTTTAGTGTAGCCACCACCTGAATAGCATACATTGTATCCAATGGGGGTATTTCAACCCTCAACCCCCTGCCACCCTCCCACCTTTTGGAGTCTCTGGTGTTTATTATTTCACTCTATATTTCCATATATACCTACTGTTTAGCTCCCACTTATAAGTGAGAACATGCAGTTTTTGACTATCCATTTTGCGGTCATTTTGCTAAGGATAATGGACTCCAGTTCCATGCATGTTGCTGCAAAAGACATGATTTCATTCTTTTTTATGACTAAGTAGTATTCCATGTGATATACATAGGTATATATACACACCACTTTTTTTTTTTTTTTTTTTTTTTGAGTCGTTGTCTCGCTCTGTCACCCAGGCTGGAGTGCAGTGGTGCGATCTTGGCTCACTGCAACCTCCACCTCCTGGGTTCAAGTGATTCTCCTGCCTCAGCCTTCTGAGTAGCTGGGATTACAAGTGTGCATTACCATGCCCACCTAATTTTTTTTTTTTTTTTGGTCAGAGTCTCGCTCTGTAGACCAGGCTGGAGTGCAATGGCGTGATCTCAGCTCACTGCAACCTCTGCCTCCTGGGTTCAAGCTATTCTCCTGCCTCAGCCTGCCAAGTAGCTGGGACTACAGGCACGTGCCACCATGCCCAGCTAATATTTTGTATTTTTAGTAGAGATGGGGTTTCACCATGTTGGCCAGGATGATCTTGATCTCTTGACCTTGTGATGTGGCCGCCTCGGCCTCCCAAAGTGCTGGGATTACAGGCGTGAGCCACCGCACCCAGCCTAATTTTTGTATTTTTAGTAGAGACAGGGTTTTGCCATGTTGACCAGGCTGGTCTCAAACTCCTGACCTCAGGTGATCCGCCTGCCTCAGTATCCCAAAGTGCTGAAATTATAGGTATAAGCCACTGTGCCCGCCTACACCACCTTTTAAATTCAATCATCCATTGATGGAAACTCAGGTTGATTCCATGACTTCGCTATTGTGAATAGTGCTGCAATAAACATAAGAGTGCAGGTATCTTTTTGATAAAATAATTTCTTTTCCTTTGCATCCCCGTTCTTTAGGATTTTCCTGAGACACTTGTCCCATATATCCTTTAACTAAAAGTCTGCTATTTCTCACTCTGGGCATTTAGAACAAGAGATGGCAAGCTCATGTGTCTTTGTTTGTGCATGTGTGCCGGTGCATGCACAAGCCTTTGAAACAGCTTTGAATATTCTGACTGTATTAAGTCTATCCAGAGGCAACTCTCCCCCGAACTCTCAATTATGGGTGCTCACTCTGGGTGTAATGTCTTTTGTTGTTAGTTTTTTTTATTTTTATTTTTTTTTTGAGACGGAGTCTTGCTCTGTCGCCCAGGCTGGAGTGCAGTGGCGCGATCTTGGCTCACTGCAACCTCTGCCTCCCAGGTTCAAGAGATTCTCCTGCCTCAGCCTCCCGAGTATCTGGGACTACAGGTGCATGCCACCACACCCAGCTAATTTTTATATTTTTGGTAGAAACGGAGTTTCACCATGTTTGCCAGGATGGTCTCAATCTCTTGACCTCGTGATCTGCCCTCCTCGGCCTCCCAAAGTGCTGGGATTACAGGCGTGAGCCGCCGCGCCCGGCGGATGTCTTTTCACTCTCACAGCCACCCTGCGGATGGGGGAGCTGCAGCTCCGCGATGCTCCCCTGGCATCATAGCCAGTTAGTAACAGGCACTTGCTTTAAAGCCTTCCTTCTATTTTATACAGTCACAGTGTTGTAATGCCAGCTTCATGTGGCCCTGTCACTACGAAGCCGTGTCATGTCAACAGATAATAATTTTTTATTGAATAAGCAGGCCCATAAGGGGCAATTATAAAGCAGCTTTATTTTATTTCCTACTGTTCCTTTAAAACCATTGTATGTGACTAGTTCTTCTCCTGACCCTGCATGAGATCTAGGTCAAGGTCTATGACTTTTCTGTAATAAAAAGGCATCTGATCACTTCTAGTCACACAGTCATACATACACATGTGTGTTAGTCCAGTGAAAATATAAAGAAACAAACTCCATTCATAATGGAGGCTTCTGCCCCACCTGCCTCAGCTCAGGACTGCAATGGGAAAGAGGCGTGTTTTTGACTTCTCTCCTTTATCTGCCAGTGACCAGCTCCCTGGCTATGACTTCTGACCCATCGCTGTAAAAGCGGGGTGGAGAGAAGAGGGGAAATCCGACTTCTCTTTGATAGTTTTTGGGAGCTCCTTGGCTCCTCCCCATCACTGGAAATCTTTCATCTGTTATTCTGGAAGAAAGAAACTGCTTCTCTAGCTGGTCAGGTCCCGCTCCCACACAAACCCCATCTGCCTCACCTTATCCCTTAGCCAAGCACTCAGACAACCCCTGCTGCACACAGCCCACACCTGGATTCCAGGAGATGCTTGCCCCTTCTCTGCTTTGACAAACTGGAGCACAGGCTGCCCCTGCAAGTTACCTCCCCACTCTCCACTGGGAGATCAGCAAGTCTCGGGGGTTTTCCAGGCAAGAGTCCTTCACCAACTCGGAGTAACCCTATTGAAGCCCCTTTCCCTGGCTATTAGGGGAAAGCAGCTACCTTCCCTGTGCAGGAGGGGACACTCATTGCCTACCCAGAGCTCTCTCTAGTACTCTGATTGCTAATTTCCAGGCCTTCCAGCCTTTCCACTTTGTCCTCTGTACTCTTGAGAGGGTGAGAAGCCAGGGTTGCAAAACCCTCTGCGAGTCCCACCTAAGTTGTCTAGAATCTCTGTTTGGAATGGAAGGGCAGTTGGCACCTATCCTCTTGGTGGCATATCCAGCACTGAGCCCAAGAGAGTTGTGTTATATCCGTCTGTTACAAATACACATCAAACAAATGAGGGAACACCCATCAAGGAGTCAGTCTTCTCGTCACTCATGGAAGTAATACCTAGATTACTAGACTCTAAAACTGTCATAGCATTTGTTGTAAGAATTGCAATTAGATTCAAAACCAGCACAAATGCTAAAAAGTGAATGGCGTGCTGTGCAGCTCTCAGGTTCAGTGCTGGGAAATGACTGTTAAGGTGTCCATTGACAGTGCTGTATTTGTTATGAAAACGGACTCTGCCTCCATGCTGCCTATGAACACTTCATCCTGTGGGAGGTGGCAATGTGGGCTGAGTGTGTGGGTACGTGGTGTGCTCTGCATATACATGTGGTGTGATGAGGATACCTATGGGAAGAAAAGTATGTGTGTGTGAGCTTGTGCATGCTCCTGCTGCATGAGGCATAGGATGTCTTTTGTGCATCTCTTGATATCTGCCTTTCAATTAAGGCCTCTAAAGCCAAGATTAAAAGTGCAAACACCAGGCCAGGGCAGAGTTACAGAGGTGTATTTTCAGTTGAAGAACTCCATTCAGTTCATCATGATTGTATAAAATAACCATCTGTCCTGGTCCACTCTACTTCCCAGATAAGATCCTGGCCCCAGAAAAAGTGTTTTTGGTGTTTTCAATGGAAGGAAACCTCTGAGGTGAAGAGGTAGAAGGGCAAGCCTCAGAAATGCACCAAAATTGCCTCTTTAGGTGCGTTTTTTTTTTTGTTTTTTTTTTTTTTTTTTTTTTTTTTTGAGATGGAGTCTCACTCTGTAACCCAGGCTGGAATGCAGTGGCCCGATCTCAGCTCACTGCAAGCTCCGCCTCCCGGGTTCACGCCATTCTTCTGCCTCAGCCTCCCAAGTAGCTGGGAGTACAGGTGCCCGCCACCGTGCCCGGCTAATTTTTTGTATTTTTAGTAGAGACGGGGTTTCACCATGTTAGCCAGAATGGTCTCGATCTCCTGACCTCGTGATCCTCCCTCCTCAGCCTCCCAAAGTGCTGGGATTACCGTTGAGGTGCTTTTTGACAATTGCAGAAAGTGTGAAATGAGCGAAAAAGTTACTTGTTGCAGCCACCTGTGTTCCCCAGGTACTGAGAGGGGATCATCAACAGAAAGAGAAGAGGGAAGAAGAAGTGGGAGGGGGAGGGTGTCAGAGGAAAGGAGATGAGAAAGTCCTCAGGAGAGCTCTGGGCCCTTACTTCCTTACAAAGGAAGCTGGCGCGAGAACAGCTGATGAGAATAAAGGCTTAAGTGGCGCTCTGGTTGTCTGTAATCCCAAAGAACTTGACGGACCATGAGTCCACTGAAACTGAGTGGTTCCATAGCTGTCCAACAGCACCACCAGAATGGAATATCCTCTGTGTTTCAGATCCCCTCGGGTCTCTCTTTGCAGGTTTAAGAAGATCATTCCCATCCCAGAGCAGAGCATGGTTCAGATGGTGTGTCACCTTCTGGAATGTCTCCTGACCACGGAGGACATCCCTGCAGACTGCCCTAAGGAAATTTATGAGCATTATTTTGTGTTTGCTGCCATCTGGGCTTTCGGCGGAGCAATGGTCCAAGATCAGGTAAGGAGATATGTTGAGCTCAACAACCACACTGAAGTCTGTAGCAGCAAAAACTGATCCTTTAGCAAAGATTTGGAAGACAGGACAGCTAAATGTCAGAATGGACTTGAAAGCAGCAAACTATTTAGTCATCTACCTATTACTCTGCTAAAGACATCAGTTGTCCTAGCCAGACCTCATAGGGTGAGATACATGAGGTCGTGGTGTGTTCGGAGCTTTTCCTTTTTGAGCTACTGAACATATCTTTGATTTCTTGGGAACTTATACAGTGTTTGAGTTTGAACAACTGCTGGTATATATGCACTACTTTGCCAGGTGGTGTGTTTGTGGAGAGAGGGGTGGAAGGAGGCTGTGCCGTGGAAGCTTGAGTGGAAGGAAACCCTTCAGTTTTCTTAAAAACCTCTAGAACAAGGATGTACCACTCCCTACCAGGCCAGAGTTAACTATCATATCTCCATACGCGCGAAACTCAAAGCTGTCCAGAGAAGGCTGGACCAAAGTCTAATTAGCATCTAGGATTGGAAAACCAAAGTGGAATTTATCTTATAGTGTTGACTGCTATAGTCTCATGTTGATTGGAAGAAGGGATATGTGGCTTGGAATATCCTTGCATCCTGTCCCCCAACCCTTCTTGTATTCCCAGCATTTTTCTTTACTTATTTTTCTCCAAATAAAAGATATTTTATCTAGAAAGAAAAATATTCAATATTATGCAAACCAGTCTCCTATAACTGACTCTAGCTATTAGGCATTATTGTATGACAGTTAAGAACATGGACTCTGTTAGCAAATTTTAAGTATACAATACAGTATTGTTACTATAGGAACTTTCCTGTACAGAAGATTTATTCATCTTGAACTTAATCATTTTTATAACCAAAATTTTGTACCCTTTGACCTATACCTTCCATTGCTCCCTCCCCCAGCCACTGGCAACCTCAATTCCTCTCTCTGCTTCTGTGAATTGACTATTTTAGCTGTATCATGTAAGTGATATCATGTCAGATTTGTTCTTCTGTGCCTGGCTTATTTCACCTAGCATAACAGTCTCCAGGTTCATCACGTTGTTGCAAATGGAAAGATTTCCTTTTTCTTAAAAAAAAAAATTGCGAAGAGGGAAGATAAATCTTACATCAAATGTTCTTAGCACAAAACAACAATAACAATAACAACGATAAATAAGAGCATGGAAGGGAACTTTGAAGGTGATATGTAGGTTTATGCATAGATTGTGGCGATGGTTTCACAAGTGTATACTTTTTTCCAAACTCATCACATCATATGCATTAAATATGTGCAGCTTTTTGTATATCAGTCATACCACAATAAAGTGATTTTAAAAAATAGCTGAGAAAAGCAAAAATAAAAGCAAAAAAGAACATGAACTGTGGATTTGAATTGTAGCTCTGCCACTATTATCTGGGGAACGTTAGGAAAGTAACTTAACCTCTCTCTACCTTACTCTCCCCATGTGCACAAAGAATGATCATAGGGGTACCCAGCTCCTAGGAGGGTGGCGAGGACTAAGTGAATGCATAATGTTCTAATCACTCAGCATGAATACATGCAAGGTACTTAGCACAACCCATGGGTGCTTATTATTACTATTCTTCTAGTAAAAATATTCAGTTCTGTAGCACGTATCTGGTGTCTCTCTTGCAACAGGGGATCAGACCAAGCTGTAATTGTTGGAAAGTTATCATTTACTCTTCTCAGTCTGGATTGATTGTGAGCCTCTTTCAAAGGAAGGTAGAAAGTTTCAGCCTCCCAAGGCAAAACCATGTTCTAGAAATCCAAAATGAAAGTGAACTTGGACAAAAAAGAATTTGCAATTAACTTCTTTTTCATTTTCAAGGGCCCTGGCTGTTAACATCCGTCCTACCAACCATCACTCCCTGATGTGTTCTTTGGTGCTCAAAATTCAGAAAGCAGCTCTCGCAGGCTCTCAGGAAGTGCACCTTTCTCTACTGCCCTCCCCAGAGACAGATGCCCTGGAGGCAGAAAGGGAAGTCTCCAAGGACAGGAGGATACATGAGCCAGGAGTTTGACATCTGAGAATTTTCTGCTGTCTGTTCTGTAGTCTTTGGAGCTTCTCTGTGGACTACTCCTTTGACAGCTTTACATTTCCCCTTTGAGGCAAGGAGGCAAAGATTTCAGCAGGATGGATGAGACCTGGCTGAACTGCACAGAGATCCCGAATGCATAGGTTTAATTGCTCCCCGTCAAATGCAGTCTCTGACCTGTGGGCTGGGAAAACGTCAGACAGCGACTGCTGAGCTACTCTCTCATATTGGTGGTGCGCAGGCAGTGGAGTATCAGGATGAAAATATGTGATCAATTTTTCTAACTCTGGGTATAAAAATTTAAATCCCCTCAAGCCTTTTAAAAGCCCCGGAGAAAGCATCCCTCCAGGCGTCCTGCGCACTGGAGCACTTGAAGCAATTGACAGCCCTGCCAGCAACCTGGGAAGAGGACAAGGGAGAAAGCTTTTAGCAGCAGGGCACATCCCAGACCCCTACACTGCCTGCATTAAAAGCTAAACACCAAAAATAGTGCTGTCAATAGGAAGGTAGGAGTTTGGTCAAAATATTCACATCAGGAACAGCAATGGTGCTTACATTGAAAAAAACTGTCATAAAAGCAAAGCAGAAATACAAAATGGAGGCTATACCTGAGTAGAAGTTCCCATTTAAAAAAAAAAAAAAGTCCTGGCTGAATACCTTGCAGCCCTTAGAGAGAACAATCTCTCGGAAACGTAAGGTAGAGAAAACACCAGATTGTGAGACTGACAACCTGGGTTCAACTCCCAATTCTGTCGTTTCATAAAACCCCCACTTTATAAAATGGGAGTGATTTTAAGTAACCAGGATAACCTATAGCATTGTGAAAATGAAGCGAAGTAACACTGGGTTCCCAGCTCTACCACAGTATGCCAGTAAAGTCCTCATGTCCTCCAGGTTAAAGGGCAGAGAGAAAACAGTGAACTGTGAGAGCCCAGGGGACATGGGGACTTCAGAAGGGACCATGCTGAAGAGATACCATGGAGTGGAATTAAGAAAGGATCATTGGGCTGGGTGCGGTGGCTCACGCCTGTAATCCCAGCACTTTGGGAGGCCAAGGCGGGTGGATCATGAGGTCCGTAGTTCAAGACCAGCCTGGACAATATGGTGAAACCCCATCTCTACTAAAAATACAAAAAATTAGCCGGGCTTGGGCATGGTGGCGGGTGCCTGTAATCCCAGCTACTCGGGAGGCTGAGGCAGAGAACAGCTTGGACCCGGGAGGCAGAGGTTGCCGTGAGCTGAGATCGCGCCACTGCCCTCCAGCCTGGGCAACAGAGCAAGACTCTGTCTCAAAAAAAAAAAAAAAAAGAAAGAAAAGGAAAAAGAAAGGACCACTGGACTGGCCCAGCAGAGGTCACCTTGACTTTACAGTGTCCAATTATAGTACAAGGTGCGGTCAAGCACCAGCTTACAGGAAGGTGAGACAATGTCGGTGTGGCCCAGCCAAGGGCTTAGCTGGGAAATTGCCAGGCATCTCAAGGCAGCATCGGGGCTGAGGAAACAAGACCCACCCTTCCTTCCTTCTAGAGGTGGCCTTCATCTCAGAGTTTCCATAGAAACCTAAAATCTGGTTTTCGTAGAAAGTTGAAGGTCTTGAAGCGTATTATCTAGGAGTTAAGAATGGGGGTTTCCTCTAGGCTTCTGGTTCCAGAGAACAATATTGGGAAGTTATAACGTCCCCTTGATCTAAATTCAAATCAGAATGAGAACATCAAACAAATCTTTTCTTATCTTACCACCCATTTCCACTCTCATTTTAAAGCAAAAGAATTCAATCCTATTTATTTAACAGCAAAATGAGGAGTGCCCTTTTTTCGGGTTTCATAGTTGTTACCATGTGCCCAGCTCCCTGGTCTCTTCAGCCTTTAAACTGTCATTGTCCTGCCCTCCATGAATATTTCCTAAAATGACCAATATGGGACTTTTTTTTTCCTTTAGGATTTTTCTTAGTTCAGTGTGTTTAAAGAATGGGTTTGCCCTCCCAAAGAGTTGCCAGTAGTAATGGGTATGTTTTGGGTCTGAGTGTGTGTGTGTGTGTTTGGACACAATAAGATGGTTTGAGTACACTGGGTATACAGCCCCATGCGTAAGGGGCCCATTATCTAATAGGTATGCATGCAAATTATATGCTTCTACCTATTCCTTCTGTCAGAAAAACCAGTACAGCTCTGTCTCCCCCACTGCTCCTAGATTCTAGGATTTTAGCTCTTGCAAGAACCTTGGAAATCTTTCCAGAAACCTCATTTTGCAGACGAGGAGATTGAGGCATAGAAAGAAGGATTTGCCTGTGGTTACCTAGCTGATACCCAAACCCCTTCTGAGGCTCTTCTCACTGCAGCGCTCTGTGCCCCAGGTGTCAAGAGTCACCATTCCATTCCAACCTTAGGCTGCCATCCTGGGAACTGCAGAGAATCTCAGGCACCGAAGAATGGGGCCAATCTACCTCTTCAGGAGTTCTTGATTCTCCCCCGTGTTCTTCCACCTCCCTCCCTCAACCATCTCCACCCTTCAGTGGCTGTAAGACATGGCAGGACCAGGCTGGCTCAGCCGCATGGTCAAGCAAGGATGCCTGTGCGTGGCCCCTGCGTAGTCCGGCTTGGTCAGGGTTGACCCTTGGGGCAGCGCTGCCTTCCTGGAGGAGCTGGTCTAGCCGGCAGGCCCACACAGGGAGGAGCACGTTGTCCTGCCCTGACCTTCTATCTGACGCCGTGGCCTCCTGTGTGGGCTTCTTGAGTTCTGGAGGACCTTGTCCCCTGACTGTCTTTGTTTTTGCAGCTTGTGGACTACCGGGCAGAGTTCAGCAAATGGTGGCTGACTGAGTTCAAAACAGTCAAGTTTCCTTCCCAAGGAACCATCTTTGACTATTACATCGACCCAGAGACCAAGAAATTCGAGCCTTGGTCCAAGCTCGTCCCCCAGTTCGAATTTGACCCCGAGATGCCCTTGCAGGTGAGTGCAGCTGAGCAGCCGAGGACGTGCGTGCAGTTGCCCTCAAGGATCTGCAGTGGCTCCAGTAGCAGCCCCGCATGGCTATCTGAGCATTTGTCCTTGCTAGGAACTAGTCATCCCCAGCTCCATGACTTTGCAGAGGAGATGATGGGTGTAATGAAGTCACAGATTCTACTAAAGGCCAGGACATTTCCTCAAGAGAGGAGGAAATGGCAGGGGCAGAAGATTTTAAAATGCATTAGAGAGGCCACAGAGAAAGAGGCCCGGGTGGTAGAGGAGAGCGGGGAAGCTCTCTGCCTAACTGCGGGGAGCCCAGAGAGTGAGTCTGTAGAATGGTCCCACTGTGAACATCAGGGAAGATACTCCTGACCGGTGCTTATTTGGGGAGCTCCATCGTGACGGAATCCCCTGTTCTGAAATGCTTCGGAACGCCGCTGGTGCATCTGTTTCTCCCTAGAGCCCACCCTTGGCAGGCTTATTGTGCTCCCATTCCAGGCGTGTTTGGTGCACACGAGTGAGACCATCCGTGTGTGCTACTTCATGGAGCGGTTGATGGCGCGGCAGCGGCCTGTCATGCTGGTGGGCACGGCTGGCACTGGCAAGTCGGTGCTGGTGGGAGCTAAGCTGGCCAGCCTTGACCCCGAGGCATACCTGGTGAAAAACGTGCCATTCAACTACTACACCACGTCAGCAATGCTGCAGGGTAAGCAGCCCAGGGCACCTGGGGTGGGGGGCATCTGGGTGGCCGTGTCACCTGACACAGAGCTGAAGCCAAGCGTCAGGTGCCTGCCTGACTTGAGTTCTGCATACCCCAGCACTGCGCACTTCCTCCCACACGCCCCTTCTCACCTCTCCCTACACACCTCTTTCTGGCTCCTCCAGCACCCCTTAGCACTGCTTCTGGTCTTTCTTTCTACATTCCTCCCTGGTCTGTTAAATTCCTCAAGAGCAAGGTGTTCAACACAGAGCAGTTCAGCACCTTGATGACAAAGAGAGCTACAAGCCATGGAGAGATTTGCAAGAACTTGCAGACTTCCGGCACTGAAAGTATCTCTAGAGATCATTTAATTCATCTCTCATATGTTATGGGTGGGGAAACTGAGGCTCAGGTAAAAGGATGTGATTGCCCAAAGTCACCACCAAGTGGTGAGGCAGGCATGACACATCTGGTCTGACTCCACCTGGGGCTTGCTTTTCCCCGGTGTTTACACACAGAGCTCCCAAATAGACATGGGCCACCGGTGATGTTTTACCCTTGCCAGAGTCTCTCTCCCCTTAACTCATTTACGACACAGTCTCCTTTTTTATGGAAACAACACATTAACTAAAACAGCTTTGTTTTGGAGAAGCTTCCAAGCCATTCTTCCAACAAAATGAGGGGAGAGGCAGGGCTGGGGAGAAACCCTGTTCTTACTTCCCAAACACCGACAGCCTTGTCCCACTCTGTTACTTGGTCTGAGCTTTCCCAGGTGACACTGCAGTGCCTCCCCACACCTAGATATGAGCTGTTTGCAGCTGGATAAGTTAGGAGCCATAGCTTATAATGTGAAAAGTGAACCTGGCACTCTCGTTATCCGCTACATCACCCAGGCCTTAGGCCAGCAGACTTGCAAAGCAGGCTTCGTGTGCACCACCACTTGCTCTGCCATGACCATTTTACCCAGTCTTTCTGCCATCCCTGCCTGGTGTAAACCAGAGTCAGCCCGCGATGTTGCCTCTGCTGACACTCTGCTTTCCCCAGTGCCCCTGGGGGAATTCTTTCTGCAAAGTTTTGCCAGCTCTTGTAGGATTAGGGTCTAGCCAACTCAAAATGCTGATGGGGGGGAGCACCACCTCTGCTCTCTGCCCCTCAGAGCAGCTAGGTGCCTGGAGCATGTGGACAGAGATTCCGGCTTCCCCCCACCCGCCCTTCGATGGCAGAGACTTCTTCACCTATTTCAAACTCACCTCTAGACTTCATCCACTGCTGAGCCAATCCCAATCCAGCAACTGACTGTAGTTCAGACATGAAAATTAACAAGTAAGACAAAATGAAGCAACAAAGATTTACATCAGAACTTTACTAGTTTGTCAAAGATGTAAACATCTTCTATTCAAGTACTGAAGGAATCGTTCTTCCATTTTTTGTGCTCTTCACAATGTCACAGCAACAAGCATGACATACTTTTAAGTATAATCTGTATTATTAACATTTTCCTTATATTTTCACAAGTCTACAAAACAAATCAAACCCTGGTTTGTGGTGTTTGCCAATTTCCATGGTGTAAATACTCCCACCGTGGCCAATTGTAAGCTACCAATGCAATGTCAGTGAACAAGGAGTCAGGAAGAGATACACAGTAGCACACCATTATAAACATTTCCACTTCACAGATACAATGGATGAAAATAACCTCCAGTATACACATGATAGTAAATGTCATAAAATGTGATGAGTTTTGAATATTTATTACCATGATTTTCAATATAATTTACTTAATTTTAAGTTTATCTATACCTATTTATTTATTTATTTTTGAGATGGAGTTTCACTCTTTGTCACCCAGGCTGGAGTGCAGTGGCATGAGGCTTGGCTCACTGCAACCTCTGCCTCCCGGGTTCAAGCAATTCTCTTGTCTCAGCCTCCCAAGTAGCTGGGATTACAGGCACCTGCCAAGACACCCAGCTAATTTTTGGATTTTTAGTGGAGACAGGGTTTCACCATGTTGGCCAGGCTGGTCTCGAACTCCTGACCTCAGGTGATCCACCTGCCTCGGCCTCCCAAAGTGCTGGGATTACAGGTGTGAGCCACTGCAGCCAGCCTAATTTATTTTTTAATAATGGTCATGTTTAACAACCAGCTTGCACAATTCCCTTGGTTTCAATAATCAGCTCCAATAAACCACTGGCTTAGTCCTTACTCCATGAAGCCTCAATACTATCATATCTTAACCTTCCATCAAGGCCGAAGTCATCACATCAGCACCTGGCAGTGGCCTTAAGCCGACTTCACCTGTCTGGCTAATTTAAATCTTAGCAGTTCGCTGTCTGCCTCATAGAATTCCTCTTTCTTGTTCAAATATGTACCCTTATTTTCAAGCCTTGAGTCCAACAACTGATCAGATTACCAGCTCTGCCCATTTACCTCAATTCTTACTACTGTTACAACTACACTACTACTACTAATAATAATAATAATAGCAACAACAACAACTGACATTTATCAAAGACTTATCAGGAGTGTGAATCTGACTTAGACTTTTACACTTTTCTCTTTTTTTACTTCTTAAATCTTGTACAGCCCTGTGAATAAGAATTTGTATTACCTTCATTTTATACATGAGAAAACTAAGGCACAGAGAAGTTAAACAAGCTACCTTATGACACACAGTAAGTTGGGGAGCCAAGGTTTGACCCCAGAGAGTCTGACTTCAGAGCCTGTGCTCTTAACCACTAGGCTATACTGCTTCCCTGCTAAGAAAATACTTTGAAAGCTGCAATAAATATTCAACATTATTACTATTATCATTAGGAGTACTATTCAAGTATTCCAGAGGAATGTTTTTGTATTTAATTGATTTTCTATTTAAATGATTTTCTATTTAATTTTACTAAATAGAATAATAATTTATTCTAAAATTATTAAAATTAATAATCTAATAAAATTAAACAGAAAAAGTGATTTAATTCTATTAAAGTGGTTTTATAATATTTTTAAAATATCCTTTAAATAGAGGGTAAACATTTGGAAGCAAGGAAGAGAAGATGAGTTTCTCACACTGCCCTGACCTGTCATTCTCACTCTGGATCTCTCACCTAGAGGGCTTTCTCCTTCCCTCCTGTTAGAACACAGAGAATTTCTTTTTTTCTTTCTTGAGACAGAGTCTCGCTCTCTCACCCAGGCTGGAGTGCAGTGGTGTAATCTTGGTTCATTGTATCCTCTGCCTCCTAGGTTCAAGCGATTCTCCTGCCTCAGCCTCCCCAGTAGTGACTACAAAAAAATCTCAAAATGCTATTAAATAGGGCCGAGATGAAAACTGGCTCTCACTGTAGCTGAGCATTCACCAAAACCCAACACTTTCTGTTTCTTGTTAATTCCCTAATGGCCTCTTGGTAACGTTAGATCTTGAAGCCAACCCTCCTAGCACACTAAGGGATGGAGAAAGCTACTGTTCCATAACCTCTCCTGTCCAGAGGCAACCAGGAATTGGGGAGTCAGCCGAAGCCCAGAGTAGCAGCATATATGTTACAACATTCATGCAATAAAGCTCAGATCCTTAACTCTGAAAAATGCTGTATTCCCTTATGGGAACTTCCTTCCTCTTGCCTTGTTCACAGTGCAAACAATCTTGATTATTTGGGCTTCTTAGCCCAAGACATTTTAAGAGCAACAAAATGGCAGAAGAAAGGGTGTTACCAACGATTTAAAAAGTGACAGCTAGAAACCAGGTATCAAACAGGAATTTGGAGAATCAGCTGAATGTAAGAGAGATGTGTAAACTCAAAAGACAGCTGCTCTAGTATCATTCAATGAAGAGGCAAACTGTTGCACCTCCTTCATGAACCCGTTAACTCATTTTGCAGCCCAGTGTCTTAATCGTTATTTGCACTTGAGACCCTGTGTATTTAAGAAAAAGTTGGATGTGAGGTGGCATAGTCTGCTTGAAAGGACAGTTAGAACACCCAGACAGATGTGCAAATTTATGTTTATAATGTGTCTGTAATGGTAAAAGGGGAGAAACAGCCTAATTGTCTGTATGATAGAATACTAAGCAATGTTGGAAAGAATGAGAAAATTCTGTAGGCACTGAGTTGGAACTATTTCCAAAATTTTGTTGAGTGAGAAAAGGAAGATATAGAACAGTATATATAGCATGCTCCAAACTGTATCTTGTTTAAAAAGAAATATATAAAAATTTACTCACTTATATGATTTTTTAAAATATATATAATATATACACATACACATAATTTATGCTTATATAAAAACTTAGACAATCTCCAGAAGGACACAAAAGAAACACAGACAGCAGTTGTCCCTGGCAAGGGAAACTGACTGGGTGCTGAGGGTGGAATAGAGAATTATTTAAACCTTTTATGTTTAATTATAAAATATTTCAAACATGTACAAAAGTACAGAAAACAATATAACAGATGCCAGTGTAGCACTATCCAGATTTAACAGATGCTAAAGTGTTAGCATTATGCTAAATGGAACTTAGCCTTATGAGTGCAGCTAATAAGTGGGGCGTGGAGGCTCATGCCTGTAATCCCAGCACTTTGGGAGGCTGAGGCGGGCAGATCACCTGAGGTCAGGAGTTCGAGACCAGCCTGGCCAACATGGTGAAACCCTGTCTCTATCAAAAATACAAAAAAAAAAATTAGCCAGGCGTGGTGGTGCGTGCCTGTAGTCCCAGCTACTCAGGAGGCTGAGGCAGGAGAATCGCTTAAACCTGGGAGGTTGAGGTTGCAGTGAGCCAAGATCACATCACTGCTCTCCAGCCTGGGCAACAGAGTGAGATCCCTGCCACAAAATAAAATAAAATAGAATTAAAAACAAGTACAGCTAATACACCACCCCTGTCGCTCCTTTCTCCTTCCTGCCCCTTATTAACTAGAGTACTAAACTCAATGTGTATCATTACAAGTTTACACTCTTGAAACAAATATGTAGCCATAAAATACATAGTGTTGCATACTTAAACTTTAAATTTGCCATACTATACCTTTCTTTGGCAACTTACTTGCATTAGTCTGTTCTCACACTGCTATAAAGACATTCCCGAGACTGGGTAATTTATAAAGGACAGAGGTTTAATGGACTCACAGTTCCATATGACTGGGGAAGCCTCACAGTCATGGTGGAAGGCAAAGGAGGAGCAAAAGCACATCCCACATGGTGGCAGGCAAGAGCGTGTGTGTGGGGGAACTGCCATTTATAAAGCCATCAAATCTCATGAGACTTATTCACTATCATGAGACCAGCACAGGAAACCCGTCCTCATGATTCAATTACCTCCCACCAGGTAGGACACGTAGGGATTATGGGAGCTACAATTCAAGATGAGATTAGGGTGGGGACACAGCCAACCCATATCATTACTATTTTAATCATTGTCTTAATACATGCAGATCTATTTCATATATTTTCGCTGCTGCATAGAATTCCATTGTGTGAATAAATCACAGCTCATCCTTTCTCCTACTGAAAGGCAGCATAATCTTTTTACATTTTTTCTTTTCTAAAAAAAACTATATTGAGTTATAATCGACATACAATAAACTGTACATATTTAAGGTGTACAATTTGATACATTTCAAAATATTTATACATCATGAAATCATCATAATTGAAATAATGAACATAACCGTCACCTCCAAACGTTTCCTCACGTTCCTTTGTAATCCCTTCCTCCCAACGCCCCCCACCTGCCCTGTTTCAGACAACAACTGATCTGCTTTCTATCACTATAAATTAGTTTGCATTTTCTAGAAATTTATGTAATGGAGTCACAAAATGTGCACTCTCTTTTTGCCTGGCTTCTTTCACTCAGCATGATTTTGAGATTTATCCATGTTGTTGAGTGAATCAACAGTTCATTCTTTTCATTCTTGAATAGTAAGATAAAGTATGTAAAACACTCAAAATGATTCCCAGCATACAATAAGTGCTTTGTAAATGGAAGCTGTTATTATAATCATATTAACAACATACTTCTCAAATTTAAGAATCTACATTGAACAATAATTTCTAAGCCCCAACTGCCAAAAACAAAAAAACAACAAAAGCAAACCTTTTTTGCTTGAAAAATAAGTTTAACACAAGCTATGCTAAAACAGAAATAATGTTTTGGGAAAAAATATTCCAGCTTTCAAATAGACAGTAACTCCACCCAGTAGGTCAATCCCTAGAGGTCTCCAGGGGGACTTTTTGCAGCTCATTCATCCTGCCAATCCATCAGATGCTATTTTTCTCAAAATCAGATGTTCTTTTTTTTTTTTTTTTTTTTTTTTTTTGAGACAGAGTCTTGCTCTGTCCCCCAGGCTGGAGTGCAGTGGCGCGATCTCGGCTCACTGCAAGCTCCGCCTCCTGGGTTCACGCCATTCTCCTGCCTCAGCCTCCCAAGTAGCTGGGACTACAGGCACCCGCCACCATGCCCGGCTAATTTTTTGTATTTTTAGTAGAGACGGGATTTCACCGTGGTCTCAATCTCCTGACCTCGTGATCCGCCCGCCTCGGGCTCCCAAAGTGCTGGGATTATAGGCGTGAGCCACCGCGCCGGGCCAATCAGATGTTCTTTTATAGAGGAGGCAGCTGGCTGATAATACCTGCATTTCTCCTCTCTTTCACTACATCCAGTTGTGGAGTCTCCATTGTATTTCTCTAAACATGGATTCAGAACTCCTTGATACCAGTGGGGGCTGTGCTTCCGACTTACAGTATGGATAGCACACACTTTAATGTTTACAGTTGGTCAACCCTTGTACAAAGGGCTTTCCTCACCTTAGTTCTTTAATCCTCCCCAGCCTATGAAACTATTTCAGTATGGCTTTTGACCGCAAGTAGTGGAAAATCTGACGTTAGTGGCGTAAATATTCTGTTTTTTATAAGACAGGAATTCTGAAGGTGGGCAGTTGCTAATATCAGGTTAATGACAGTGATATCAATGTTAAGATATTTGCTGTTCTCTTGGCTGCTCCTTCAAGGTGGCAGAATGGCTGCTGTATCAGCCATCACATCTGCATTCAAAAAAAAAAAAAAAAAGTGGTAGGGGGAGATAGAGCCCATGTCCTGACATGATAACTCTCCAGGAACTTTATAAACTTATGCCTATGTCTTCATGTTCAAAACTGTGCCTCATGACCACCCCAGCTGAAGACTGCCTAAAGAGAAGGAGGTTGGAAATGGTGTCCAGCACAGATCTGATGATAGTCCCCATTTTAACAAGTTAATTAAATGAAGCTTAGAGGTGTTAAGGACTTATCTCAAAGTCATCCTATGAGTTAACACCAAAGCTGTCTAATTTCATGAAACTATGAAGACCTTCTACTTTGATAAGACTTTAAGTCATACATCTTAATTTTCATAATAGAACGCCAACTCTGCTTCCACTCATCTGATATCTAGAGCATATGGATATCTTCTTCTGTGATAGTCAATATAATAGGCCCTTCCATCAGTCATTGAAAAAGTCAGCCTTCAATTGACTACTGGGTAGTCATGCACAAACCACAGGTTCATAACACTGACACCTCAAGCTGAGAGAGACAGAGATCTGTGTTCATTCTCCATTCCAGCAGTTTCTCTGAACTCCACAAACCTAGCTGTACTGCTTTCATTCCCTTCATTAAATTACAACATAATGGTCCGCCCTTGGGTTTTGTTGAGGGTTACTATAATAAAAGATAATTTTAAGTTATTTTTTATGCCTTCTGTAAAATCTCAGTTGAAGACCATTCTGTAGCCTGATATCTGTTTTATAAATATCTGTGATATATGCCTCCTAGAATTTGGTGCCTGCAAAATTTTTAGAGGAAAGAAGAGATGGCTCTGTACCAGTAACTTGAGTGAGATGACATGGTTATTGTAATTAAACACAGATTTAGTTCTGAGCTTTCAGGCAAGCAGTTCATAAAGGAAAATTTGAGATCAATTTTTACGTGTTTACAGTAACTATGTCATCCTACATTACTAGTGTAATTAAGTTTCTTCTCATTCTGTATTGTTTAGCAATCCCTATTTAGTCTTTATTGTAATTGGTCTGTTTTATGTCTCTTTAAAGACTTTAAGTCTCTTCTTGTTCTTTTTGAAAATATAAATAATTTTTAAAACAAAAGAATTCATAAAGACCCACAAGACAGAATGGTTTAGAAGCAGGATAGTTTAGAAAAGTAGGAACAAAGAGCTTGGTTAAGGCATCAATGGGCTTATAGTTTTAGTGTACAGAGAGAAGGCCAAAGATCAAGCTCATCACAGTTCTGAATTCTCTTGCCATTTGCATTATTAGCTCAACAAATATTTGAGTGCTTAATTACACTAATTATATAGGAACTCAGATGTCTGAAACTTTATGTAAAATGAATCTCTGTAACCTGTTTATTATAAACCGCAAGGTTGGACAGAACCTTAAAAGATCTAATCAAATGTCCAATCTCAAAGGGCATTGTGCTTACAATTATTACAGAAAGACAGCTCTCTCCCACCTAATACCTTTCACTTAATGACACAAATCATAGTGAAATCATCAAAGATTTATCATCTAGTGAGGAAGACATTCTACTTGGAATTGTGGAAAGTTCAAATATAGTATAATGAAATTGAAGGGGATGGATGGGGTAATACACAAGATAATAAGTAAAGATATATTAGGAGGTAACAAGTGATGTAAAGAGACATGAAGCTGGGGCAGAGGATAGCAGGTGGGGCTTTGAACTTTAGGGCGCGTACCAGGGAAGACCTTACTGGAAAAATAGCACCTGGGTAAATAAACACCTGCTGGGGTATGAGGGAGCAAACTGTGCTGGCATTTGGAAGAAGAGGATTCGAGGCAGAGGGTACAGCCAGAGCAAAGCCATGGGTCAGCGAGTGACTCATGATCAGAAACAACTACTCGGGAGGCTAAGGCAGGAGAATTGCTTGAACCCAGGAGACGGAGGTTGCAGTGAGCCAGCCAAAACAGTGCCACTGCATTCCAGCCTGGGCGACAGAGTGAGACTCCATCTCAAAAAAAAAAAAAAAAAAAAAAAAAAAAAAAAAGAAAAGGGAAGAAAAAAAAGAGAAACGGGGTGCCTGGAGCAGAGCTTGAGGAGGAGAACAGGAGAGAAAAACAAAGATGCAAGTTTAGTGGAAGTCAACAAACTGGCTTTTGCTCCAAGTGAGACAGGATGCCACTGGAGGGCATAAAACAGGGGATGGGCGTGATCCAATTTACATTTTACAAGGGTATTCTTGTCTGCCGTTTTGAGAATATGGTGTAGGGAGTCTAGGGCAAAAGCTACACATCTTACCATTTGGGAAGATGTGTAGTTACCAGGTGAGAGCAGATGGACAAGGAAGGCAGCAGTGGAGACGGCGAAAAGAGATAACAAATGGGAAGCCACTTTGAAAATTAAATTGCAGGCCGGGCACAGTGGCTCGTGCCTGTAATCCCAGCACTTTGGGAGGCTGAGGTGGGCAGATCACCTGAGGTCAGGAATTCGAGACCAGCCTAAGCAACATGGAGAAACCCCATCTCTACTAAAAACACAAAATTAGCCAGGTGTGGTGGTGTATGCCTGTAATCCCAGCTACTTGGGAGGCTGAGGCAGGAGAATTGCTTGAACCCAGGAGGCAGAGGTTGCAGTAAGCCGAGGTTGCACCACGGCACTCCAGCCTGGGCAACAAGAGTGAAACTCCATCTCAAAAAAAAAGAAGAAAATTAAATTGCCCTTCAAGTATAAGATGGCAGTGCAATAGTATCCAGAGAATGGCCATTCACCCTGGTGCAGCAGCTGACACGGGTCTGTGTGGCCAAAGACTGAACCCCAACCTGTTCCATACGGGTCTTGAGGAGAAATTCAGCCAGAATGTACAGACGACCTTGGGCCTGGGCTCCAGGTGTGGGCTTGAGTTTCCAGGCTTGTTGAGAACAGTCAGAACCCAGAAGTGTGGCGAGAGGGTCACATTTCTTTACATGTCTCATTCGTTCAGCTCCTTCAACATCAACACTTTTCCTGAAACTCAAACCCTCTTCTTCTCCTCCAATTCTACTTGGAAACAGAGTAGCTCACTGTAATTCCATCCTAGGTGTGACATGGAGCACAGCATGGCCAAGAAGGGATCAACAATGTGCCTGTCTTTCCTGGTGGACCCTTTCTTTCTCTGGAGAATTTAGGATCATCTGCCTGAGATAATCCCGTGCGCTCCATGGCCACTTCTTGCTAACTGACATGGTTTTCTCCTCAACGATCCTTTTAAAGCATAAAGAGCTTAATCAACCCAAATTACAGGGTCTGCTTAATTCCAGGGGTTGATTTGAATATCATTGCCTTGGGAGGAGGAGAAACAAGTCTTTCTAAGGAGAGAATTTCCTATTAGAAGAACTGTTCTCAAAAGCATGTCCTTGTCAACCCATGAATTATATTTCATTTTGACAGATCTCACATATAGTTGTTATATCTTTAGGGGGGAAGAAGGTGTTGTGTGATTAATTGGTTGATAGTGTATGTTAATTGGATGCTAATTAAATTTAAATTTAATTCATATTTGAAACACTTAATTTAACTCAGGACCAGAAAATTAGAATATTCGAGCTTCTTGAAGGAACTTGTCTATCTGTCACCTTCATATGTCTATTGACACTTTCTCCTTGTTTACAAACTTGTTTTTCAAGAGAAGAAATCAGATGGTTCTCAGAGCTTCCAGCTGTAACAGGAAGTGTTGGTTCTTGCAATTCATAAATATTTCATTGCTTTACTGGAAAAAGTACAGATATCTCCACCCTATTACTTAAGTTTGTTCTAAACAAGTCCTGTCATGCTGGAAAACTGCTGTTAGATCCTTCCTTTGGCTTGATAATTGAAGAAACCACTCCAGAAAAGAGTTTCTGCACTCTGTCTCCAGAAAGGCACCAAGGTGCTCAGATAGAGAGCCAGGAAACCTGAGAGCTGGGGAGGGCACCGTTCATGACACTGGAAGCATCTGGGAAATTCTCTGAGGCTGTTTTTTCTACATCCCACCAAGGAAAATCCCACGAGATGAACTCTCTGGGAACACTGTTGGCAAAACATCCATTGAGGCCTCTCTTACAGCCTCGGAGAGGAAAGGGCATCTACCCAGCCCTGGAAGGGGAGCGGCAGCCTTTATGCATTTTTGCTGCCTTTGGTAGAGAGGGCAACTCTACCCAGGATTCAACTATTCATAAGCTTCCTTGGAGTAGAGTACCTGGCCTTGGGACTGTAAAGATATTTTCCATTTTTAGTATGTAAACAAAGAAAACTGGGGACCACAAGTATGACAGAAGAAGCATGGTCTTTGAGTTTTAACCACTGTGGTTTGTATCCAGCCAGTAAAGTTGCTGAGTTCTTTTGAGCCTTGGTTTCCTCATCTGTAAAATGGGATAATACTAATCTCACAGTTATGTTATAAGGATTAAATGAGGTAATTAAGATGTCTAAAAACTTAGCACAGTGCACGTGGTGAGGTGTTCAGTCCCCATTACTGCCTAGTAATTTCAGTTTCACTTTCTGGTCCTGTAGAATGCCTGTTGGGAGCAGCAGTAGCTGTTATTATTGTTGTCTTTCGCGTTGCTGTTTTTTGCACACATGAAGGCAGCACCATTGCTTCTCCTTGAAATCTTTGCTGTCTCAGTACTGGCATCTGAGATTTGAGCCGCCTTCCCTCACCGACTGGCTCTCTCCCCAGCTGTCCTGGAGAAGCCTCTGGAAAAGAAGGCTGGCAGAAACTATGGCCCTCCAGGGAACAAGAAACTCATCTATTTCATTGATGACATGAACATGCCTGAGGTGGATGCCTACGGGACGGTGCAGCCCCACACCATCATCCGGCAGCATCTGGACTATGGCCACTGGTAAGAGCGCCCATGTAGAGGGACTGGCCCAAGGGAGCAGAGCCTAAGGCAGGGCTGAAGGCCAGTCTCTATTCTGCCTGAACGGCAAACCTCAGCATAGCTCTGGTGCCAGATGGGAATCTTTGTGGTAAACCACATTTCTCATTCAATTCTCTATTTCCCAGAGTGGTTCCTTCAAACAGGAGCACTAATATTCACATGAAACATTTAGCCAGAGAAGACACTGAGCTCTCATCTAAGGAAAAAAAACCTACTTTTTGCTTCAAGACTCATCTCCGAAGTTGCCTTTTTCACATGCCCGAAGCAGAATTAACCACTTCCCCTGCACCATGGCCCCACAGCACTGGGCATGTGCTTCAATGATAACACCTAACACACGCCAGGTGCAGTGGCTCATGCCTGTAATCCCAGCACTTTGGGAGGCTAAGGCGGGTGGATCACAAGGTCAGGAGTTCGAGACCAGCCTGGCCAACATGGTGAAACCCCGTCTGTACTGAAAATACAAAAATTAGCCAGGCGTGATGGCAGGCGCCTGTAGTCCCAGCTACTCGGGAGGCTGAGGCAGGAGAATAGCTTGAACCTGGTAGGCGGAGATTGCAGTGAGCTGAGATCATACCACTGCACTCCAGCCTGGGCAACAGAGCGAGACTCCATCTTAAAAAAAAAAAACAAACAAAAAAAAAACTACCAAACACCCGGTACCATGCACCGTGTCTGCAGACCTTCCAGCCTCAGTGCCTTCAGAGCAGCTCAGAGGGCTGGATAGTATCTCTTGCGACAGCATAATTTTTAATGGCAAAAGTCTGAACTTACTAGGAAAAAAAAAAAAAGCAAGTCACTGATTTGAGACAACTTTGACTCACCTTTCTACCGCATACTGAATCTGCTGCTGAGAAAGAGTGAGAAGAGAGAATTCAGAGAGAAGAATGTTAGTTAAGATGGCAACTTGAGTTGCCTTCTCTTCCTTCCCAAAATCTTTATTGGATGCTTGAACTATGGAACTGTTTGCAATCTCCACACTGACATCTGAGCAGCTTAATTTCATGGACAATCATTAGAGTCAAGCTAACTAGTTTTACTTTAGATTCATGGTCACAAACCTTAAATGGGAAGTAGAAGCTTCCTGGAAATTCTACCATATGGCCTTAGTATGTCCACTCTCAGAAATGTCTATTTCATTCCATCTTCCCTCTCTTTGATCTTCCCACCACACCTCAGCTGATGACCTTGCCTTCTCAGAGAACACAGATGCCGCCTCCATTTCTTGCTTCCACATCTATACAACTCACCCGTGTCCCCATGCATCTCTCCTCCACCCTCCTGTTACATCTTACCTAAGGCCAAACCTTCCACCAGCCTCTTCATTCTACCGTCTCCCACTCATCGATCGGTCCCCATCTCCTCATTAGCTGCTTCACATCATTTAAACTTGCATAAACAGGCTGGGTGCAGTGGCTTATGCCTGTAATCCCAGCACTTTGGGAGGCCAAGGTGGGCGAATCACTTGAGCCCAGGAGTTTGAGATCAGCCTGGCCAACATGGTGAAACCCTGTCTCTACTAAAAATATAAAAATTAGCTGGATGTGGGGGCCCATGCCTGTAGTCCCAGCTACTTAGGAGGCTGAGGCAGGAGAATGGCTTGAACCCAGAAGGTAGAGGTTGCAGTGAGCCGAGATCTGCCATTGCACTCCAGCCTGGGTGACCGAGCAAGACTCCGTCTCAAAAAAAGAATAAATTAAAAATAAACTTGCATAAATTTATTCTATTGGGTTAAAAAATTACTTTATAATTACTGTTCTGTCCCCACTCTCTTATCTCCCACTCACTCCTCAATCCACTATTATTTGATTTCTGTTCCCTCCACTGTTCTTACTAAACTACTATCTGCATCATTATTACAAAATCCAAGAAATCCTTTGCAAGCTTGTCCAGCTGCCTTATTTTGTTGTTGTTGTTGTTCTGGTTTGTTTTGTTTTAGGCTTTTAGCAGCCTGAAACCATGGTTTTTAGTTTCTGTCTCTAGTGATAAGTGGAAAAGAGGGATGAGGAAGGGGCATTACTGGCCCAACCAGAGATGGAAGCTAAGAACCCATGACTGCATTCTCTCCCTTAGACACCCCTGCTGAAGTCACTACCTTTGTTATTCTCTCTGCAGCCCTTGATGTGGTTGACCACTCTCTTCTTTTGAGAACACTGGCTTCCTTTGCCTTTTGGTATGGCACGAACCCCTGATTTTTCTCCTATCTTTTTGTCCATCCTGCTGGCTCGTCTTCCTATGCTATTTCCTTAGATATGGAGGTACCTTGGGAATCTGTCTTATGCTCTTATCTCTTCTCAATCCCTGCCGGTGGATCTAGACTTTTTTATCACCCAAACACATGAACAGTAGGGCACATCCTACCGCACCTTGACAAAGCACTCACCTGCCTCAGTCCTCAGACACCTTTCACCTAGAGCTTCTGACTGTTCCAGGTATGATCGGAGCAAGCTGTCCCTAAAGGAGATCACAAATGTACAGTATGTTTCCTGTATGAACCCCACGGCAGGCAGCTTCACCATCAACCCCCGGCTTCAGGTACAGGAGGAGCCATGGGACCTGGGTCCTAATCCTATCTTACTAGAGCTGATGCCCCTTGATTATAAGTATAATAATTGGCCTTTTTCCCCATGCAGCCTCTCAGAATGGTAAATCAGATAGAATGCCAAATTGCATCTCTAGGGGAAAAGAGAAACTCCTAGACTTAGAGTCTCAAGATTGGAAGGGGTCATAGATTTCATCTGATTTGATCCCTCTTTCTTCAGATGAGGGCGCTTCAGAGAGATGAATGACTTTCCCAGGGCCATATGGATTCTCAGTATCAAATTCAGATTTGGACTCAGATTCTCTGAGTCCAAGTTTAGTTCTCTTCCTACTGCCCCAGGCTGCCATCTTTAACTGAAGGTGCTTTGCCTGTTATTCCCCTAGTCATTTTAGGTTCAACCTAAATTTGGGCATAGTGTGAGAGATGGGACCAAAATATAGATTCGAAGGCTGTATAAGAATTTTCTGTTATCTCCAAATTCAGAAGCGGTGATTTCTACTCCGTGGTAACGGATGTTGAGCTCATGCCTTTGTTTCCTGTACAGCGTCACTTCAGCGTGTTTGTCCTCTCCTTCCCGGGGGCAGATGCCCTGTCCTCTATCTACAGCATCATCCTCACTCAGCATCTGAAGCTCGGAAACTTCCCGGCGTCCCTGCAGAAATCCATCCCCCCACTGATCGATCTGGCCCTCGCCTTCCACCAGAAAATTGCTACCACCTTCCTACCCACAGGAATCAAATTCCACTACATCTTCAACCTCAGAGATTTTGCCAACATTTTCCAGGTGAGTTCATCGGCTCCGAGACACCCTAGGGGCTTAGTGATTATCCAGATGCTCCGATTCTTCATAAAAATAAGTAGCTAATGCCCAGCTCATAGGCACAGGCAAAGCCACTGTTCATATGTAATCATGAACATAAGCAGGTACACACAGTGCCATGGGCTCCATGAGGAAGGCCCTCAATAAAATAGAGTTTCCTTTGCCAATTAAATTATTTCTCGGTAAGCAGCATGCATCTCTGAGTTGGTTCCCTGGGGGCTGCAGAAGGCTCAACACCTTGGAGATAGTCTTATATAATGAGTCCAGTATGCCTGGGAAGAAAAATGGCCCAAAAGAAAGAAAGAAAACTATTTTGGATCTCCCATTGGTACACCTATTGATCTCGGGATGAAAAAGAGTGTTCCCCAAACTGTGCAAGATAGCTCTGCTTCCTCAAAAAACCACATTGTCATACTCCTAAGATGCCATCTGCCAGCCTCTAAGAGGGTCTCAGTCCTAAAATTCCCAGGTTCATTTCTAGACTAAAGCTGTTTCAGATCTTTCCAACTGCTTATCTGAATAGTGATGGCGTATCTCTGCCTATTGCTTCCAATTGCTTGGCTCATCACCATCAAAGTCTCCAGAGGGCCATCTAGCAAACCCAGACCCTTTCTTCCGTCTGGTCAGATGTAGTATCCTCATGTAGCCAAGTCTACAACTCTCCCATTCTGGACAAGAATCTGCAGAAACTCATTTGTAGAGAGACCTTCCCCCAAGATAATACTGGGTTATTATTGAGGGAATGATGCCTTTCACACCAAGCAGAGGCCACACCCATAAAAAAGTGTCGAAGTGATCAGGCAGTGACACCACCTTCCAATGACAGCACATGTAATTGTAATTAATTTCTCAGAGCAATTATGCAGGCAGGACTTTGAGCCAAACCATCAAAGCTCCAGACCCTGACGACATAAGGCCAGGTTGTTCCAGCCTGAACTCCTGATTGTAAGAAGCAGAAACCTACTAAACCCTGGTTCAGAGACTCAAGAGCTATGGACCAGGAAAGCTCCACCTGAAGGTGGAATCAATGAGCCCCTCAGAATGATAAGTCTCTGAGAACACATCCAGGCTAGTTCAGGATACCACTCCTGAATCAGATGTAGCTCCCAAACATTAGCTCATTTTAAAAATTAAAAACAAACAGAGACCCACATAGATCATATATATTTGCCCAGGAGCACAAGGAAGCCAGTAAAGGAACTGGAATCTAGGTCTTTGGGTTCCTGGCCTGGACGACTTTCCACCACACCTTTCTGTCCTCATCTGAATTTCCAATGAGGAAAATAAGCATGTGATGGTTAAGGCAGCAAGAGAGACTCAGCTCTGAGCCTATAAAGCCTGCATCTCTGCAGGCCTCAGGACTGGACAGCAGCAAAGTTTGTGCTTACTCACAACTAGCTCCCATTTTATGAGCATTCATTGAGAAAGACTTTTTCACCACACAATCTTTCTCTTAAATATTACTGCAGCTCTATGAAGTGGGGGTGTTACTAGGTGGATTTTTCAAATGAAAAAAAAAAGAAGTTAACATTGTTTGATCAAATCTACACTGCTCCTAAGTGACAGAACTGAAGGGAGAAGCATCAATTATGCTCCATTTATCAGAAGCAACCCAACCTTAGCTTCTGCCTGGAACAGTGGTCTTGTCCCCTGTACAACCTGAAATGTAATACTCACGACAACCCTTTGGGATAGACATTGTTATCCCAATTTAACAGAGGCTCAGAGAAGTTACTAGCTAGTCAATGACAGCGCCAATGGTCAGGGAGGTTAAAAAAAAAATTCTCGTGGAATAGCAAGGAGTTTAGCCCAGTGGGAACGACGAGTGATATGGAAAGGAGAGATGAGGTTGGAAAGGTAACTTGAGACCAGAGTGGGCCCTACTTAACAGTTAGACTTTAGTCTGTAATAATAGCCAACATTGACTGAGCACAGTGCTAAGCCCTTTACATCTATGAATGCACTTAATCCTCACAACAACCCTAGAAGGTAAAATACTGATTATTTTCAATTTAGAGATGACAAAACCGAGCCACAGACAAATCAGTCTCTTGAGCGTGACTGCATGATCGCATAATGGTAAGCAGCAGCATTGATAGAACAGCTAGAATGTTCAGCACTGCTGTGGAGGTAATTCACGGTGACAAAAGGCTTCCGGAGGAAAGAGTACACCTTGTGGTAGTGGTCACTGATGCAATATCAAGGAGGAACCAGACAGCAGAGACATGGGAGTGGAGATTGTTCCCCTGGCCTGTTTCTCTGCCTGATTCAGTTAGCCTGAGTGGAAACCCCCTGAGGTCTGCATCCCAGCCAGGCGTCTTTGCAGCCTGCCAGCTGTCAGCTGCTCCAAGTGTGGAGAACGCAACATCCCTGGAGTGCTGCCTCCCTTCTGCTACGTGGTCCCCTCACTCTCCTACTCTAAGGAGAGTTTCAGGCTCATAGCTTGACCACAGTCTCCTCCTACCTGCTGTGAAAAGAAAAACCTTAGCTAAATTAAGTTTAACAGTGTTTAACTGATCAAAGAACAATTCACGAATCCGAATTGGGTAGCCCACCGGGCCAGAGTAGGCTCAGACAGACTCCAGCAAAGCCACGTGGTGGAAGAAGATTTCTGGACAGAAAAGTGAAAGTGATGTACAGAAAACAGAAGTGAGACACAGAAACAGCTGGATTGGTTACAGCTTGGTGTTTGCCTTATTTAAACACAGTTTTAACAGCTGGCCACCTGCAATTGGGCAAAACTCAGTGATTGGCACAAGAGTAGTTACAGTCAATTTACACCTCCTTTTAAGTCATAGTTCACAATGTACAGAGCAACTTTTAGGCCATACTTAAAGCACATCAGGAGGCAGCTTTAGGCTAAACTTGATTTAACACTCCCTTCCTCCTTGAGTCTGACCAAAGGCCTGATTGAAGGGTATAGAGGGTGGTTTAATGTCTACTAGGAGACAGGCACTGCCCAGAGAACACTGTTGTTTTCCTTTATCTGGCTTGATCCCAGGCTCAGTAATTCAGAACTTCTCTGTACTCCCCTCGCTCTGTTCAGATCAGAACAGAATTTGATAGTGCTCTCATATGGTTTGGCTCTGGGTCCCCACCCAAATCTCATCTTGAATTGTACTCCCATAATTCCCACATGTTGTGGGAGGGACCAGTGAGAGATAATTGGAACCATGGGGGCAGTTTTTCCCATACTGTTCTTGTGGTAGTGAGTAAGTCTCACGAGATCTGATGATTTTATCAGGGGTTTCCGCTTTTGCATCTTTCTCATTTTCTCTTGCCACCACCATGTAAGAAGTGCCTTTTGCCTCCCACCGTGGTTCTGAGGCCTCCCCAGTCATGTGGAACTGTAAGTCCAATGAAACCCCTTTTCCTCCCAGTCTCAGGTATGTCTTTATCAGCAGCATGAAAACGGACCAGTACATGCTCTGAGTAGCAGAAATCACTAACCATTCCCATCTCAGTGCAACACATAACTATCTAAGATGGTGCAGAGTTGGCATATGACATGCTCACATTTACTCAGCCTTAATTGTCAACCACCCTGACTATTTGGCTATAACAAGATTTATAAACTTCAACTGATAGCTTGCCTCACTGTAAAACACAAAATTCTAAAGGTCTGGACTCCTGGTTGTTGCTTTTTCTTGTCCTCTGAATTTCATATATGGCAGGTACCTAGGAGAGCTAAGAAGGAGACAGAGGCTGCAATAAACATCTGGGTAGAGCCAAGGAGACCTAAGGGAATTTCTTTTTGCTTTTAATAAACTTTTATCAAAGTGTAACATACAAGTAGAAATACACAAAAGCCACAAGCATACAACTTGGTTAATTATCACAAAGGGATCTCACCTATGTAATCACCACTCAGATCAAGAAAGAAAACATTCTCAATATATCCCTGATGTTCTCCTTTGCACCTTCCATTCATGCTTTCCTGCTTTCCTCCTCTTGTCAGCCCTACATATTGTCTAAACTTCTAACATCATAAATTATTTTGACCTATTTTTGAACTTTATATAAATAGTATAGCCAATATCACTTTGTATCTTTGTTCAGTATTATATGTGTATCTCTATTTTTAATAATTGTTACTTTTTGACTTAAAGAGTAACAGTTATGTTTCTTTCTTTTCAATCCTTAAATTTTTTTAGTTCTTTTTCTTGTCTTATTGTGCTGGCTACAACTCAAGTACAATGTTGGAGAGAAGCAATGAGAGTAGCATTTTGACACAGTCGTGATTTTACAGGGAAACACTTTTAATAGTTTGCCATTAAATATGATATTCTCTACTGGTTTTTCTGGGTACCTTTTACCTGATTAAGGAAATATTTTTCTGTGTATAGTTTGCTAAGAGTTTTAATTATGAATATGTGTTGAAACTTAACAAATGATTTTTCTGCCATCTGTTTAATTATATAAAGTTTTTCTCTTCTATTCTGGTAATATGATAAATTAATTGATTATTTTCAAACATTAAATCAACCATTCCTGGAATCAACTCATTTTGGTTGTTACATGCTCTTTTTTAAATATTTTCCTAGGTTTCATTTGATAATTTTTAATATAATTTTTGAATCTGTATTCATAAGATTGTCTTGTAATCTTTCTCTAATATTCTAAGGTTATAAAGTCCTCATAAAATACTTTGAGAAGTGTTTCCTCTTTTTCTGTTCTCTAAAAGATTTAGTAAAACATTGTATTGTGCTTTCCTTAAATGTTGGAAGAATTTACTGGTGAAACCACCTGGAGGTTTGTTTGGTAGAGGTTTTAAATTATAAATTCAAATTCTTTAATATGTATAAGACTATTCAGATTGTCTATTTCTTCATGTGTCAGTCATGTTAAGACATCCTTGTTATCAATAGTTGCTAATTTATTGGCATAAAATTGTAATATTCTCAGATTATCTTTTAAATATCTGCTGTATCTGACATTATGTCCTCTTCCTTATGTTGGGTATTAAGTGTGTCTTTTCTCTTTTTTTCTCTTCTATCATCCTTGCTAGGGAGTTAGCAATTGTGCTAGTCAAAAAACCTGAAGGGTATACCTGCATTATGCATTTGACTTTCTTACTGTCTTAATTTGATATCTGTTTTATATATTATTAATATTTTCTCTTTGCTTTATAATTTTTATTCCTACTTACCTTGGGTTTGGGGTTAGTTTGTTCTATTTCTAACTTCTTGGCATGGCTACTTATATCATTAATTGTCATCCTTTGTCTCATCTAAAACATTCATTATAAGACTATATAAATTTATCTCTAATCACACCATTAGCTACATCATGCAAGCTTTTATATGCTGTATTTTTATTATCATTCAGTTGATAATATTTAATTTCCACTATGATTTCTTCTTTGACTCACGGAATATTTAGAAGTGTATTGCTTTATTTTCAAACATTTAGAGATTATCTAGTTATCTTTCTCTTATTGATGCCTACTTTAATTCCACTGTTGTCAGAAGACACTCTATATGGATTTATTCCTTTGAAATTTGTTGAGACTGCTCTATGTCCCAAGATATAATCGATGTGCAGGGTTTTTTTTTAATGCATTCTGCAGATATTGGGTATAGTTTTATCAACATTCCAGTTAAAGCAACCTTGTAAATCATGTTGTTTAAAAAATTCCTAAAATTTCTAGATTTATTTGTCTGCTTGTTCCTTCAGTCCCTGAGAGAGATGTTACGATATTTCACTGTGATGGTGGGTACGTTTATTTTTGCTTTTATTTGTCATATTCACTTTATATATTTTGAAACTGTGTTATTTATTAGGTACATACAGATTTAGAATTAGTATATCTTCCTAGCAGACTGATCTTTTTCTTATTAAGTGCCCTTCTTTATCTCTAAAAACGATGTTTGCTTTAAAGTCAATTTTGTATGACATTAGTATGTATGACTATTCCATATCTTTAGTCAATATTTTTATGACATGTTTTCATTTTCTTGCACTCAGCTTTTCCATATTCTTATATTTAAGGTATATCTCCCATAAGCAGCATACGGTTGGGTTCTTTAAAGTCCCACCTGACAACATTGCCTTTTAATTACAATGTTTAGCTCATCTATGTTATTTTATATAATAATATATTTATGATTAAATCTACTTATGCTCTTTTTAATATATTCTATCTATTCTACCTCCTTTCTTCTCACTTCTTGTATTCTATCAAACTAATCGTATGTTTTTATAATTGTTCTCCCTCTTTTAGCATAGTATACATCCTTTTGCTATTCATCTAATGGTTACCAAAAGCATCATTTTATCTTTTTGTCTTTTATAAATTAGCATATTTATTAATTGCCATACAATGCAAGGATCTTGGGACAATTTACCTCTCACTGATTTTTGTGCTATCATTTATTTTAATTCTCTGTATTTTGAAAACTCACTGATATCTGTGTTTTAGTAAGTCAGCATTCCTTTAGAGTTACCCATATGTTACCTTTTCCATTGCTCTTTATTCCTGTACATTCCTGTTCTTTCACCTGGGATCATTTTTATTCTGCTTGAAGAACTCCTTTTAGTATTTACTTTAGTTCATATCTGTTGGAGAAGTATCTCACAATTTTAACTTGACCAAAAATATATTTCTTATTTTTAAAAAATTTTAGGAGTGTCTTGGATTTCTAGGTTGGTTGCTATTTTCTTTCAGCACTTTGAAGGCTTCTTTTATTGTTTCTGTTGAGAAATTACCTTTAGACTTATCACTTACTAAGTACTAATAATACAATTATAAAAATAAACCACAACCTAAATAAAGTCTGTCAACTTCCTACCTTTGAGACACTTGCCATCACCCGGAAGAAGCAAACCTGTATAAAGAAAAAATAATAATTTGACAACGGGTGAGGTGGCTCTTGCCTGTAATCCAGCACTTTAGGAGACCAAGGTGGGCAGATCACTTGAAGCCAGGAGTTCAAGACCAGCCTGGCCAATATGGCGAAACCTGGTCTCTACTGAAAATACAAAAATTAGTTGGGTGTGGTGGTGCGTGCCTATAATTCCAACTGTTCAGGAGGCTGAGGCACGAGAATTGCTTGAACCCGGGAGGTGGAGGCTGCCGCGAGCCGAGATTGCACCACTGCACTCCAGTCTGGGTGACAAAAAGTGAGACTCTGTCACAAAAATAATATTAAAAATAATTTGGGAAACTAATAATTCTTCTATAATCGAGACGTATACATAAAGGCTCTGTGAGGCACATGGGAGGGAATGCCGCTGGACAGGAGAGGTGTCTTGGGCGACTTCAACAAGAGGTTTCAATTGAGCTAGATCTTGAAATATGAGTATGGCAAGCAAAGCAAAAGGCATGAAGACACAGAAAAGTTTGCAGGATCAGAACATAATAGGAATTTTGTGAAACTGGAATCTAGGTTTTATGGGAAGTAGTGGTAAAAGTGATCATGAGGGGCTGGGCACAGTGGCTCATGCCTGTAATCCCAGCACTCTGGGGGGCCGAGGTGGGTGGATCACCTGAGGTTGGGAGTTCAAGACCAGCCTGACCAACAATGAGAAACCCCATCTCTACTAAAAATTAGCCAGGCATGGTGGCGCATGCCTGCAATCCCAGCTACTCAGGAGGCTGAGGCAGGAGAATTGCTTGAACCTGGGAGGCGGAGGTTGCAGTGAGCCAAGATCACACCGTTGCACTCCAGCCTGGGCAACAAGAGCGAAACTCCGTCTCAAAAAGAAAAGAGTGATCATGAGGAAGCAGATTGTAGTAATGTTGTCACCAGACTTGTATTCTATGTTAATGGATCTGCACATTATTCTATGAATTTAAGTAAAGACCCATTAAATGATCCCTTTCCCTCTAAGACAAGAAAGCAAGCAATGAGAACAAGCACAGACATAGATGAGCTTGAACTTAGAGAATTTGTTGAGGTTATTGAGGGGCTCTAACATTGGTGGTCTCCACCTTTCAGTAAAATAAAAGAAGGTTAGGACTTTGGCTAATAGTAACAGAAAAAGATGACAGAGAAATTTGAAAAGAATGATAAATATTTGAAACCAACCCTGTGGCACATAGGAAGGGGAACTGACTAGAGATAAATAAATAGATTGCTGACCTGCCAAGGTTAGCTATATCCCTTCTAGCCCTTTGTTATAGTTCTGATTTTACATAGTCAATTGTTATCTGAATCAGTTTTCAAAATGGCACTGTGGAATTGAAATATAGCAGAGAAACCACTTTTTCCCTCATTGTGGGTGATTCAAAATGGAGTGGTTACAATTCCAGGCATTATAGTTAGGAAGGCAACTTACTCTATGAAATGGGGCGTGTTTTCTCTCTGAATTCCAATCTTCACATTATACAAAATGGATTTAGTAATAATTATTTCATGGGATCATCATGAGTATTAAATGAGCTTCATCTGGCGAAGCATCTAGTCCAATGCTGGCTTCAATAGCATCTAGTCCACATAACTGGCTTCAATAAATTATAGCTGTTGCAGTTGTTATTTTTATGATGAGCACAAAAGAATAATTCCAATGTATTGAGTATGTAAAATGAACAATGCTTGTTTCCTTAGGCATATTAATTTGAATTATTTAGACAACTTTAGAAAGTCAGTATTTTTATTCCACTTTGAAAAGTGAGCAAACTAAGGCTCAGAGATGTCACATGCCTCGCCCAAAGTCACACAGTTGCTTAGTGGTTGCCCAAAGTCACAAGTCACATAGTGGTTGTGCAAGTATTTGAGGTCAGGTCTGTCTAACTGCAACCCTTGGGTCTTTCTTTACAAGCTCCCTTTCAGCTTCTCAGTGTTCCCTCCACTAGAATGATCTGTTTAGCAAGACAAGCCCTAGACATCATCCCAGGTTAGATAAAATGCTCCAGGAAGTTTTCCTAGCTATTGTACCTCTGGATGGTTATTAACGTTATTTTTTTGTGTCTGTTCCCCTTGAAGGGCATTCTCTTCTCCTCAGTGGAATGTGTGAAATCCACATGGGATCTTATAAGGCTCTATCTGCATGAATCAAATCGAGTTTATCGGGATAAGATGGTAGAAGAAAAGGACTTTGATCTTTTTGATAAAATCCAGACAGAAGTGCTCAAGAAAACTTTTGATGTGAGTATTGCCCTATGGATTTTCTTTGTATTTGAAAAAAAAAAAGATAATTATACAGATGATCACCCAATGATAAAATCTAGCTGTTTAATGGAGAAAGGCCAGAGTTTAGGTGAGGAAGGAAATTCTGTCATAATTTTGCCCAGGTAAAAAAATGCTGGGGCAAGAATAGATGCAAATTAATCCCAGAATCCCAGTGTTGAAGAAGTCCATAGAGATCATCTGATCCAAGTCCCCACATGGTACTTAGTCCCCTAGCAGCATTTCTCAGATTGGTTACCCCAGTGATGCTCTAGCATCCTTGAAATGCATCATCCCATTGTTTCCAAGGCCGCCATTTTGGGGCTGCTAATAACTGGAAATTTTGAGCAATTTTTTTTTTTTTTTTTTTTTTTTTTGAGACAGAGTCTTGCTCTTTCGCCCAGGCTGGAGTGCAGTGGCGCGATCTCGGCTCACTGCAAGCTCCGCCTCCCAGGTTCATGCCATTCTCCTGCCTCAGCCTCCCGAGTAGCTGGGACTACAGGCACCCGCCACCACACCTGGCTAATTTTTTGTATTTTTAGTAGAGACGGAGTTTCACTGTTTCACCGAGGGTTTCACCAAGGGTTTCACCGAGGTCGATCTCCTGACTTCGTGATCCACCCGCCTCGGCCTCCCAAAGTGCTGGGATTACAGGCGTGAGCCACTGAGCCCGGCCTGAGCAATTTTGAAACTTGGAACATTTGAAATAATTTTAAAGACTGAAAATTTGGTCTAATAATAATCTAGAAGTTATTTCTCTGTCCACTACCCAGGTCTACATGACAAACTCTCAAATATTTTAATGCCACTTATCTCACTCTTCCTGAGTCTTCTCTTCTCCAGGCGAAATAGCCTGAATCCTTTTAACCATTTCTGACATGGATTGGTTTCAAACTTAAAGAACTCTGACATCCTCCTGATTGCTCTCTCACCAGTTCTCCCCTCTGAAATTGTGATGCCTGACTTTTCGTTGCACAACCCAGCTGGGGTCTGACCAAAACCAAGATCATCATTCCCCCTTTTCTTAAAGACTATAGTTTTGTTTCTGTGTTTCCCAAAATGTGTCCTGCTAAGTAGTTTTGCTACAAGATACTTCTTGAAAAAGAGTCTCTGTCATGAAATGAGTTGAGAAAATGTTTCACTGTATATGACTCTCTTGGAAATTCACAGTGGATTTAAGGCATTAACGTTCTGCACTTGGACACAGGAAGGGGAACATCACACACAGGGGCCTGTTGTGGGGTGGGGGGAGGGAGAAGGGATAGCATTAGGAGATATAACTAATGTAAATGATGAGTTAATAGGTGCAGCACACCAACATGGCACATGTATACATATGTAACAAACCTGCATGTTGTGCACATGTACCCTAGAACTTAAAGTATAATAAAAAAATACATATATATATATAAGACATTAAAGTTCTGAAATCTTGAATAACTCTAATTCACATATCATTCCCCAAATGTATTGGACCCTAAAATTCTTTCCTCTCATTAAACCTATTAATAATTTACATAATGAATGGCCCATGGATTATGCCTTGGGAGGCATTGATATAGTAGCACAACCTGAGATCGTATTCTATTTCTTAGCGTCGAAATTACCCCACAGTTAACAATGAGCCTTCTATTAACCAAAGCCCCATCTTTTCCACACATACTGCTTGTCTGTTCCCTCTGGAAATTAGAAATATTCAAATTTTGTATTTAGGTATGCTATGTTGTCCTCATACTCACCTTGTTTGGTTTAGCTCCGTATTTTTTTCCTGGTAAGATCTTGACTCTACCTCTGAAGATATCTGCAGTCCATCCCAACCTATGTGACAGCCTTTTGAATGTTTAGACAGCATTTTAAGTCACTTATTTTATTCTGCTTTTTACTAAGCCAGCTGTCCTAAATTCTCCCACTTCTCTCAGCATTGTTATTGGGGCCTGATGTTTGAGACCCTCATGTTAGATGCCCTTCTCTGAGCATCATAGAGTTACCCAATTCAGGTATTCATTGTTGGCCTGGCAAATTAGTCTTCATGGTCTTTACAAGTCGGTCTGAGCTAGCACTTCAGAGTAATAACACTTGAACTTTCAAATAGAGTTCCATGTGTGGGTCTGTGTATGAAGAGCACTGCCTTTTGATCACAGACCCAGATATATGAATATTGCCATTATCCTTCCCCAACAACATTTGAAATGCCAGCCTGAAGCACCCTTGGTCACACCACATCTTGGTATTGGTATCAAGGAAAAGTTGCCAGATTTTCACCAACAAAGCAATAAAATCCTGTTTCCACTATTCAAAGCTTAAGCTTCTCTGATTCATGGCCCTGTGTGATTTGGCATCACTATTAAGGAATCTTTGATTCACTGAGTTGGTTGATTTTCTCTCTGCCTTCTACACAGCATGGCTCTGATCATAAAATCACAGACTTGTTTTGTTCCTCAAAGAGTCTTTGTAAACCAGCCTTTTCAAAACTGCACTTTAGTTCCTCCTCCGCTAGATGGTTTTTGTCAATTGACTAATATGAGAACTGATTCCCAGGACATTAGCCCATTCTCAAACAGGGTAAATGTCTTCCCACATTACATCCTCCATCCTCATGTGTTTTCCTAATAGCAAGAATAGTCCTCCTGCACTGCGCTTACATCTTATCCAAATGTCTGAGCATTTTTGTTATTGTCTGGCAAAGCCAGAATAGTTTAAAAGTTTTCTATAGTTTTTGAAATCACCTTCAAAATCTAATAACTTTTTTATTTTTAACTCTTTCCAGTCCTTTCTTCTTACACCCAGGCAGCAGCCCTGGTTTCTCTATAGATGTTACTGTCTTCCTCACTTTCCCTATATTAGGTTTGGTGAATCTCATCCCATAGGTTACAAGGCTTACCCTGCAGTGACTTATGCCCTGGGACGTGTCCCTGCTGATAAATAACACACTGGTTACCTCTTTCCCAGGTAGGTCTTCCAGTCTGAACTTTAGGAGGAAAAAACGACAGGTGCGGACAACTGCTCATGCTGGCATAACTTCCTATTTGTGTCTTAGAAAGCCTATTCTTTCTCGGACTTTTCTCCTCGACAACCTTTCCTCTATCTCAAGTCTCAGGTATTTGGGTTTTGACAGGCAAGTAGTTCCTTTTTGTCTCCACTAACATGAAAGTTAAAAAATTGGTCTTCTCTTCAGTACTTAGAGATATATTGGTGAAGAGACGCAGACTCCTTATCCTTCAAATGAATTGAGTTATACTATACTATAACCAGCCCGTATTTATTCAACATGGTAACATTTCTCCTATGGGTGAGATTTGACACACAGCCCGAAAGTGTTGTAAGTAGGGAGTTCTACCATAAATGCGTTAAGATTACCATAAATAAACCAGTCACCTGAGGGTGGCTAGTAGCGCATTCTTCAGAAACCAAGCCCTCTGGACTGAACCTATGAATTCAGGGCTGGCAACATACTTGTGTAATCTCACAGGAAAAGATGTTGGATGGCTTTGCTGCAGATTGAGGACCTAGATCTGTTGGAATGTACATGCAGAAAGTGAGGCGATTGGGCCACGATCCCCTTCATTCAATACTGGTGAAAGAGCCCCCACTTAGAGAAATCCACCCATCCATCCCCATCCATTCTTCTCACAGAAGCACTCTCTTACCGTGCTTGTGAGGAGGCCCCATCCCACCTCCCACTTCCCATCCTCAGTCCTTAAGGAATAACAAACATCACCTGAGACTTCATGGAGCTGGTAGATGGATGTTAAGCATCCACTTAAAAGGGCTTCTCAAGAGAAGGGCATGTTGGAAGTAGCACTGATGCCTAATTTCCAGGGAATGTGCAGAGCAAATCAGGTGTCTCTGCTCTGTGGAACCAGCCCCAGAAGTCAATAATGAGGGCCCTTATTCCTGTGTCTCATCACCAGGATATTGAAGACCCTGTGGAGCAGACCCAAAGCCCGAACCTGTATTGTCACTTTGCAAATGGTATTGGGGAGCCCAAATACATGCCTGTACAGTCTTGGGAACTTTTGACCCAGACTCTGGTGGAGGCCTTGGAGAACCACAATGAAGTCAACACAGTGATGGACCTAGTTCTCTTTGAGGATGCCATGCGCCATGTGTAAGTGTGCTTCTCCTCTTCCTTTTCCTCAGTTGCTTCCTCTTCCCAATGACAGGGGTCTCATTCGGCTATTTGAGGTCACTTCCGTAAAGCCAGGTAAGGAGCTCCGGCTTCTGCCTTAAAAGTCAAGATGGCTGCTGGCAGAGCAGCTGCAGCTCCTGCCGCAGACCCTAGGGGGCAGCACAGTGCGGAGCTCAGGCAGGAATGGGTTCATTTCCAGGTCCGCCATTTGCTATCCCGGGCATAATCACAGTGACAGCAAGAACAGACTTGAGATCATAAAATGGGACCCAGAACAGCTCAGGACCTCCATCACCACCTTGTTATTAGTCCAAGGGCCATTTAAAAAAATGAGATAGGCTGGACAGGATGACTCATGCCTGTAATCCCAGCACTTTGGAGGCCGAGGCGGGCAGATCACGAGGTCAGGAGATCAAGACCATCCTGGCTAACACGGTGAAACCCCATCTCTACTAAAAATATAAAAAAATTAGCCAGGCGTGGTGGCACGTGCCTATCATCCCAGCTACTCCAGAGGCTGAGGCAAGAGAATCGCTTGAACCTGGGAGGCCCAGGTTGCAGTGGGCCAAGATGGCGCCACTGCACTCCAGCCTGGGCGACAGAGCAAGACTCTGCCTCAAAAAAAAAAAAAAAAAAAAAAAAAAGAGAGAGAGAGAGAGAGAGATAGAGGGTTTGTATTCAAGTGCATACATATTTCAAAAATTAAATATCCTTTTAGTGTTTTTGCTATCTAGTGAATCACTGAAAGTAATAACCAAGCCTCCAAGACAGTCTAGCCTCACACCAACACCATCCCTACCCTGCTTCTTACATTTCCCAATCTGAGACCCATTGCCAGCGCTCACTGCCCTCCAAAATCCTTCCGCCTTCCCCCAGGGTACTCACGGTCTTAGCAACAATATCTGCTTCATTTCAACTTCTTTGAACTTTCCCTTTACTGCCAAATTCTAACTGATACCTGACTGACCCCTGAGTGGAGGAAAGCTGTTTTTTCTTCCCCATTCTATGTGCCCCAGGGCCTAGAGAGGAGTAAGTAACCTCCTTACCCCCAGTCCCCCACCCCAATGGCACATTTAAGTCCTTTCTTCTCTTACCCTTCAAAACCCCAGTTCTTTTGAACACAAGTCACCTGCCTTTCCTACTCATTCTTCCTCCTTGTCACTGTTATCTGCTGACAGTCAATCACTCCCCATCATCCGCTAATGGCCTTAGTCCCTGGGCACCCTTCCTCCTCACCCATGTCTCGACTCACTCTTGGCATCTAGCTAATAATCCTTTCTGTTCCTTGGCTTGCTTGGCTCCCATGGTCTTTTCTTCTAGCCCACCTCAGTTCTCACTTTCATGTTCCTATAATAGGAACCCACCTTCAAAATCCCAACTTCAAACATCCCACTTTCTGACCTGTACCTGCCACCCTCCCACTTATCTGCTCTGGTCTTTCATTCAACTTCAAGACTTCATTCATTGGACCAACTACTTCCCCAGAAGTAGTTATCCGTTATCTCTCCCCCTACCATGTCTTTACTTTCCCTTTTTAAAAATTTTATTTTATTTTATTTTATTGCTTTTTGAGACGGAGTCTCACTCTGTCGCCCAAGCTGGAGTGCAGTGGCGTGATCTCAGCTCCTTGCAAACTCTGCCTCCTGGGTTCAAGCGATTCTCCTTACTTTCCTTTTTAACCACCATAGACCCCATCACCCCAGTGCCAGCTCCCCTAACTTTCTTGTCATTGTATCCACAAAATCTCACTCGGGCTAGACCGCACTGTCTTTTTTTGTTGTTGTTGTTTTGAGAGGGAGTCTCACTCTGTCACCCAGGCTGAAGTGCAGTGGTGCGATCTCAGCTCACTGCAGCCTCCACCTCCCAGGTTCAAGCCATTCTGCCTCAGCCTCTGAAGTAGCTGGGATTACAGGTGCCCACCACCAGGCCTGGCTAATTTTTTGTGTTTTTAATAGAGACAGGGTTAAACGATGTTGGCCAGGCTGGTCTCAAACTCCTGACCTAAGGTGATCCACCCGCCTTGGACTCCCAAAGTGCTGGGATTACAGGCCTGAGCCACTGCGCCCAGCCCCCACTATCTTCTTACTCTACCCGTGCCCCTAAGCAGCTAGATACTGTTGAGGAAAAATATCCCACCATGTTGATTGTTTTTGCTCCAGATCTGCATCCATAAATATCAAACAGGTCTCAACATTGCTAGAAATTGTCCTCCTCTACCCTAAGCATGTTGCTTCTTTCACCATCCCGTGATAACTGCATTACACATTTTCCTTCTCTTTTCAAACTCCCAGCGCCTTATTCCCAGTTAATAAGAACATCTCTTATTTCACTGGGATAATGAAAGTGACAAGAAGAGAATCTCGCGTCTTCCCGTCATCAAATCTAACAGCCTATGTGTATCCCTGCATCCCTCCCACAAGTCCTGCCTTCCCTACAACTTCAGTTCATGAACACCCCTATCCCTATCTAAGTCTAGTCCCTACACCTGCGCCCTGGATCCCACCTCCTCTCACCTTCTCGGTGACTTCACCTCTCGCTGTAATTATCTCCTCTCTCTCTCTCTCCTTCTCCCTCTCCTATTTTCTCTCTCCCCTCTTTTATCTTACCCCATCATTAATTTCTGGATTATATGCATCAGCATACAAACATGCTATGTTATCATTTATCAAAAAATAATAAACTATTCCTTGCCTCTTACATTCCTTTCCATCTACTACCCCCATTTCTCCGCTCCTATCCGCAACGACACTCATCCAAAACGTTGCCCATCTTTGTCTTACTTTCTCACTTCTGATTTCCTTCTCTGCCCACTTCTTAGCCCTTGAACAAAGCAGTGCTTATCATTGTCACCTCTGTAGTGAGGTGACCACACGTCTTGCTGAAGTCAGTTTTCACTGCTAAGTCCTCGCCTATATTACATGACGCCCCTGTGGTCAATGATTAACCTCTGTCTGTTTGCATCATCCACTCATCCAACATATATTTATTGATTAGATAATCTTAGGATAAGTGCCGGGATCCTAACCTCTAGGACACTGTGTGGAACCTAGCAGGTGCTCAGTAAAACTGCTTAGCATGTTATATGAGACTAAATCATGCAGAGGAAAACAGAGAGGGAAGGGGAGTAGAGAGGACTGAGGGTGATCCTAATTATAACTAGGGTCATCAGGAAGGCCTCCCTGAGAGGGTAGCATTTAAAACGACATGTAGCTCAACATAGAACTCTCTGTGTGCCTTGTGCATAGTGCTTTGCATATATCATTGCATTTAGTTTTCACAAAAACCCTGAAGAAGTAAAGTTTTGTTATTGTCTCTATATTATAAATGAGGAAACTGAGACTGAGAGGAGAGAAGTTGCCTAAGGTCACACTCCTCATAAATAGGTAGAACTTGCAATAGTGCAATCTGGCTCCAGAGTCTGTGCTCTATACCATCATCCTATGAAGCTTCTTCAAATATTTTTTTGTATCCCCCTAATCTGATGTGAGCTCCTTGAGCACACAGACTGTCTTGCTCACTGCTGAAACCTTAGTATCTTAGACAATGCCTAGTGCATAGTAGGGTTCAGGAAATGAGGCATTAAAAGTTCAACCTGCCGGGCACCGTGGCTCATGCCTGTAATCCCAGCACTTTGGGAGGCCGATGCGGGTGGATCACCTGAGGTCAGGAGTTTGAGGCCAGCCTGACCAACATGGTGAAACCCCGTCTCTACTAAAAATACAAATTAGCTGGGCATGGTGGCAGCGTGCACCTGAAATCCCAGATACTCGGGAGGCTGAGGCAGGAGAATCGCTTGAACCCGGGAGGCAGCGGTTGCAGTGAGCCAAGGTTGTGCCATTGCACTCCAGCCTGGGCAACAAGAGTGAAACTCCATCTCAAAAAAGAAAAAAAAAATTCAACCTTATGAAGCTCCAGTGAGTATTCTCTCTTCTCCTGAAGAGCCACCAGTATGTCTGTCATAGTCTTGGAATTGAGGCAAGTCTTTGTCCTTTAAGGGCGAATTTAATTTGAAAAAATTGTAAGTGATTCCATCAATGTGGCTTCCAACATGGGTGATCAAACTAATATTGTTTTTAGAAAAAAAAAATAATAAGTACTGGCTACAAACACTGGCTTTCTTCCATAGGCTTATAAACAAACTCTGAAGTTAGTATCCAAAGAGAAGCCTGAGCCTCATTTAGCAATGGCAAAATAACTGGGAAAATGAACTGCCTGGAAGGGGACAATTCTGAAGAATAAAATGTATTTAGTTGTATAATTTCCCATACATTTGTTTAAAGACATCAACCACCCGTTACTTTATCCTCGCTCTGCCATTCCCTCCCTTCCCTGGGGCTCATGGACCTCTCGTTGCTGCCTCTACCAACCAATAAAGCAGAAGGATTCCCCTTCTTAGATCAGAAAAAGGATACCAGGCAGTAAAGGGAGAAACACAGATAACCTAAGAGTGTGGGAAGACTCTATGGCCTCACATCGCTACACACACAGCACTCCAGAAAGGTACCACCTTCTGAGACGCAAAGTGGGAGTAGGGTGGGCATGGTGGCTCACACCTGTAATCCCAGCACTTTGGGAGACCAAGGCGGGATGGATCACCTGAGTTCAGGAGTTCGAGACTAGCCTGGCCAACACGGTGAAACCCCATCTCTACTAAAAATACCAAAAAACTTAGCCAGGCATGGTGGCAGACACCTGTAATCCCAGCTACTCAGGAGGCTGAAGCAGGAGAATCACTTGAACCCAGGAGGTGGAAGTTGCAGGGAGCCAAGATCGTGCCGCTGCATTCCAGCCTGAGCAACAAGAGTGAAACTCCATCTCAAGAAAACACACAGACAAAAAAAAAAAAAAAGTGGGAGTAGGACAGAGCAGACGAGGAAGGAGACTGTGTGTGTGCCCTCCCAGGAACTCACAGGTCCAGGGATCCAAGGCGAGAACCTATTTTTATAATAACTCCATCCAGCTGTTTGTTCTCACCACTCGAGCTCGCATCATCTTTCTTTTTAGTTAGAGTCCCCTACACCCTTCCCCAGCTTTGCTGCTCTCCCTTTCTGCAGTTTTGATGCTGAACTCAGTAACAGAGCACTGTGTAGTGGTTATGGACAAAAACCAAACCAAAGTTCAAATCCTTGTTCTGCCACAAATTGGTTGGGATGCTTTGGGAAGGATGCTTAACCCCCAAGCCTAAATATCCTCACCTGGGAAATTAGGATATTAAGAATGCCTGCATCGTAGGGTTGTTGCTATCTATGCAAAGTGCTTTGCAGTCAGTAAATATGAAAGTCTTTTTTCTTTGTGCTATTGCCTTATTTCCTTAGTAGTACCACTTTTCTACTGACTTTCGTCACCACTTCAGCAGATTCTTGTTCTGCTTTTTCTTCAAGCTTTAAACCAGATCTTTTCCCCCGCTTTTGGCATCATCTCCATTCATCTTTTTCTGTCTCTTTGTTTTTCACTCCCACATATATTTTCTTCTCTTAGAATCACTTAGCAATCATTAACAACAACAACGACAAACCCTCAGATGTACTTCTTTTGTGCCCTGAGAATCTTACCCATTCTCTAGGGGTGTGTGTGTGTGTGTGTGTGCGCTCGCACACACGCACATGCGTGTCTAGTCCAATAAATCAACTTCCTCCAGCTGTGCGATGGTGCATCTTCAGCTTTTGTTTTTAATCTCTCAGAAATTCAGTAATGGACTTAACTTAGACTGCCTTGGTTTTCTGGCCCAGGAGCACTTTAGAATATTGATCTTCTTTTTAAATTTTGTAATTTAAATGCAGAGTTCTTTGCCCTCATCAGAGGTTGGTAATGAATCCCCAGCTGGAGTCCGGTGCTGACGGTTGCAGACTTAACCACACTTCTCTGGAAACTTCATCACAAACGATGCATTTCCCATTGAGATATTGAATGGCATGGGCCATGCTAAGCTGAGTTCAGGCCTTCAGAATAGGGCTGGGGGGTTGGGTGACCCAGAGAACCCAGCTGGACTCCAACTCCTCTGACTCCTCCTCCATGCCTGCCTCTCTCTTTCCTCCACTAATCCTTTCCTGCCCCAACTTTTCTGAATCAGGAGAGAGAGGCTGGGTATCTTAGCACCATGGCTTCTCCCTTCATCAGGCACCATCTCATGCAGACACAAAGCAGATAACCCCTTGCACCCAGCGTAATGAATCATTGCGTACATCACCCCAAATGTGGAGCTCATATAAGGCATGGGTTGTTCTGTTTAAATTTAACAAAAATGTATTAGATACCTTCAATGTGCTGTCACTGCAGAGAATACAAAATGAGTATATGTACTCTTCAGACATCTAGAAATTACAGTTTCATAGGAAAGCAAGAGAAGTGTAAATCTATCTGATATAAGACAGTATAAGTTTCACAATTAAATAATTAAAGTGGAAAAGTAAAATCATAAAATTACTGAATGTAGGTCAATAAATAACTCCTGAATATTTAAGTCAAAACATTTTAACTACATAAAATTTAGTAGTTAACCACATCCAACTTTAAGACCTAAAAATATTTGTATATCTGAAACATCTTTAAAAAACTGGAAGATAAAGGTGAGAAATTGGAGGATAATTGAAAACATACATAAAAGGGTTTCACAAATTGAGAGAAACACTTCAGTTGAAAAGCAGGCAATGGGCATGAACAGAAAGTTTACAAAACAAAAATAATAAAATGCTTCATAAACATTTAAAAATGTTCAATTCCCTAGAAACCAAATAAATAAAAATAAAAACAGTAATTTTTCCACCATTAAATTGGCAAAGATTGGCCAGGTGCGGTGGCTCACGCCTGTAATCCCAGGGAGGGAGGCCTGGCGGGTGGATCACAAGGTCAGGAGATCGAGTCCATCCTGGCTAACCTGGTGAAACCCCATCTCTACTAAAAAAACAAAAAATTAGCCGAGCGTGGTGGCAGGCACCTGTAGTCCCAGCTACTCGGGAGGCTGAGGAAGGGGAATGGCGTGAACCCAGAAGGCGGAGCTTGCAGTGAGCCGAGATCGCGCCACTGTACTCCAGCCTGGACGACAGAGCGAGACTCTGTCTCAAAAAAAAAAAAAAAAGTTCTTTGGGGGCCAGGAGTGGTGGCATGCAAATGTAATCTCCGCTACTCGCTACTCGGGAGGCTGAAGCAGGAGAATTCCTTGAACCTGGGAGGCAGAGGTTACAGTGAGCTGAGATCCCACCATTACACTCCAGCCTGGGCGAGAAAGCAAGGCTCTGTCTCAAAAAAAAAAAAATTAGATGTAAGATTCAGTGTCAACAAGGGTTGGGGGCCAGACTCCTACACACTGCTAGCAAGATTTCAGAGCAGCAAGCGCACCCCACAGGAGACATGGGGCAATGAGGAACAACAAACGTTTAGTTTATTTATGTTAATTGTGAACAGGTCATCAGTACATGCAAGAAATTTGCAGAAATAAGAAACTTCAAACCACAGAGGCTCAACACAAGCTCTGTAACTTTATATACACTCACATGTTGTTCATGCGTTGAACCCCACCCACCAAAACCCGTGTCCAGAGTTTCTTCCAAACTGGAGCTAGCTAGACCTTATGTTGCTCCACCCTACTTAATTTGAATATGGCATTTCTAATTATAACATCATTAACACAGACAGGAGCACAGGATTGTAGCCCATGCAATTCAATCTCAAACGTATCCTCTACTCTATTTGGCCAAACTTTACCCGAGTTCTTTTTTTTTTTTTTTTTTTTTTTTTTTTTTTTTTTTTTTTTTGAGATGGAGTCTCTCTCTATCATCCAGACTGGAGTGCAGTGGAGCGATCTTGGCTCACTGTAACCTGTAACCTCCGCCTCCTATGATCAAGAGATACTCCTGCCTCAGCTGCCCTAGCAGGTGGGATTACAAGCACTCACCACCATGCCTGCTAATTTTTGTGTTTTTGTGGACACAGGGTTTCACCATGTTGGCCAGGCTGGTCTCGAACTCCTAACCTCAGGTGATCCCCCCACCTTGGCTTCCCAAAGTGCTGGGATTACAGGCATGAGCCACCACACCTGGGCTCCAAAGAACTTTTTATTGCTACAAATGTTTCACGCATCCAGACTGAAATCTTGAACCCTCTCCAGATGGGGTTTCACCATGTTTCCCAGGCTCGTCTCAAACTCCTGCCCTCAGGTGATCCTCCTGCCTCAGCCTCCCAAAGTGCTGGGATTACAGATGTGAGCCACCGCTCCCAGCCCGAGTTCCTATTCTCACACTCTTTTGGTCCCCAAATCACCAATACCTGTTGTCTCTTCTTCCAAAAACATTTCTCTAAAGCAGCTTGATCACTGTGTTACGTAGCCCTGAATTTGCTGACTTAACACATCCTAATTCAACTAACACATCCAGTATATTCAAATCCTCCAATATAGCAGATCCACCTTTTGATCAATTCTACCCAGGAAAAGTACATGTCGGTGCCGTCATTCTGCGCGGCAGTCTCTAAAGACTGTCTTACTGTTTGGCTCAACAGTTTTACTTCTAGAACTTATCCTGAGGATATAATCAGAGATATAAACTTAAAAAATATATACAGTGTTATTTATAAATGGAAAATGTTGGAAGCAACATACATATCCAAGAGCAGGCTATTACAGACAGGCAATTTATTCTATCCTTATTACCAACACAATGTTGGTATTCTACACAATACCATTCTACCATCAAAAGTCTGGTTTAGCTGAATTTTTAATGGCTTAGGGAAACAATCACAGTATATTGCTAAATGAAAAAAAAAAGTTTTCAAAAGACTGTGTTCAGTATACAACATGAACTCAATTTTTAAAATACACATAACAGAAATATATTGACTTTTCAGGTACAAACAATGTATGTACATATATATTTATAAAAATGCAGACAAACACTAGAAAAAAGTCTAGAAGGGCCTATAATTCACATCAGTAGTGTTTATTGCTAAATAGTAGAACTGTGGATTTTTTTCTGTATTGTACGCATTTTGTACAATGCAGAGCCATTGTTTTAAAGATGAGAAAAGGAGAAAATCAGGGTTCTTTTTATAAAGGGTGTAGCACCTTGCATAAGGTATATGCATACTGCTGAGAGGGGTTAGACATACGATTGGAAGCGGATCCTGGAGGAGAGGCTGATGGAGGGTGGCCTTTGAGGAAGGGCTGGAGGGCAGGAAGAGTGGTTTCCTCTGAAGAAGATGAGGTCTGGAATAGTCTTCCATTGCAAGGAAGGGGGCAAGGAGAGAGGAATATGGGCACTGAGAGCGGTGAGCAGTAAGGCTGTGAAGGGAGGAATCCAGAAGCCAGGGATGCAGCTGTCTTACCTATTGATAATAAGAACCCACAAACCTTCATTACAGGGTCATCCACGCCCAGGAAGGATTGAAGAAGGGAGACAGAAGAGTTCTGTCCGGGCTCCCTGTTTCTCTCCTGCTGACTTTGGTTTGGCTTCTCTTCTTTCCTAAGAGGAACCAACTTCTGCTCCTGCCTTGTCCTCCAGCCTTTCCTGAATTTTTTAAATTGTGTGTTTTCAACTGTTTCGCTTTTTCCGTCCCCTCTTCTTGCCCAAAAGAATTGAAGTGGGAGGTGTGGCAGGGTCAGTTATGGTGCGGAGAAGAGCAAAAGCAATCCTGAGTCCCTTCCCTATCGCATCACTCATCCCCTGCAATCCTGCTCCCTTCCATGGGCTCCCCCAGGCTGTCCCTAGTTCACTAGAGGCTGTGGCTTAAGGCAAAGCAATGGCAGCTTCAGTCAGCTCGGGCAAGAAGGTGAGGCCAGGTTTAGGGACAATCTAATAAACGTTTCCCACAGCTCAGCCTGTGACGTGCCTCCAAGGAAGGCCCCTGCTCCCACTCAAGCCTTTATACATGCTTCTGACTGCAGAAAGTCTGATCAAAGCAACATGTGCCTGCTTCCTTCTCTTTAGCTGCCATATCAATCGCATCTTGGAGTCCCCGCGGGGAAATGCTCTGCTGGTTGGTGTAGGTGGGAGCGGCAAGCAGAGCCTGACAAGGCTGGCAGCTTTCATCAGCTCCATGGATGTCTTCCAGATCACACTGCGCAAAGGCTACCAGATCCAGGACTTCAAGGTAAAAGGTCAGGCAGCTGCAGGGAGGAGGCTCAGCTTCCCTCCAACCAGCCACAGTTCCATCATCCTTCACTCGTTCTCCAGTTCCCCTGTCTGGAGCCTCCCCTTCAATGTCTGTCCATTTCTGTCTTAGGTTCTGGGCTGGTGATGTGAATGACTTCTCATTAGACTCAGCCTGAGAACAGTGGCATTTCCAAAGTCTGCCTTTGGGAGACCTCAGGCGTCCTAGTTACGTCTGTGGGGCCTCCACTCTTGCTCAAATCAGAAGCACATCTGTATCAAATTCAGCACACAGCTCACTGGCAGTGGGAGCAGACAGATGGAATTCTGAAGGTCTGCTTGAGTTTCCTAAGAAATTCAGATTTTAAAAGACGGGTCAGTAACCACTGGCCTCTGGGACCTTCAGTGACATATCCTGGTTTCAGACAGCCAGCACTTGGAGGCTGGATGAGTACTCTGGAAAGTAAAGAAAGACACTATATACAACCTTCAAAGGTCATTGTGTCCAGTCCGCTTTGTTTTATCCATGGCCACAACAGTCTTGGTAGGAAGTCACGGTGTAACTTCTATCAGGAGGCTGCTCTTGCTCTTCCTGGAAGAACTCCAGCCAGCACTGAGCCAGTCCTACCCACTTGCCCTCATAATCTCTCAGCCAGTGACAGAAGAGGGAGGTGCTCACTTCTGCTCTAAAACCACAGCCCAGCCTCTCGACGACTGGCTGAATCTAAGGTCATACATCAAGTTCGTATTAGGTCTTTCTTTAGTGCTTCCAAAAAAGACATGATAGTGTGATAGGAATTACACATTTACAGAATGAGCTGAGACTGTGGGTCTCAACTTTTACTCTATATGGGAATCGCTGGGGATCTAGAAAGAATACTGATGCCTGTGTCCCACTCCCCAGTATTCTGGTTTAACTAGTCTGGGGAATGGCCTGGGCATCACGATTTTTCAAAGCATCCCCAAGATGATTCCAATGAGAACTGAGAAACACTGTCTTAGATCACTTAGAGGATGCGATGAGAACCATTGATCTAAAACAAAAATCAGTATATTTAAAGGGGAGCTATTTGGACACTAAGGTAGCTCTGTGGTAAAGAAATGAGTGGAGTTGTTAGAAATAGCTGTGAGTAATGTGAGAGAGAGAGAAAGGCAACATCAAGAACTGATGGCTGAGCTTGGGGAGGTTGATACACCAAAGGAACTGAGATTGATCAAGCTGGATAAGTTCAGAACTTGGCATCCTAGCCCAAAATGTCATCCATCTGCAGTTTTCAATGTATATAATTTCCTACAGGTGATTGCATTTGTGTATGTGTGTGTGTGTGTTGCCCCAGTATATTTTTTTCAACATAAGTGTTTTGCTGGAGCTAGTCATAAGAACACAAGAGGCTGGGCACAGTGGCTCATGCCTGTAATCCCAGCACTTTGGGAGGCTGAGGGGAGTGGATCACGAGGTCAGGAGATCGAAACCATCCTGGCTAACATGGTGAAACCCCATCTCTACAACAAAAATACAAAAAATTAGCCGGGCGTTGTGGCACGCACCTGTAGATGCAGCTACTTGGGAGGCTGAGGCAGGAGAATCCCTTGAACCCGAGAGGCGGAGCTTGCAGTGAGCCGAGATGGTGCCACTGCACTCCAGCCTGGGTGACAGAGCGAGAATCCATCTCAAAAAATAAAAAATAAAAAATAAAAACTACAAGACCCTGCTAGCATAAGATATATTCATCCGCCATGCTGGTAGCCCCAAGTACCTCACTCTCAGTCAAGACCAAGAGCAATGGCTTGCCTTCAGGAGCAGGTCATTCAGTTGTTTGAGTCTTACATATAAGTAAGACGTAAGACATACTTACTTATATGTAAGTAAGTCTTCCATATACGTAAGTAAGTCTTCCATATAAGTATGTAAGTCTTACATATAAGACTTGCATATAAGTAAGACACTTGTATGAGTCTTATATATGTGTAAGACAGATAAATGGGGGACCACCTTTGGGCTTTGGAAAGCTGTAACCTCTTTGCACAAAGCAGGAGCTCCAGAAGCTTTACCCTAAAGCCTAATTTCTAAATCAGTGTAAGAGAGGTACAGGAGCTAGCATGGTTGTATGAATTAGAGGCCATTGCTATGTAATTTCTCTTGCCCACCTTTATTGGCACCAAAGCCTGGGAATGAGGCATAGTTTCCTGCCTGTCAGTGCAAGATAGCCCTCCCCCAGCTTCCCATTGTCACCTTACTTTAATTCCCATTCAAGCAGAGAAGAAAACGGTTCCATTTCTAAAGAATGGGTTGGAGTTCTCTTTCAAGGAGGCCTTCTTTTCAGAGATTTCTGATATTGACCATTCCTACAGATGGACCTGGCCAGCCTGTGTCTGAAAGCTGGAGTGAAGAATCTCAACACAGTGTTTCTCATGACTGATGCCCAAGTGGCTGATGAGAGGTTCCTTGTGCTCATCAATGATCTTTTGGCATCTGGTAAGAGATTCCTTGCACTTGGTGTCACTGATAAATTCCCCCTGGAATCAGAGTTATACAAAGGTGAAGATTTCGTCCAGGGTGGGAAGAGTAAGGTCATAGTAATGAGGAAGAAAACTGACACAGCCAAGGACTGGTTCATTGAGGTCCTTCTCAGCATTGATGCTGGGCCTGCTATCCTGGCTCTTTCATTCTTATTTCATTGCAAAACAGACAGTAATCGTGGAGCTCTCTTAGTGGGACTAGACCTGATGATGGGAAGAAGAGAGGGTTAAGAGCTTGGTGATGTGCTGTGGAGAGAAGGTGCTGTTCCCTCTCTGTATCCAAATCAAAGAGAAACTAGAATGTGTGTAGTACTTGAGGAAGCTCAGGCATTGGCAGGAAGATACACAAAAAGAGAGCATGAGCATGCACGCGTAAAACTTACACAGTAGGGCAAGATGAGGTTACCAATGTAATTAACTAGTGATTTACAACCTCATGAGAGCAAAGTGGAAGTTCCACATAGTTTTCCTTGGTCCCCAAAAAACTTGACAGAGAGTGTGAAGTGGCCTGTGACGCTGTCTGTGCAAGATAGGACTTCAATGGAAAGCTCAATGCTTGCTATTGCTATTTTATTGTCCTTCTTTATTTAGGAATTCAGTACGTATACCAACAATCCCCCACAAAGTGAAAACTCACGTCTGTAATCCCAGCACTTTGGGAGGCCAAGGTGGGTGGCTCACCTGAGGTCAGTAGTTCAAGACTAGCCTGGCCAGAATGGTGAAATGCCATCTCTACTAAAAATACAAAAATTAGCTGTGTGTGGTGGTGTGCACCTGTAGTCCCAGCTACTTGGGAGGCTGAGGCAGGAGAATCGCTTGAACCTGGAAGGCGGAGGTTGCAGTGAGCTGAGATCATGCCACCGCACTCCAGCCTGGGCGACAGAGCGAGACTCCGTCTCAATTTAAAAAAAAAAAAAGAAAAAGGTTATAAAACGAGATAAAGAGGCAGGGAGAAGAGATCAGTATGCTGGATCCCATCCTCTGACCTATTCTCTTGATGTAAGTTGGGTCTGTCTCCCCAGCTCTCTTATCCAGGGCAGTGGCAGCTCTACCGTAATTACTTTACAAACTCTCATGCCCCCAACCAGAGATATGGAGGCCATAGGTAACTGATAGTGGAACCTGGTGGTCACATCCCTGCTGTTGACCCAGCATTCAGCTGACTCTTCCTCCTTTCAGTCTCATCACTCCAACCTCAGCTGTCCATCACCCCAGAGTGGGTATGACCTGGTTTATCTGTCTTACCCATCATTGCTTTTTATATTTCCTACCTCGTCTCTACCTAGGACGAAGTCTTTCATATTTGGAGAAATCCCAATAATCTGGCAATAAGCATCTTCCGTCAAAGGTATATTGTTCCTGGACACTGTTACAGATATGCTCTGTCCTGCTCAGAACCAATATCTCCAATGCTCTTCTGATGCAAGCGCGAGACTGAGACTGCAAAAGGCCTGTAATCCCAGCTACTTGGGAGGGTGAGGCAGGAGAATCACTTGAACCAGGGAGATACAGGTTGCAGTGAGCTGAGATCATGCCACTGCACTCCAGTCTGGGTGACTGAGTGAGACTCTGTCTCAAAAAAAAAAAAAAAAAAAAAAAAAAAAAAAAAAAAAATATATATATATATATATATATATATATACACATACATACACACATACATCCAAGAATATAAGACAATATAATGCATAAATTATGCATTTATATAAATATGTGCATGTTTATATTAAAGAAAGAATACGCTTTCTTGGCTCTTAAACCAAATGCAGCATCTACAAAACCACCTCTTCATCTCAATTGAGAAAACAGTCAGTGTACAAATGTTCCTGAACAAAATTTCTGCCTCCAGACTTCCAGCATCTCAAAAGCCTTCTCTCTCTCCACACTCCATTCCCTGGCTCTGATTAAATAATGTTTAGTTTATAAGGTCCAAGGACCATGGTCACAAGTACCTTTCTCCATAGTCTATCTAGTATATATAGATATAGTAGTATATAGTCTATCTACTATATATTGTAAGTAATATATTTTAGGATAGTTCCTGACAACCTCCAGGAAGTTCCTGGCTTTGGAATCATTGTCTGCTTCATATTTTGTGGCATTGCACCCCATGCCATCATGCTGTCATTTTCATGAAGAGCCACTGGTCCCTGGTCCAGAGCATGTACTAGCAGGCATTGTGAGCAACCTTTGGCTTCTTTCAGGTGAGATCGATGTCCCAGGTTTCCTCACTGTGCTGGCTGCTAGCCTTGCACTCATACCACCCTCATTCCCTTCCCTCCCTGCCCTGTTCAAGTTAGCTTTATATCAGAGAGTTTGCCTACCAACTCTTACACCTTTTCTCCTCCAATGCCACAATTTTTTCCTTTCTTAAATGCAATCTCTTTAACATCTCATCACCTTCTGCAATAGTGTTTAATCTACAACATAGCCTCATCTTTTATTATTTTACTAAATAATGAGAGAAGGATCCAACTTCCCTCCTACCCCAAAGCTACCCTAAAGCCTAATTTCAAAATCAGTCTGAGAGAATACAGCTTTAGAGATGTCGGGCGTGTTGCCAGCCTCACACCATTGTATTTCAATTGGCTCTAATCCAGCCAGGTCACCTTTTCCTAAAATAACATCTGAGACACAGAGTTGTCACATTTTTACCAATTGAAATTTTATTCCTCAATTAAGTATTGATAATTTTTCATTTAGAACACAACTTTTTTTCAAGTGCAAACGAATTTCTAAAGCCCTCCCAGTGAAAATGCAATCAGCCGGTTCCAAAGTCATGGAGTTTTAGGCCCCATTTTAAGGCTTCTATATATTCTTTAAGGAAAAAAAAAAAGGTAAAATTTGTGTATACATATTCAAGTGGAGATACAGTTAAGATGAACACTTTTGTCTTCTAACCCACCCCCTTTTTTTCTTAACCATTTCAACAGGGAGAATTAGAGTATATCTTGGTTCTAATTTTCCCTATCAAATAAGTAATTTCTGGCCAGAAAGTAACCGACTGCCAGTTCAGCCAAAGCTGCGGGGATGACGCAGAACCTCATTATCTCCCAACTTTTTCAACTTTGTGGGGTTATGCAATGACTCCACCCTTGGATAACATAGTAGGGACTAGGAAACCATAACTTAGACAACCTTGCAATTCACTCATCCCTCTGTAGTTATGTACAAGTCCTACGAGGTTGGATATAAAGGTATAGTGAATGCAGTTCTCTCCCAAAAACATCTCCCTTGGAAAACCAATGATCTCATGCCCTGGGCGGAGTTTCCTCTCACACTTCTTTATCTCACCATTTCATTTCTTGTTTTCCTGACACCATTTCTAAAATCAAACCATGATAGTAATTTGGCTTATGAATCTACTTCTGACACGAACTACAGCATTTCAGAACCCATCTTTATGCCAGTTGTATCTCAGATGGATTATAGATGGACATGAAGAAATCTTACACACAAAGCAAAAATATTAAATTAGGTTCCTGGTTTAATTAGCAAAAGATACATAACTGTATAAGAACTAGAGTGGCTGCCCAGGGTAAGAGCAGATGAACCACATATTTGAGTCACTTCCCTTGGCTGCTGGGGTCCTTGATAGGGGTCATGCAACTGCTGGTGAAACTGTGCATGAAATGTGAGTCCTTGCTGGATCTGAAAGGTTCATTACTGGCTATGTTCTTATTGACCTGCTATAATAATTCCTGAGGAATGTGCACTGATCATCAAACCCAGGCATTTAAGGAATTCTTACAAAACTTGTTCTCTTTTTGACCTTCACTTAAACTCAACTTCAGCAAGTCCCCACTCTAATTTAGAGGGAAAAAAAATCAGAATTATTCCCTGGCTTTCCAGGAAAACACCTCTTCCTCCAGCTTTCCAGCCTTCCAGAAGGCCCATTTTACTCTGGTGCCCCTGCCAGTTAGCACTAACCAGCTAAGAAAACCTAGTCAGCTCCAAGTGTGATGTTTCTTCCACCCCTAGCTATGACAGATTTTGTATTTTATTTTATTTTGGAATCCTATGTTAGGATTTTCCTTTTGCTTTCCAAAAGGCTGAATTGTTTTATTCAAAATTATAATTCATTTTCCTGTCCCAGGCTAGATGACTTTCTATGTATTCATATATTCAATAATCATTTACTAAGTGTGCATGCTCAGTCACTAGGTACTGTGCTCAAAGATGAATAACATGTAACCTCTGTGCAGTCTCATGGAAGAGTTTATAACCAATGGGGTCCCTCTCTTCTAAAGTCATATTCTTCTTTATCTCTAAACCAAACTGTTCTTTTTATATATCTGTGGGCCAAATCTCCTCTTAGGATCTAGAACATAAAAAGATCCACCTCATATCCTAGGTGCTTTAGGATTAGAGCTAGGGTTGACATGTTAGTGTTCAACACACATCCTATGAGAATGCAGAGCCCGGAAGTGTTTATAACAGACTTGGCATTGGATTGTTCTCCTCTGGTGGCCGTCTGGAACTGGACTTCCTGAGGAGCCATCTATGCTGTTAAATAAATTGAATTCTGGCCCAGTTTCCCTAGAAAGAAAAAAAAAACAATAAAGTTGGGGCAAAAAAGCAACCATCAAGCATGCACTGATCCTCTAAGACATACTTAGTGGACTCATTAGATCTGCTCACTGGCTGTGCCCTCAAACCACAGACAGTGGAACTTTAAACCAGGACCGGTTTGGTTCTCCAGCTGCAAAACAGAAACTCCCAAAGAGCAATGCAAAAAGAAGCATGAGCAATCAGACTTTTCTTTTCCTTTTGTGGTAATAAACTGTTTTTTTTTTTCTTGTGGAACTGAAGTCCTATACAAGTTACTCAAGAGACTTTGTGTTCTGTGGATTCCCTATATTGCTAACCTCTCCCTTACCACCTATGTCCAAGAGATAATCTATTGCCACCAATTTTCCCCTTATCTATTTCTGAATCCGTATCTTCTCTATCCTCACTACCACTGGTTTTGCCTTCTTTTGCCTTGACAAACGCCAACACTCCTTAACTTATCTCTCTACTTCCCATGCTATCCCCACTCCAATCCATTCTCCTCACTCCTTGCAAAAGGGTCTATCTCAACTATAATTCCTGGCCAGGAGCAGTGGCTTACACCTGTAATCCCAGCACTTTGGGAGGCCAAGATGGGCGGGTCACTTGAGCCCCAGAGTTCAAGGCCAACCTGGGCAACATGGCAAAACCTTATCTCTATGAAAAGTACAAAGAGTATCGGGGCTTGATGGAGCGCACCTCAGGTCCCAGCAACTCGGGAGGCTAAGGTGGGAAGATCGCTTGTGCCCAGGAGCTTGAGGCTGCAATGAGTTGTGATTGTGCCATTGCAATCCAGCCTGGCTGACAGAGCAAGACCATGTCTCCAAAAAAAGAAAAAAGAAAACAAACAAACAAAAACACTGTAATTTTTTTATTAGTTCCCAACTGGTTGCAGAATGAACTCCAAGCTTCTTTGTCCTGTTTCCTTCCTTCCTTGCTAGTCTCACTTCCCATCTTGTGATCTAGTGATTCCTAATTCCTTAAGGTAACACACTGTGCTACTTGCTGACATCCTTAATTGCTTATGCTGTTCCTTTTGAACCTCATGCCCTTCTTTGTCTGGATTAACTTCTACCCACAGTAGAAGACTTACCTTAGGCGTTCCCTCTCTAGAAAATCTAGAGACAGATCCACTGTCACTCTTAGGAATGAGTTCCCCATATTCCTACAGCACTCGATAGCTGCACGTACCACCACTGTATTGAAACGAGATTGTAAATTTATGAAAGGGAGAGACCATTGTGTTTGCTGTTGATTAATTTACGTTATTGAACAATCCAGAAATACAAAAAAAAGAAGGATTAAATGGCTACTTCTCAGTTTAGGAAATACAGCAACACTGATATATACCTATTACTCTGTGCAGAGTCTTGTTTTTCATCGTTTATACGGTCAGCTCTTAATACATCTCCCAGCCCATAATTGACATTTAGGAGGTACTTCTTTAAGTAAAGTAAGTAACAGCATGAGAATGATGTGCCATTAAATACTACTATTGGACATGTGCTTTGGAAAGTTTTCCAGCAGTGAAGACAAAGGGACAGAGTACTGAAATAGCCACCACACTCACTTGCGTTTTCTCCTTTAAGAATAGGGAAATTTTTTTTTAAACTATCAGGTCTAGATAGGGTCAAAGTCCTCACACCAGTGTGAAGTTTAGAATCTAGCCCTTAGCTTCACCCTTTTTATCACCAAAGTCCAACTAACTAAACCACGTTAAATTATCAGGATCTCTTTCCTGAAAAGCAGCTGTGGCCTTTAAGGAGTCCCATACTAACATACAGAAGATGGCAGAAGATGGTGAATAGTCTGGCTTCCAAACTATTAGAATATTTCAATACTATTTCTAACTCCAAGTACTGCATGAAGCCTGAAAGTACTTGGAGTTACAAATAGTGTTTCCCAACTTTCGGTGAAACCTCGTATCTACTACAAATACAAAAAATTAGCCGGGTGTGGTGGCAGGCACCTGTAATCCCAGCTACTCTGGAGGCTGAGGCAGGAGAATGGCGTGAACCCAGGAGGCAGAGCTTGCAGTGAGCCGAGATCGCGCCACTGCATTCCAGCCTGGGTGGCAGAGCGAGCCGTCTCAAAAAAAAAAATAATAATAATAATGTTTCCGAACTTTAGGTCTCAGGAGGAAACTTCTCAAATATTTAAATAGCCTCTGCCCCTGTTCACATCACAAAATCCCCTCTGGCAGTTCAGTTTCCTGCTTCCAGCATGACTACCTACATCACAAAACAAGTGACGAGAATATTGTCAAGAAGGAATTATAGGAACAAATATGAAAATGCAAATTTTGTTCCCTATTCAGAGGTGTTTATCTCCAGATATTCCATCCGATGGTCTTCTTCTTAAAGGTTCTAGGGATCTTGGATATTGTGACAAATACCACCATCATTTGAGCACGGAAAATGTCTCTAAGTGGCCCAGGTGCTTTCAACGTCTTGGAATTAAGAGTATTAATAAACCAGGGTCATCAAGTTTTTTCTATAAAGTGTCAGGAAGTAAACATTTTAGGCTTTGCATATCATACAGTCTCTGTCACAAATACTCAGCTCTGTCCTTGTAGGGCAAAAATAGCCATAGATAATACCTAATGATCATGGCTATGGTCAATTAAATCTTATTTATGAACAATAAAATTTGAACTTCACATAATTTCCACATTCCATTAAATATTATTATTTAAACTTTCAACACATGCTAAATATTTTATTTTCTTAGCGGTTTTCCTTCACTCCTATTTTTATCAGAAGAGGCTGAAATGAGTCATTCTATTAGTAAGATCTTGATTTTGACAAATTATAGTACAGGAATTTTATATGCATGTCATTAACTATCTCAAAGAATAGAAATTAAATAAGTTGGTACAATTAAGAGAAAACAGTAAATGATCACTTTCATGATAATTCATTTTTTTATTTCAACCTTTTAAATGATAAAAGCTAATTAGTATGAAACTCTTAGTAGACTCCTAATTGGTTTAGTGCTATCAAACCATGAAGTCCGTAATTTGCTGGAAAGTTGGCATGAGTTTCCTCCAGATACAGTAGTTCAAGAAAGTGCAGCAGCTTCAATGACTGATACAATCACAATTACTCACACTCTGATTATTACTGATCATTTGCCAGACCACTCACTTTGAGGACCTCACCAAAGTCCATAAGAAAGTGGGATGGGCCGGGCGTGGTGGCTCACGCCTATAATCCCAGCACTTTGGGAGGCCGAGGCAGGCGGATCACAAGGTCAGGAGATCGAGACCATCCTGGCCAATATGGTGAAACCCCGTCTGTACTAAAAATACGAAAATTAGCTGGGCATGGTGGTGTGCACCTGTAGTCCCAGCTACCTGGGAGGCTGATGCAGGAGAATCGCTTGAACCTGGGAGGCAGAGGTTGCAGTGAGCCAAGATCATGCCACTGCACTCCAGCCTGGTGACAGAGCAAGACTCCGTATTTAAAAAAAAAAAAAAGAAGAGAAAAGAAAGTGGGATATAAGATGGCCCAAATGACTTCTTTCATCACTAACATTCCTATGATGCTAACATTTCTGTCAGTTACAGAAGAAGGTAAAAGCATGTGTGAACAGCTTTTAAAAAAAATTTTACAAAAGCATCATGTTGGTGGAAAACAACTTTAAAGAAGAGCTTGTATATGATTCCAGTCCCAGATAACTTCAACAGCTACCTAAAGACTTGTTCTAGAAATGGGAAAATTTTGTTTTTCTGATACCCATTGCTTTTCTGGAGTGAACCACATTCACCTTTACATCATATCCATTGTTTTCAACTTTTTAGCTATAGTGTTTCGTTCATTCTTACCTCCCTCAGTCTCATCTTTTTCATTGAGAAAACTGATGTCATTTAGTTTGGGCCTCACAGCTACTTTATACATCACAGTCTGTCTCCATTATTACTATTATTATTATTATTATTATTATTATTTGCAGTTTTCTCTTTTCCTCCATTATTACCATTCCTCCTTTCCAAGGTCAACTTTTCGTCTGAGCTAGGAGCCCGCCCCTACTTCCTAATTCAGAATTTTATTCTATTCCATCTTTTCTTTCAATTTCTGACTCTCCCTCTTCTCTGATTTCAAACATAGCCCATTATCTCCATCCTGAACGTTTTTTAATTAACTTTCTTTGACTTGAAGTGACAGCCAAGCAATAATCCTAGAACCTTCCCCAGACAAAATTCTCAAAAGAATACAATTTATTTCCTTGCGAAACAATTTGGACAATTGTTTTTATATAGTGATCTAATTATATATTTAGAAATATTGAGTTCATGGAGGGATGATGAGGTATCACCGCTTTCCCAAAAATGCAGTTTCAATAAGAAATCAAATGGGTTTCTTTCTTAATTCTGACAAATATTTTAGGATATATTTTTTATCAATATTGAATTATCTTAACATAACTTATTAATTAGTCCAGCCCTTGTCTGCCTCCTGATTTTTTTTTTGAGACGAAGTCTTGCTCTGAAGCGCAGGCTGGAGTGCAGTGGCGCAATCTCGGCTCACTGCAACCTCCACCTCCTGGGTTCAAGCGATTCTTCTGTCTCAGCCTTCTGAATAGCTGAGACTACAGGTGCACACCACCATGCCCAGCTAATTGGCCAAGCAGGTCTCGAACTCCTGACCTTGTGATCCGCCTGCCTTGGCCTCCCAAAGTCCCTGCCTCCTGATTTTTAATATCAATTTCCTAAAATTTTTATGGAAAAGCAAAGAATGAAAAATGGCAATGTTGAGAAAGAACCAGAAAGAGTGATTTGTTCCACTGGAAATCAAGTCTCCTTATGAAGCTATCTTAGTTAAAACAATGTGAAATTGACACAATTTGGACATGACTAAAAGCAATAAAACAAACAACTTGTGAATATTCTCTTAGATTTTCTATGTAGAAAATTAGGTTTTGAACAATAATAGTTTTATTACATCCTTAACCTTAAACATTTTATTTTATTTTTTCTTAATTTTTTGCACGGTTTGGGGCCTCCTATATAATGATAACAAGAAAACACAATAGCAATCATTTTTTGTCATATTCTTGATTTGAAAGAGAATATTTTAGTATTTTACTACTAGGTATGTTTGCTGTGGGTTTGGGGGTGATATCTATTATTAAAGAGAAATCTCATTTATTCCTAGTTTGCTAACAGTCTTTAGAAACCTTATGCATCCATTTCAATGTCATATTGTTTTACTTCGTTAATCAATTAATGTACTAAATTATTTTCATAGTTTTTTTTCTAGTGTTTATCCTTGCATTTCCGGGACAGGGTTTACACTTGGTCATCATATACTAATTTATACATATTTAGTTGGGATTTTTTAAATTGTTATTCATCAGGGAGATTGAGCATTTAATTTTACTTTCACATATTGTCTCATTAATACAGTGTTTTCATTTAACTTTCAGATTTTTGCCAATCTGATAAAAAAAAAATAAGGTGTAGTTTTAATATACATTTTCATTAAGAGTAAGATTGACTGTCCTTGTTCGTTAACCTCATTTCTACAAACAAAAAGTAACTAAGCATAGTTTTGATATACATTTCTGTTCTTATGAGTGAGGTGAAGCATCTATTAATATATTCAACAGAAATTTTTATTTCCTTCACCATGAACTTTCTTTTCCTCTCCTTCACCCCATCTATCTATTGAATTATTGATTTTTTTCTTTATTTGTAGAGAATTTCTTTACATACTAAGATTAACCACTTTACTATAATCTGAGTTAACATATTTTCTTAGTTTGTTCTTTGTATTTTGCTATCATTGCTATACTTTGCCTGTGATATTTTCATCATGAAATATTTTTATTTTTATGCAGTCAAATTTGTCAATTTTATGCATTCATGAAATTTATTTTTCTTTTAACACAGGTTGATTCAGATAGAGTTAGAAAATCCTTCCCCACTCAGAGATTATTTCCCCCATTTTTTCTCTTATTTCCCTGCATTTTTTATAGTTAAATCATTGATTCAGTTGGCATTTACTTTAGTGTGCTGTATAAGATCAAGATCTGGCCAGGCGCAGTGGCTCATGCCTATAATCCCAGCACTTTGGGAGGCCGAGGCGGGTGGATCACCTGAGGTCGGGAGTTCGAGACCAAGCCTGACTAACATGGTGAAATTCTATCTCTACTAAAAATACAAAAAAAATTAGCCGGGCATGGTGGCGCATGCCTGTAATCCCAGCTACTCAGGAGGCTGAGGCAGGAGAATCACTTGAACCTGCGAGGTGGAGGTTGCAGTGAGCCAAGATCACACCACTGCACTCCAGTCTGGGCAACAGGAGCAAAACTCTATCTCAAAAAAAAAAAAAAAAAAAAATCAACATCTAACCATAATTTTTTCAGATCCCAGTTTTCCTAATGCAGTACCATATATTGAAGTTAATCTTTTCCCGGTTGATTTAAGGCGTCCTGCTTATCATGTACTAAATTCCATGAAGCCATTCTGCTTTCTCCCCTTTTTCTCTCATAAACAGTGATAGCTTGCTCTTTTTAAATATATGGACCTATCTGTATGTTTGTTATGGCCCTTTTTGCCGGGGGTCTTTTAGGTATTTTGGATCCTATTAGCCATGTTTCCTGCTAAATATTAAACTCCTGGAGGGCACAATACAAAAAGGGCAAAAAATACAGTAGATGGGAAACAAATGCTTTGAGCAAAAGAAAAAAAGACTGTTGAAGGCTCTTGTGTTACCAACTGTCTACCCCAGGACAAGAGGGTACCCTACACTCTGTTCCAATCATTAACATACTCGTTCTTCTGCCCTGGGTTTGGAGTAGACATGGTGTCTGTCCAGCTTCACCAGCAAGAGAGTTGGTACATGGCCTAAAAACCACTGACCTGTGTCCTAAGGTAGGATAACTTCCCATGTCTGATTGCATCATTTAACGAGATGCCAAGGCTGCCTATCTGTGCTCCATTTTTTCCCAGGGGAGATCCCAGATCTCTACTCTGATGATGAAGTTGAAAACATCATAAGCAATGTGAGGAATGAAGTCAAGAGCCAGGGTCTGGTTGACAACAGAGAGAACTGTTGGAAGTTCTTTATAGATCGGATCCGGCGACAGCTGAAGGTAAAGAGCATTTACTGACAGGGGCAGGCAGAGACCCGAGATGATTCATGGGAGCTTCCACTGATATTTCGGGCACAACTGTCCTTATTGATTGTCTAGAGTAGGTGGTGAGTGTGCGGCACCCTTCTCAGCCTGAGCACAGTTGCCAGGACACCCTTCTCATCTGCTTTAAGGGCAGCAGCATCCCTTGTGGATCACGCAGTCCCAGCGTTTTTGATCTCTTGGCTGGTGAGGCTGGCTAGCATTTACAGATATTATCTCTGTTGGATGTGCTTCCCAATCTTCTGGGAGCTAGAGAACCCAAGGCCATATCTGCCTCTCCGTGAGTATTTCTCTGATGCCTTCCTGGTTCTCCCCACCCTTCTGACTTCTCAGGTGACTCTCTGTTTCTCCCCTGTGGGAAACAAGCTAAGAGTCCGCAGCAGGAAGTTCCCAGCCATTGTGAACTGCACAGCCATCCACTGGTTCCACGAGTGGCCTCAGCAAGCATTGGAGTCTGTCAGCCTCCGCTTCTTGCAGAACACAGAGGGCATTGAGGTGAGAGAGAAAAGGAGACACTCCTAAAAGTCCTTCCCAGATGAGGGTACAATGAATTCCCTGTCCAGGATGTTAGGGTTAAAGATCAAGCTTGAAGCATAAGTTTCCACATGGTGGAGGAATGGCTGGGGTGAGGGGTGAGCAGTTGCCTCCAATCTTCAACACAAGATAATCTTTTCATTTCTTGCTCTTTGGTTTTAGCCCACAGTAAAGCAGTCGATTAGCAAATTCATGGCCTTTGTCCACACAAGTGTCAACCAAACATCCCAGTCTTATCTGAGCAATGAACAGCGCTACAACTATACAACTCCCAAGTCCTTTCTGGAGTTCATCAGACTCTACCAGAGCTTGTTGCACAGGCACAGAAAAGAGCTCAAGTGCAAGACAGAGCGGTTGGAGAACGGGCTGCTGAAGCTGCATAGCACCTCTGCCCAGGTGAGCAATGTCCCGCTCCTTCCACCTGCAGGGGACTTGGAGGGAGCTGAAGCAGCCCTTTCCAGTGAACTGGAGGGATCACAATCAAGATCTGAAAAATATGTACGGTTTTCCAGAGACTCCCATGTCATCAGTATCTATTATGTTCTCGTGTGTTGCTTTCATCCCTTTGGCTTTTTTTCTCTACATTGTAGGAGAGCTTTTCAAGTTTATCCTTGTCCATAGTAACAGTATCCTCACCATCAGAAACAGTACCAAAAGTTCAGGCTGAGTTCCCCAGCAGAAGTGCATATGCCCCGCTCAGGTCTGATCCATCCGCTCTCATTGATGCTGGAATCCCCTGAAGCACCTCTTCCCTCTTCCTCTTTGCAATTTCTTCGTTTTCCTCTCCAATTCACTTCCCTTCCATCCTCAAAACCAAAAGAAATGAATGGTGAAAGGAAATGGGGAATGGCTGCAGGGTTATACTATTTTTGTTTGTTTTGTCTTACTCTGTTATTTGTCAAAGAGCCATTGGAACCTCAATTTTTCAAAAAGCCCTGTCTCATTTCATGCATCTCTAAGTAGTCATCTATCTCTATCTGAGTAGTTGGCCATGGAAAGAAGGCCCCTGTCGGCCGGGCACGGTGGCTCACGCCTGTAATCCCAGCACTGTGGGAGGTCGAGGCTGGTGGATCACGAGGTCAGGAGATCGAGACCATCCTGGCCAACATGGTGAAACTCCATCTCTACTAAAAATACAAAAATTAGCTGGGCATGGTGGCGGGTGCCTGTAGTCCCAGCCACTCAGGAGGCTGAGGCAGGAAAATCACTTGAACCCAGGTGGCGGAGATTGCAGTGAGCCGAGATTGCACCACTGCCGTCCAGCCTGGGTGATAGAGTGAGACTCCATCTCAAAAAAAAAAAAAGAAAGAAAAAAAGAAAGAAAGAAATCCCCTGTCATCCTGTCCTTGTTATGTTTTTCTGTTTACTTCTCCAAATGGAACAGGTTTATTTCAGTCAATTTGCTCATCTTCCCTTGGGAGTTGGGGCCAACTCTTGCAGCTGCTTCGCCTCTGCTCACGCCCATCAAATACTGCCTCTTTGATGACCCCTTTCTATTTTCTCTTCTCCAGCAGCAGAGCCAGCCTCTCATTAAGGTGGCGAAATTTCATGAATTTGCACAATTAAACTAAAATTGTGATCCACCTAATTCTTGGACATCATGTGTTCCTGTAGTTATCTGAGCCTTTCATTTTGCCTTTGGAATTGTTCTATTGAACTTTCTCCTTTTGACTTGTCCTTTTGCCCCTCTTCAATTTCTTGATTCAGAAGTATTAAATGTACCTAAAGGATTTAAGTTCATTTAGTGGGATGCAGTGAGCCCTCGCAATCTGTACACATAGATTTTCTTCTGCTCAGGAAGTGGTCCTTCTGTGATATGATTTCACTCGTCAGATCTGGTCTCTCCTCTGGGAGCAATAGTCAGTTGGATGGGGTCCCTGTGCCCCATATCTGTTATGTTCTCATGTGTTGCTTTCATCCTGTTGGCTTTTTTCTCTAAATTGTAGGAGAGCTTTTCAAGTTTACCCTCACCAATACTAATTTAATAGTGTGTAATATTGCTTCTTCTTCTTAGGCTTGCAATAAAGACTTTAATTATGCCATTGAATTTTTAATTTCCTAACAACCCTTTCGCATTTTATCCTTTTCTTTTTTCGGTGCATCCTATTACTATTTTATTTTGGCCTGTTTTTCTGCTACAGTTTCACAGAAACTGTCCTACTGATAATGCCAAACAGGTTCCTCCATGTTTTTTCTAGGTCTGGTAATGGATCGTTTTCAGTACTGTCTTCTCCTTCTCCTTCTCCTTCTCCTCCTCCTTCTCCTCTTCCTCCTCCTCCTCCTCCCCCTCCTTCTTCTTTTTCCATGCTATTCCATTCTTTGCTCTGTGGTTTTATATAGACCTTTTTTTTTCTTTATTTACCTTCAGGAAACATGAGATCACTTCAAACTCAACGTTTGCCAACAAATGGCATGTGCAAATTATCTGTGATACCCCTGTCTTTCCCTTTGTATGATGACGAAAACCTCTTCTTAGGATTCCAGTTCAGGGCATCGTAAGCTACACAGATCCCAGTCTAGGTCCTAGGAGTTTACCTTTGCTATAGAAAGGTAACATCTTTTCTCCTGATCACTTTCTGTTTGTTTCAATCTCTGAATCTGTAGCAAACAGCATAGAATACAATCTCAGAATGCAGTACTACCAGATTTTTAAAAACATCTTCCACCTCCCCATTGTGCTTCCTCTCCTCACCGCCTACCATGCCCTCACAACATTTTCCACCAGCCCTGTTCTCCCTCCTATCTATTTATCCTCTGGGAATTGCTGGCCCATCTGTTTGAAGAATGGTTGCCAGGAAGTAAGGGATAGGAAAAATACTTTGATCCTCTCATGGAGCAGAACCCAGTATTCTATTTTGTACAGAGCCTGGGTCTTTGAGCAGAGACTGAAGAAAGCACAGTTTCTGTGTTACTGTTGTAGGTGATCTCTATTTAACAAGGAGATGCCTGGCTATACCATTAGGTGACTGCAGCTCTAGCTGCACATAGTGGAGAATCCTCCCAAGTCCTGATCTTGCCAGGAGCCAGCACAGGTTCTTGTCTTTGCCACACAAAAGAATTTGAAAGCAAGACCAAAGTGATAGTATGGAAGCTTTATGCACACACTCAAGAGAGGAATGCAGGCATGCTAAAAAGAACAAGCCACACCCAGTGTGGTCAGAGCTCACATACTATATGGAAAAGCATAATGAAAGCACAAAATATTCTATAATGAGGGAAGAGGTTTTCTAGGAAATAGGCAGGCAATTCCCAGAATCAGGACTTTTCTTGACTAAATATGGTTAATCTGGAACTATCATGGTGTCAGGTGCATGATGGGAGTGGGAGGGTTCCCCATGGAAATTTTATGGTAATAGGACATAATGAAGCCAAGGACTGACAGCTGGTCAGGTTTTTGGCCATCTTGGATTTAACCAGTTTCAGCTGGTTTCTTCTTTGTTCCATTCTTATCTGTGCCTAAAGAAGGATGTGTGCAATCTGTCTTTATTGTTAAGCCTGTTGTAACAGTTGCTTCCTACTAGGGGGTGGGTCCTTGTGCTAACCTGTTTGGCCTCGTTTGCATTGCTTTTAGTCACCTGCAAGTAATCAAGCCGATTCCCTGCTGCCTGCCTCATTGGCATCAGATTCAGTATTGGAGACCACCACCAATGACCTTCTTAGGTTATATTCTCTACTTCAATGAATGATGCTTCTGCTATCCAATTCCCCAGGCCGGAAGCTGGGGGGGTAATTTTAGACTCTTCCCTTTCCTCAGTTCCCACATTTAAAAATTACTAAGATTACTAAGTTCTGTATGTTTTCTTTTTCTTTTTCTTGGTTTTTTTTTTTTTTTTTTTTTTTGAGGCGGAGTCTTGCTCTGTCGCACAGGCTGGAGTGCAGTGGCGCGATCTCGGCTCACTGCAAGCTCTGCCTCCCGGGTTCACACCATTCTCCTGCCTCACTCCCAAGTAGCTGGGACTACAGGTGCCTGCCACCATGCCCGGCTAATTTTTTTTTTGTATGTTTAATGGAGACGGGGTTTCACCGTGTTAGCCAGGATGGTCTTGATCTCCTGACCTCGTGATCCGCCCGCCTCGGCGTCCCAAAGTGCTGGGATTACAAGTGTGAGCCACCGCGCCCAGCCAGTTCTGTATGTTTTCTAAATATCTCTCAATTCTGTCCTCTTGTTGAGTCCCTACTTTCTTTTTTTTTTTTTTTTTTTTTTGAGACAGAGTCTGGCTGTATCGCCCAGGCTGGAGTACAGTGGTGCAATCTTGGCTCACTGCAACCTCCACCTCCCAGGTTCAAGTGATTCTCCTGCCTCAGCCTCCTGAGTAGCTGGGACTACAGGCACCCGCCACCATGCCCAGCTAATTTTTGTATTTTTAGTAGAGATGGGGTTTCACCATGTTGGCCAGGATTGTCTCAATCTCTTAACCTCAAGTGATCCACCCGTCTTGGCCTCCCAAGGTGTTGGGATTACAGGCGTGAGCCACCATGCCTGGCCGAGTCCCTACTTTCAACATCTTGATTTAGACACTTCTTACCTGGATGATTTCAACAAACTGAACTCTCAATCCAGCATCACCCACTACCTCTTGCATCACCCACTATGTGAGGCCATTCTTGCATTGCTATAAAATACCCGAGGCTGGGTAATTTATAAAGAAAAGAGGTTTAATTGGCTCACAGTTCTGCTGGCGGTACAGGAAGCATTGCACTGGCATCTGCATGGCTTCTGGGAAAGCCTCAGGGAGCTTTTACTGATAGGGGAAGGCGAAGGAGGACCAAGTATCTCACATGGTGAGAATGTGAGTAAGACCAAGAGTTGGGGAGGAGGTGCCACACACCTTTAAATGACCACGTCTCACAAGAACTCACTAACTCCCACAAGTGCAGTGCCGAGGGGATGGTACTAAGCCATTCATGAGACATATACCTCTATGTTTCAGTCACCTCCCGCCAGGCCCCACCTCCAGCATTTGACAGTTCGACCTGAAATTTCTCAGGGATGTATATTCAAACTATATTACCCACACAGGCCAAAGTCCTTGGGATCATCCTTGGTTCTTTTTTTTTTTTTCTTGAGATGGAGCTTCACTCTCTCACCCAGGCTGGTGTGCAATGGCACAATCTCGGCTCACCGCAACCTCCGCCTCCCAGGCTCAAGCGATTCTCCTGCCTCAGCCTCCCAAGTAGCTGGGATTACAGGCATGCGCCACCACACCCGGCTAATTTTTGTATTTTTAGTAGAGATGGGGTTTCATCATATTGGTCAGGCTGGTCTCGAACTCCTGACCTCAGGTGATCCACGTCCTTGGTTCTTTTTACTCTCCTCTTACTCTCACACCTACACCCAAACCATGAGAAGATCACTATTGGCTCTGACTTCAAAATACACCCAGAATCCCACCACATCTCACTCCTTTCAAAGCGCTACTGCTGAGTCATGGATATCTTTTACCTTCATAGCCACAAGACCCTTCTAACTAGTTTATTTGCTTCTACTCTTGCCCCTCTGTAGTCTATTCTCAGCTGAGCAGCCAGAGTGGTCAATTTAGAACATAAATCAGAGGCTGGGTGCGGTGGCTCACACCTGTAATCCCAGCACTTTGGGAGTCCGAGGCGGGTGGATCACCTGAGGTCAGGAGTTCAAGACTAACCTGGCCAACATGGTGAAACCTTGTCTCCACAAAAATATAAAAAATAGCCAGGCATGGTGGCATGCGCCTGTAATCCCAGCTACTCGGGAGGCTTAAGCAGGAGAATTGCTCGAACCTGGGCGGTGGAGGTTGCAGTGAGCTGAGATCGCACCATTGCACTCCAGCCTGGGCAACAAGAGTGAAACTCCGTCTCAAAAAAAAAAAAAATAGTGCCCGAACAGAGTGGGCACTCATTAAATATTTGTTGAATGAATAAATTACTGAATGAATAACATTCTGTTTCCCAGACTGTATGCTGGTAGCACACTAGACCAGCACTACCCTTGCATATTTCTGCATCCTTTTCTTCCTCGGTTCTACCACACTGTACCCTAGAGTCCAACAGTACTCTTGCAGCGCCCCCAAAACTCTACGACTGGTTCACATCTCTGTATCTTTACATGTACCCCCACCTTGTCATCACTTCCGAGACCTGAACAATTTGTTCCCCACTGCTCCAGAAGCCCTTTCTAAACTCTGAGCAGTTATGCATTCCCTTCTCTCTGGGTTCCATCCTTGAATTATGTCTCCACTCCTGAATATATCAAGCTATACTGCTATTAATCCTTCAAGGGCAGGGACCAGGATTCATTTTTCTTTTAGCATCAGGAACTGACACATGGCAAGCACTCTACAAATGGGTGAATAAATGGATAGGTGAATAGATGAAGGGTGGAGAGGCAAATTAACACTGAACAATCCCAACATCACCTGCGAGCTCAGAGTGGGGGTGGAGGGTAATTCTCGGCAATACTGTGCACATGGTATTCATTCCATAAACACTTGGCAATGGTTATAATAATGATTCTTCTAGTAAAAATGGTATCTATGGTTCCTAACTCTGTAACAAACTCTTAATCTGCAGTTGTTCCTTTGGTATAAAAAGACTGAAGTATACCATCAAAATAGTGGTATAAGGCTAAGGACTTGAGTTATTTTGTATTGGTATCCTACCGCTTGATTATGAGAGGTTTTGATGCTAGTAATCTGGCGGGAGGAGGCTAAATGAACATTATAGCCTTAGCTCAGATAAAAGACAAATCTATTTAGCAATGATAATTGTGTTAGAAGTAGGAATGATAATTGTAATAATGATGAAAATTAACAATTATATTGTAAAGTTCACAAACTTATTTATTTACTTATTTGCTTATTTATTTATTTATTTTTGAGACTGAGTCTCACTCTGTCACCCAGGCTGGAGTGCAGTGGCCTGATCTTGGCTCACTGCAACCTCTGCCTCCCAGGTTCAAACGATTCTCATGCCTCAGCCTCTGAAGTAGCTGGAACTACAGGTGCGTGCCACCGTGCCCAGCTAATTTTTGTATTTTTAGTAGAGATGGGGGTCTCGCCATGCCGGCCAGGCTGGTCTCAAACTCTTGGCCTCAGGTGATCCTCCCGCCTGGGCCTTCCAAAGTGCTGGGATTACAGGCATGAGCCACCACACCTGGTCAAAGTTCATAAACTTTAGACTTATAATTTCATTATTAGAGCTGATCATAAATGTAACTTTATTTTTCTATAGCTGAATTCAACATGGCTCTGGATCCATCTTATTCATTTAAGAGTAGAAAGCTCTTAATATTAATCTTGCATTGCATTGTGACATAGTCACATCAAGTTAAAAACTTAGTCTTTGGACAGTAGTCAGTTCAGAGTTAAAACTCTCCCACAGGCCTGTTTCCCTCTGGAGGGACTTTTCCTCCTTCTCCTCTCTGTGGTGGACTTGGGTTTCCAAAGGCAGCTGACAAAACATCCTGGTGAACTCCTCCAGTTCTCACTGGCTCTGGTGGCCAGTGCTGGTCCTACCAGATCTTTAGGTGGCATCTTCTGTTTCTGCGTCAATGTCAGCTGAAGTCTCACAGCTGGTGTCATTGCTTCCTTTCTCTTGGCATTGCCTGGTCCCCCTTTCCTGAGTTAGGTTTCACTTGTCCCTCGTTGGCACTGCTCACATGCCACTGTCCTCCCAGCACCTACATTTAACTCAGGTGTAGTCATGAGGAAAAGAGGGTTGTTGGATAGAAGAAATGTTTATAAAAGACCTCAAGGCCATTGCCAATTGCCTGCATATAGGACTCAATCCACACATCTGTCAATCTGGAAACTTAAATTCAGTTTATCTTGGGGTTTTCAAATAGTCTCAGGTCATCAAACTTACTGAAGTTGACAGTTTCATAATTCATGATGATGTACTAGGATTCTTTTGGTTGTAACTGAAAAATTCTAACTCAAATTCATTTAGTGAGAAAAAACGAAAAATGAAAGGAAGGGAAGATGGGAAGGGACGGGTGGGAAAATAGAGAGAGGAAAGAGAAAATCTTGAGATTACATGATGTCGTTATCAAGACGTTTTTGATGGCAACCAATGAAAATCCAACTGAAGTTGGTTTAGGCAAAACAACAAAATAAAATAAATGAATTCGTTTGTATAACTGAAAAGTCAAAGATAGGGCTTAATTTGAACAGGGCTGGAGCTAGAGACTTGCATGATATTCTGTACATCTTGGTTTTCCCATAGCTGAAGAATCTCTGTGACTTGGATACTCTCGTTGGCCAAGGCAGGATCAAATGACAGCTGGAATAAGCCCCACTGAAACTATAAGGATTTGGAAGGGAGAGTTCTCCAAAGGAAACTTAAACTAAGTTACCAGAATAAAGGTGAACATTTATTAGGCAGGCAGACATTACAGGCATAGGTAGGACACATCTATATCTAAAAGGAAAGCTTCCTTGAAATTCAAATTCATATCAGAAAGAGCTGGATGACTATATGGACACAGCGTAAGCAGGAAAATATCTCTAAGCTTCTGTTTTAGTCCCGTTTATATTGCTATAAAGGAATACCTAAGGCTGGGCAATTTATAAAGAAAAGAGGTTTATTTGGCTCACAGTTCTGCAGGCATACACAAAGCATGGCACCAATGTCTGCATCTGATGAAGGCCTCAAGCTGCTTCTTTTCATGGTGGAAGGGAAAGTGGAGCTGATGTGTGCAGATATCACATGGCAAGAGAGGAGGCAAGAGAGAGAGGGGAGGGAGATGCCAGGCTTCTAAAAAATAACCAGCTCTCAAGGGAACTAATAAAGTGAGAACTCACTCACCCACCCCCACAGGAAGGGCATTTATCTCTTCATGATGGACCCGCCCCCATGACACAAATATCTTCCACTTGTCCCCACCTCCAACATAGGGGATCAATTTTCAACATGAGGTTTGGAGGGTCAAATATCCAGACTATAACAGTCTCCAGCCCTCAGTGTAGTATTTATTGCTGCTGGTTGCCCTGGGCTTCTTCTCCTTCTATGGCAACCAGTGATGCTATCCCATCTTTCCCCAAATCCTAGAGCTGCCTGAAGAAAGAAAGTTCTCCCCCACAGGCAATGCGGGGAAAACACTCCTTTTCAGTTCTTCTAGTTCCTTCTCAGTTTTATGCCCAAGCTGACTGGAGCACTGCAGAAACATCATGACTGCTCTCTTTAGCATCATGTGCCTGGTTCTTGAAGAAGGGATGGTCACCCACCACCACTGCATTGTCATCCCACTCAGTCAGCACCATTTACCACCATGGTCCCCATCACCCACCACCACTGTATTGTCACCCCACTCAGTCAGCACCATTTACTACCATGGTCCCGATTCAGGGGACCAGCAGGGCTGAGGGAAAGGGTCTCTTCTGTGTTTATGGCATGCTCCCTCTCAACCTTCCCATCCAAGTGTGGTTGTGTCTAAATAAGGAGACCTCCAAAGTGTAGCTGGGATGTTTTAAATAAGGGAGAAGAGAAAGATGTAAAGTAACCATTTCAACTTCCCATTCTATTGCAGAAAAGCCATAAAATGGACCTGAGTTATGCCCCTTGTGAAGCTTGGTTGGGGGAGCCCTAATTCTGACTGATGGGACCCTCCTGTCACTCCATGTCATGGTTTAAGAGCTGTGAAGCTCCTATTCACAGTGCTGGTGGTTATTTACCTTGGACCTGAGGTCATAAGCCATATCTGCAATCAACAAAACAAAACAACAACCAAAAAAAAAGCCACTTCAATTTTCTCAAATCTCCCAAGATTTAAAAAGGAACAAAAAGTTACTGGTGTGTTTGCTGACTGGAGTGATTATGCCGCTCAATCATTTTGATTTACAATTGCATCTTTGTCCCTGTAGAAATAACTCTCCGCAGCTGAACAACAGGAGATGGAAATGGATTAACCTTCCAACTTGTGAATGTAAGACAAGTTCTAGGGAGCAGGCCTCCGTTTGAGGTTAACACAAAGTCTCCCGTTTCAATGAATACACAAAATTAAAGAGCATTCTCTTTTTTCCCTTTCCTTTTCTTTTCTTTTGATCTGCCCTGAAAAGGGAATTATCAACAGCGTGTAAGCCTCAGTTTTATTTTTCCCCTTGTGCATTTTGCATCATAAAGCACTGGAATCTGTTTGACGTGTTCCAGGAGCTCTGAAGTAACCTTTGGTTGTTGCGTGAAATAGACTGCAGAAAAATGAGAGGCAAGAGGCCATTCTGGAATGTAAAGTTTATGGGCCGTATTGCAAATACAAATAGCTTCTTTACTTTCTAGAAATAAATAGGTCTGTGTCTTTCCTTTGCATCTGAAAAGGCCATTACACTAGGCCAGTGACTCTCAAACTTAGACGGGCATCAGAGTCACCGTTAAAACAGATTGCCACCCCCAGAATTTCTGATTCAGTACATCTGGATTAGGACTTGAGAGTTTGCATTTCTAACAAGTTTCTAGGTGATGCTGATGCTGCTGGTCCAGGGATCACATCACTCTGCTGATCTGAAAGTAGATAGAAAATCATCCTTCTCTCCCAGCTCATGAGCAGAATGGAAGTTTTCTCAGGTGCTGATATTCCCATCACTTTATTACTGCCTCCAGGTGTCATATGACTTCAGAGGCTGGGCTGGATGGGAAATTCAGCTGGCCTGGGCCACTGGGATTCTTACTGTTCAACTTTAATCTGGCCATCTATTTCTAGTAAGGACTGTGTAAATAAATGGAGACCAATCACATGAGAACAATCAAAGGCTATTTATTCAGAGCTTGCTCTAGCAAGAAAGTCAGCCACCATTACTTGTGCTTAGCCACTCAAAGGCAGGCAGAAAAGTGAAAAAACTTTATAGTCAAAAGAGGGAAGGCTTCCAGTGTGCCCTGCGGTAGGCGGGCTCACTGGAAGTCTGATGTTCTATGTGATTGGTTAGGGGAGCATGTTTGGCTTTCTCTGGGTGGTCCACAGTTGGAAGCAGGGATAAAAATTAAGGAAATTGTTTATTGTTAATCAAGTCCTGGCCATTTGGAGCCACTTGCTATAGGGGTTTTTGTTTGTCTTCCTGCAATATTACTAGAGATAGAAGTCCGACTTCCTACAAGTCTGACTTAGCAAGCTGGCTTCCTGGGCTGGTTATTGTAGAAAAAGGGTTGGTTCCTAAGCAGGTTGCTTCAGATTATGGATCAGAGGTCAGTTTTTATATATGTTCTATCATTGTCCACTTGGACATTCAGTCTTTCAGGATTCACAGTAGACATTCCCTTTTTGTATCTTGTTAAATCTTTGGCACACTCCACACTGGCTACTTTTAATTAAATTATGACTGATCTTTATTAAGGGCCTACTATATGAAAAGTATTATGTTAAGTACATGAAGCTTTATAAGCAATAGCTACCAATGTCAGTGAGAAGCAGCCTAAGCTGTTTTGGCATCAGGGAGAAAGGTCAGGGCCGGGTGTGGTGGCTCATGCCTGTAATTTCAACCCTTTGGGAGGCTGAGGCTGACAGACCACCTGAGATCAGGAGTTCAAGACCAGCCTGACCAACATGGTGAAACCACATCTCTACTAAAAATACAAACATTAGCTGGGCTTGGTGGCACATGCCTGTAGTTCCAGCTACCTGAGAGGCTGAGACAGGAGAATCTCTTGAACCCAGGAGGCGGAGGTTGCAGTGAGCCGAGATCACGCCACTGAATTCCAGTCCGGGTGACAGAGTGAGACTCCGTCTCAAAAAAAAAAAAAAAAAAAAAGAAGAAGAAGAAATAAAAAAGAAAGGTCAGGGCACATGTAATTTAGAATATTCCAGCACATTTACTATGGTGGAGAGAGGACATCAAGAGTTCCTGGGAAAGAAACCCAGGTCAGGGAGCCTGGTCCCATCTGACAGCGCAGCTTTGTACCTTTGTATCAGGAGCTGTCATCTATTCTGCTCCACAGAGTTGGGTCCTCAGGTCATGCCCAACAGGCCAGTGACTAGTCCAGTGCCCACAGTCCCTCCAGTCACAACTCCTGATAAGTCCCGTGCTTCTCCAATGCAGGTGGATGATCTGAAAGCAAAGCTGGCTGCCCAGGAAGTAGAGCTGAAGCAGAAAAATGAAGATGCAGACAAACTGATTCAGGTCGTGGGTGTGGAGACTGACAAAGTGAGCAGAGAGAAAGCCATGGCAGATGAAGAGGAGCAGAAGGTGGCCGTCATCATGCTAGAGGTGAAACAGAAGCAGAAGGACTGTGAGGAGGACCTGGCAAAGGCTGAGCCAGCACTCACAGCAGCGCAGGCAGCTCTCAACACCCTGAACAAGGTAGGAGGACTGTCTGCCATACCTGCTCATCCCTCAGGGGCTGGTAGACGCAGAGACCACCTTGGCATTCCCAAGAGATGCAAGGACAATGTTGGGAGAGTTTAGGGTGGGCTCCAACTGTCACTGATTTGCTCATTAAGCAAGCAAACATTTCTTAGGACTATCTTTTCGGTTCCATGAGCTACCAATGAAATCCCGGAGATGGGAATCTTAGAACCAGACAGAACATGAAAAGTCAGCTGATCCAAACTCCTTACTTCATGTATGAGAAAACCAAGGCCCAGGGAGGAGGACAGACTAGGCCAGACCCATAAACTTAAATATTAGAGCAGAGACTTGAATTTACATCTTCAAAATCTAATCCCAGGGATCTTCCTGCTCCAGTAACCCAGGACCATTTTGCCCTTTAGGTTCTGTGGGACACACGAGCCCTTTAAGGTTTTTATGTTAAATGTTTAAGATAAGAGAATAAAATAATATGTTAGCCTCAAAATATACTTTTTAATCTATAAAATCAAAATTGGTAAGTAATTAAGTGGCAACCACATAACTGTATGTCAACTAAATTAAACTCATAAATTTACTCTGGAAGGAAGGTGGGGAGGGCACGAGGCTTAGCCACTCTTTTCTTTTCTCATTTTTCACAATTAACTTTTTTTCCCACTTGGATAACCATGGTTGAGAGGCAAAGGTGGAAGGAAAAGAGGGGCAGTCAGACTCAAGTCATTATGAGTTGGCACCAGAGATGGACAGAAAGCTGCCCCCTTTTCTGTTGAGATGCTCACATATGTTTTTTGGAGATCCTCTGCCAGTCACTGGGGACCTCATCCCTACAGATTGCTTTCTCTGCCTTCTCCCGAGAGTCTGGCAGTTCCCTTTCTTCCTTCAAATGAAACACTTGGGCAAGTTCTAAAACAACCTATGGCGGCTGAGCCATGCAAGTGGCTCACATCTGGTCCACTGGAGATTTCCACACCACCTTTCCCTGAACAAGCTCTAAGAGGCCCCCCATGCCGAATACTCTGCCCACATGCCTCGGAGCTAGCCCGCTATTTGTATGCACTCTAGATTTCTGGGATGTAAGTTAGACCCCAGTCCACCGTGCCAGTCAAACTTCAGGAGAAACATATTAAGCTCACTGAGTAGTCTTTTTGAAGTCCCTCCTTCCATATTTCATGTGAAAAGGGGTAGCTGCCACATCCTCCCTTGAAGGCACAGTGGGTGGGATGCACCAGTAATCCTCATGGAAGTTTCCTCTTAATCTCTAACCTCCTGACTTTCTTATATCCTCAATTAGAGTAAAGGGTTGAAAAGTCAAAAAAGCTAATCTTCTGAAACCTTCTTGAATTCTGCATTGTCACCTCATACCTCACATTGGAATGTAGCATCTATTGCCTCAGGGCCTCAACTAGGCACATTGTAAAATCCTATTATAGATGGTTATAATAAAATTATATTTAATGTGAGATGTGAGTGCATTTTTGTATTTTTTATGATGTGGCATAAGGAAACCCTAAAAGTAAGGGTGTCCAAGACCAGTAAAGTTCTTAAATGAGCCTCTACTGCAAAGAAAAACACAAGATTTTTCCATTAGGAATTTGTTATATCATTGGGTAGGCCAGGATCAGAGGTGTGACCCGGCTGTACCACTGTTTCTGAGCCTGAAGCTTTCCTACAGCCAGACAGGCTTCTCTCTGGCCCCTCACAGCAACACTCTGCTCACCTGTAGGCCTTTAATTAGACTGTACCCACCCCCTTCCTCATTTAGGGTCCCTCTCCATTCATTCCGTCTAAATCTTACCCAAATTGCGAAATCAACCTTACATTCCAGATCCATGCCTTCTGTTTCTGATTTCCAGAACACAAAAGATAGAACCACTTTATTTACACACCTTCATGTCTTGTTCACTGATCATTCCTTGCCAAGAAGACAAACGTCTTTCATAAGTTCTTTTCATACAGGTTTTATATTTCCTAAGATGACTATCGTTCAAATACTAGTTGCACTACTTAGTAACTTTGTGGCTCTGGGAATAATTTTATCTTCTCTGAGCTTGCGTTTTCTCATCTGTGAAATGGAAGCAATGATAATACCATTCCCATTACGTTGTTACAAGGATTAGTGTATGAAAAGTAGCTAACAGATGATAGCTACACAGTAAATATTTGTTGTTGTTGGTAGTGGTGGTGGTGATGTTGTCATAACCAGAATTATCACTTCTGTTTCCACAAAACTGCAAACAAAATGAACATTTATAAATACTGTTGGTTAATTTGATTAATTGATAGATTGAAATAAATAATAGGTATGTAACTTGTGAAGTGATGGAATAGGATACTGAAAATCACACTGGATTTGAAGTCTAGACAACAGAAGTAAAATTCATTTTGAATGAGTACCTACTATGTGCCAGGTAATATGATAGATGCTGTCCTCGAACTAGTGTATAGCTTGGTGCAAGTCACTGAAGTCCTTGATTCCTCAGTTTCTTTTCCCTAGTATTAGAGAGGGGAAAACAGGAATTAACAGGTTCTTTATGTCACTTTACACTCCCATCCAATCTATTAACAAACTACTTTCAAAATATATCCAAAATTCAAATACTTTGGATCCTCCCTACTGCTACCACTCAGGTCCAAGCCACCATCATCTCTGCCTTGGACTATGGCAATAGCCCCTAAGTTGCTCTCTCTGCTCCTACCCATAATCCAACACTGTCTTTGTCCGTTACAGCAATCTGAGTAATCTTTTTGTAAAACAGGTGTTTGACCATGTCATCTCTGTGTTCAGAATCTTCCATGGTTTCCCATCACATTCAGAATAAAACCCGAAGATGTCACCATGGCCTAAAAGGCACTCCATTATTTGCCTGTGCCACCTCTTCTGCATCAGTTACTACTCTTCCTTTTGCCGTTCTACTCCACCCACGCCAACCTTCCTGCTGGGTCTCAAATGTTCCAAGCACAGTCTCACCCCAGGACCTTTGAACTAGTGCTTGCCTCTGCATAGAAGGTTCATCTTCCAACTATCTCCATGGTTCCCCACTCTTCTTTCAAGTGTTTGCCCAAAAGTCACCTCATCAGGAAGCAAATAATAAAGGCATTCATTAATTTCAGAAAAAAATTAAGATATACAAGAAAGAAATTAATCCAAAGTGAACAATAGTTATAGTCATATTCATGTGCATACTGAATGTTAATTTAACTAAAAGTTTGATATAACCATAATGGGGAGAGGGAAAGGAAGTCAGTAACGGTAACTAAATATTCACATTCTACGGTAGGAAGTCACTTGATAATGTCTTAAATGAAAAAGTAGCAGCATAAGCATGTTCTTTATCAGTAAGGAGTATAATCTAGAAGTAATGGTGCAGAAACTGAAAGTGGTGACTTCCAGAGAGACAGAACTGGCATGAAATGGGCATGTGTTTTGTTCCCAGCCTTGTAGTGGTATTACAGCTTGTAAACTATGTGCATGTGTTACATTAGCAGAAATAAAAATTAAAAAATTTCAGTGACTTGAGATCACAGAAGAAGGCATAGTGAACTGCCTGGCCAGGTAGGAAATAGGGAAGAGAAACCCCATGAAGCAGATAGTATAAAGATAAGTATTTTACTAGATGGAGAAGGTGGTAGAAAAGAACATCCCAGGAAGGAACGACCTCTGTGAAGACCCAGATGAATGAAGGGTGTGGTATATCTGAGCTGTGGGTACAGAAGTGGGTGGCTTAGAAGGTGATGTGGCAGGGGAGGCTCTAAAGGTGAGTTGAACAAGACAATTAACAGTCCATCCGTCACCAAGAAGTTTAGCTGTAGACCGGTTCACAATCTACAGGTGGCAATGCATTACTGGGTTGCAACAGCCCGTTTTTATGAAATAGAGTGGTCCATAGTACACCACCTGTAGTAAGGACGAATATTGCTCCATGAGCCCAAGGACTCCTCGACTGTCTTTAAACCCTTCTGCACTCACAGGACTTTGGTATTTAAGGACCATTTCTCTGTTTTCTCATTATTTTCAAAGTTAGCAATAAATCTTTAGCTAATACATAAAGAATACCTATAAATCAGAGGTGGGTAGTAAGTCTCTGCACACTTTAAGTCTCCATTTTGGCAGTTTTATTTTGTTTTTATAGCTGAACTAAAATAAATCCAGTATAACTTTTTCTGCCTTCATTTAGGAATGGTTTATCTTGCAATTTCATGGTCTCCCTCCCACCCCCTCAAAGTTACTTGGAATGGTCTATTTATTTCCCATGCATCTTTTTACAGTGAACTTATTTCTTCTTATACAAATAATAGGTAACAGCATTTTTGTTGCTGAAAATAACTCAAGGGCTGGGCACGGTGGCTCACGCCTGTAATCCCAGCACTTTGGGAGGCCGAGGCGGGCGGATCACGAGGTCAGGAGATCGAGACCATCCTGGCTGACACGGTGAAACCCCGTCTCTACTAAAAATACAAAAAATTAGCCGGGCACGGTGGCAGGCGCCTGTAGTCCCAGCTACTCGGGAGGCTGAGGCAGAGGAATGGCATGAACCCCGGAGGCGGAGCTTGCAGTGAGCCGAGATCGCGCCACTGCACTCCAGCCTGGGCAACAGAGCGAGACTCTGTCTCAAAAAAAAAAAAAAGAAAATAACTCAAATAGTATAGAATATATAGGGTCAACAAAAAGTCACCCTTACTTTCCGCTTCAGCCCCTGACCTCTCCTAGTGATGGCTCCTATAATAATTTGGAGTGTGTCTATTTCAGCAGTTTTTCTACACATTTATGTTTGTATTAATGCACATATAAAACAAATCTTAAATACAAATGGAAATTACCAAATTACTTTCCCTCCTGTTTTACTGTATGTATTTAAGGTATGATGCTTTTGATATGCATATACATAGTAAAATGATTGCCACAGTCAAGCAAATTAACATATTCACCACCTCACATAGTTATATTTATGTATGTACAGTGAGAGCACCTAAAATCTGCTTTCTTAGCAAATTTCCCATACGCAATAATATGTGTTGGTCAAAGTGTGAAGAAATGGGAATGCTTGTGCACTGTTGGTGAGGATGCAGATTGGTACAGCTGCTATGGAAAACAGTATACAAAGGCTTCTCAAAACATTAAAAATAGAAACAGCATATGACCCAGCAATCCCTCTTTTGGGTATATACCCAAGGGAAATGAAATCAACACCTCATAGAGATATCTGCACTCCTTTATTCATTGCAGCCTCATTCCCAAAAGCCAAAATATGGAGAAAACATAAATGTCCATCGACATTATACAAGAAAGACATCCTGCATTTGCAACAACACTAATGAGCCTAGAAGACATTATGCTAAGTGAAATGAGTCAGACATAAACAGAAATACACTGTATGGTCTCACATGTGGAATCTCGCTTTCCCTCTTGATACAAGATTACTTTATTTCATGCCAGTACATGTATTGAAACCTCATTTATTTAATGCTTCATAGTACTCTGTCTAATAGTACTGCATTCTATTTAATTATTTATCTATTTTTGAGCATTTAGTTTACTTTTTTCAATACAATTTTCCTTATACATATATCTTTATTGTTTGTGTGTAAGAATTTCTCTGGGCAAACAAGAAGTATAATTGCTTGACAGAACAACATGGTAGGCTAAATAATGCCTCTCCCCCAAAGAGTTCCACATCCTAATCTCTGAAGCATGTGAATGTTGCCTCATATAACAAAAGTGACTTTGCAGATATCATTAAGTTAAGGATCTTGAGACAGGGGGATTATCTGGGATTATCCAGGTGGGCCCTAAGTAATCACAAGGGTCCATAGAAGAGAGAGAAAAAAGGTCGGGAGAAGGAAGTGACGTGATGACAGAGGGAGAGGGAAGAAAATATTGTGTGATATGGGGCCACGAGCCAAGGAATCGGACAACCTCTGGAAGCTGAAAAGGGTGTGCAACGGATTCTCCACAAAAGCTTCCAGAAGGAATCAGCCCTCCCAACCCCTTGATTTTAGGACTTGTGACCTCCAGAATGGCAAGATAGTACATCCATGTTGTTTTGAGTCAGGAAGTTTGTTTTAACTTCTTACGGAAACAATAGAAACCTCTTAAAATAATATGCTCTTTTTTAAAAATACATTCTGCCAAGTTTCTATCCAAAATAGCTGTTCTTACAGTTCTGAACACTGCTCCTCCCACATCCTGGCCAACCTTAGATATTTTTAGTCACTTCAGTTTTACTCAATGAAATGACTTTTCAAATTCTCACTTTTATTTTAACTTTAAGTGGTTTCATTCTAATGAGACTGGGTGTTGATCAAAGAAAATGATCAAGGCAAGTCTCAATCATTTTAGGAGGTTTATTTGCCAAGATTAAGGATATGCCCAGGAAAGAACACAGAGCCACGAGAAAAATGTGGTCCATGCTTTTTCCAAAGAGGCTCTGGGAACCTCAGTGTTTAAAAGGAAAGGAGCAGGTATTGAGGAAAGAGAAAAAACATTTTTTAAAGCGTGTGGGTAAGTTAAGAGGCAAATGGTTGCATCCTTTTGAGTCTTTGTTCAGCCATTCACACGTGAGAGGAGGGTAGGGGAACAGTCACTTATGCGTCCATCTTGCTCAGTGAATCTGCATTTTTACATAAGATAATATAAACATAGGGCAGAGGAAGCAATCAGACATGTATTTGTCTCAGGTGAACAGAAGGATGATTTTGAGTTCTGTCCTTTGTCCCGTACCTGTGAAGATAAGCTGTCAATTTACATTGTCAGGGTGAAATTCAACAGAACTGTTTTAGGATAAAGATCTTGGGGCCCACAAGGAATTTCCTTGTGGGCAAATTGTGAGGGAAGTATGTAGCTTTTTTATCTTTGTAGCTATTTTATTTAGGAACCAAATGAGAGGTGGGTTTGCGTGACCCAGTTCACAGCTTGACTTTTCCCTTTGGCTTAGTGAGTTTGGGGTCCTGAGATTTATTTTCCTTTCACATGGGCATCTTTTCAAATTTTTAGATTTCTTTTTCTGTTCATTACCTACTCAGATCCTATGCCCATTTTCTCACAAGGTAGTTTTCCTTCTTTTTATTTCCTTCCTTCCTTTCTTTTTATACAGTTTCTCATTATAAACTTTTGCTATGAGTCCCTTGGTATATGTATGTTATAATATTGTTCCCAGTCTGTTATTTGTCCTCTAACTTAATATTAACAAGTAATAAAAAAAGATTTTAAAATCAAATAATTTGGGGAATTCTAGGAGAAGTCAGGGTCTTCATTATAAGCTTAATACTAAAAGTGATAGATATAGCACAAGAAAATAAAACCTCAGATTGATCTAACTTATTAATAGTGGTGTAAGATATCAACGTGAAATACAAGTAAGTTGACTTTAGCAGTTTATTCAAACAATATGCCACCAACTGGTAAAGTTAATTTAGTATATAATGCTATTTATGTATGCATACCCAAGCATACATTAAAAAGAAAAGCTTTGTAGTCACTGTATTAGTCAGGTTCTCTAGAGGGACAGAACTAATAGGATAGATGTATATATGAAGTGGAGTTTATTAAGGAGTATTGACTCCTACCATTGCAAAGTGAAGCTCCACAATAGGCTATCTGCAAGCTGGGGATCAAGGAAGCCAGTCCGGGTCCCAAAACCTCAAAAGTAGGGAAGCTGACAGTGCAGCCTTCAGTCTGTGGCCAAGGGCCTGAGAGCCCCTGGAAAACAACTGGTGTAAGTCCAAGAGTCCAAAGCCTGAAGAACTTGGCGTCTGATGTTAGAGGGCAGAAAGCATCCAGCACAGGAGATAGATAAAGGCCAGAAGACGCAGCAAGTCAGCTTCTCCCACCTTCTCCTGCCTGCTTTATTCTAGCTATTCTAGCAGTGCTGGCAGCTGATTAAACGGTGCCCACCCAAACTGAGAGTGGGTCTGCCTCTCCCAGTCCACTGACTCAAGTGTTAATCTCCTTTGGCAACACCCTCACAGACACACCCAGGAACAATACTTTGCACCCTTCAATCCAATCAAGTTGACACTTCATGTTAACCATCACAGTCACCTTGAGAAATGTCAAAATGATATTTAACACAATTCAACATCTGTTCCTCATTAAAACTCTCAGTAAAGTAGGAATAAAATAATATTTGGCTATTTCGCTAGCAGATGAAAACCAATCCCAATCCAGGAGCAAAACATTCCATCTAATGACAGAATCCAAGAGGCACTGTCATTAACGTAGAGAAAGTGCAATGACAGCTCCCTTCACTACTGTAATTCAAAAATGTGTCCTGGATTTCTAGCCAATGCAATAATAAATTTAAAATACTTAATCACCTAAATGTTGTGAAATATCAAACATAATATTATTTATGGATGATATAAAAAATAAAAGGGAAAGTTAAGGACTCATTGCAAAATAAATTTTAAAATGCAATACCTTTCCTAATATCCACAATAGCCAGTTAGAAAATATATTTTCAAAATAACAACCAAAACATATGGTACAAATAAGTGTAAAGAAATTTGTTGAAACTGTGAAGAAAACTACATATCCTTATTGAAGGATATTTTAAAAGATATGAATAAACATATATACTTTGTGTACTAGGAGATTCAATTTTGTAAGGACACTATTTCTCCAATTTACTTAAAAATAAAATACTACTCTAATTGAACTCCAATTTGATTTTTGGCATATTCATCTCTACTGTTATTAAAAGTTCTTATCATTTAACCAATTATTAAAGATCCAATAACCTACATGTTCAATAATATAAAGTTAGCCAAATAAATTATGTATATTCAGATGGAAGAAAAGTGTGCATTGTTTATTTTAAATCATATTTGCAAAAATAATTGACAAGAAAAACTTTCAGATTTTATTTTCAGTAAAACAGTAGGTTTGAAATTAGTATAGTGATTGATATGTATATTTGTATATATACATGTATATGTGTTTGTGTGTGTGTGTGTGTGTGTGTATATATATATATATATATATATATATACACATAGAGAGAGAGAGAATAATAGAGAGACATAAAAAAGAAAGCTACTGAATGAATCACACCAGGACATAATGTTTTATCTCTGGTTAGTAAAATTATGAATCTTGTTTTTTATCTTTGCTTAATATTCCACAATAAGTATATACTCTTAATAAATGGACAAAACAGTATTATCTTGTAGAACAGTTAAGAATAATAAAGAAATAAAACTGTAAAAGAACTAGAAAACTTCTCAAAAGTTTTCAGATCAGTTTTTATGTATGTGAAAGGTCTTTCTAAATGCAGAAACAAAGAACTATATTTAGAAAAGGACTGTTAAATGTGACTTCTTAAAAGCTTTAAATTTCTGTAGATCACAAAATACCATAAACAAACTTTTTTGCATTAAATAGAAGTTTAATAATTTATTATAATCTTGAAGGGAAAAGTCCAGATTGTATTTTGATATTTTGTACATTAATATATTATTACAACGTGAAGAAAGATTTTTTTGAAATTTTGTTTTAGTCATTTCCTTTGAAGCCACATCATGGTAACAGAGTCTCACTCTGTCACCCAGGCTGGAGTGCAATGGAGCGATCTCGGCTCACTGCAACTTCCACCTCCTGGATTCAAGTGATTTTCCTGCCTCAGCCTCCAGGGTAGCTGGGATTGCAGGCGCACACCACCATGCCCGACTAATTTTTTGTATTTTTAGTAGAGACGGAGTTTCACCATGCTGGCCAGGCTGGTCTCAAACTCCTGACCTTGTGATCCACCTGCCTCAGCCTCCCAAAGTGCTTGGATTACAGGCATGAGCCACCACACCCAGCCAGTAACATCTTTTTTTATCATTTAACTTTTAAGTTCAGGGTACATGTGCAAGCTTGTGATATAGATAAACTTGTGTCATGAAGGTATGAAGGTTTGTTGTACAGATTATTTCATCACCCAGATACTAAGCCTAGGACCCAATACTGGCGTGAGATTGTATTTCATTGCGGTTTTGATTTGCATTTCTCTAATGATTAGCTACGTTGAGCTTTTTTTCATAGGTTTGTTGGCCACATGAATGTCTTCTTTTGAGAAGTGTCTGTTCATGTCCTTTGTCCACTTTTTTTTTACCATCTTTTTTTTTTTATTTATTATTATACTTTAAGTTTTAGGGTACATGTGCACAATGTGCAGGTTAGTTACATATGTATACATGTGCCATGCTGGTGTGCTGTACCCACTAACTCGTCATCTAGCATTAGGTATACCTCCCAATGCTATTCCTCCCCCCTCCCCCGACCCCACAACAGTCCCCAGAGTGTGATGTTCCCCTTCCTGTGTCCATGTGTTTTCATTGTTCAATTCCCACCTATAAGTGAGAATATGCGGTGTTTGGTTTTTTGTTCTTGCGATAGTTTACTGAGAATGATGATTTCCAATTTCATCCATGTCCCTACAAAGGACATGAACTCATCATTTTTTATGGCTGCATAGTATTCCATGGTGTATATGTGCCACATTTTCTTAATCCAGTCTATCATTTTTGGACATTTGGGTTGGTTCCAAGTCTTTGCTATTGTGAATAATGCCGCAATAAACATACGTGTGCATGTGTCTTTAAAGCAGCATGATTTATAGTCCTTTGGCTATATACCCAGTAATGGGATGGCTGGGTCAAATGGTATTTCTAGTTCTAGATCCCTGAGGAATCGCCACACTGACTTCCACAATGGTTGAACTAGTTTACAGTCCCACCAACAGTGTAAAAGTGTTCCTATTTCTCCACATCCTCTCCAGCACTTGTTGTTTCCTGACTTTTTAATGATCGCCATTCTAACTGGTGTGAGATGGTATCTCATTGTGGTTTTGATTTTCATTGCTCTGATGGCCAGTGATGGTGAGCATTTTTTCATGTGTTTTTTGGCTGCATAAATGTCTTCTTTTGAGAAGTGTCTGTTCATGTCCTTTGCCCACTTTTTGATGGGGTTGTTTTTTTCTTGTAAATTTGTTTGAGTTCATTGTAGATTCTGGATATTAGCCCTTTGTCAGATGAGTAGGTTGTGAAAATTTTCTCCCATGTTGTAGGTTGCCTGTTCACTCTGATGGTAGTTTCTTTTGCTGTGCAGAAGCTCTTTAGTTTAATTACATCCCATTTGTCAGTTTTGGCTTTTGTTGCCATTGCTTTTGGTGTTCTAGACATGAAGTCCTTGCCCATGCCTATGTCCTGAATGGTAATGCCTAGGTTTTCTTCTAGGGTTTTTATGGTTTTAGGTCTAACGTTTAAGTCTTTAATCCATCTTGAATTGATTTTTGTATAAGGTGTAAGGAAGGGATCCAGTTTCAGCTTTCTACATATGGCTAGCCAGTTTTCCCAGCACCATTTATTAAATAGGGAATCCTTTCCCCATTGCTTGTTTTTCTCAGGTTTGTCAAAGATCAGATAGTTGTAGATATGCGGCGTTATTTCTGAGGGCTCTGTTCTGTTCCATTGATCTATATCTCTGTTTTGGTACCAGTACCATGCTGTTTTGGTTACTGTAGCCTTGTAATATAGTTTGAAGTCAGGTAGCGTGATGCCTCCGGCTTTGTTCTTTTGGCTTAGGATTGACTTGGCGATGCGGGCTCTTTTTTGGTTCCATATGAACTTTAAAGTAGTTTTTTTCCAATTCTGTGAAGAAAGTCATTGGTAGCTTGATGGGGATGGCATTGAATCTGTAAATTACCTTGGGCAGTATGGCCATTTTCACGATATTGATTCTTCCTACCCATGAGCATGGAATATTCTTCCATTTGTTTGTATCCTCTTTTATTTCCTTGAGCAGTGGTTTGTAGTTCTCCTTGAAGAGGTCCTTCACATCCCTTGTAAGTTGGATTCCTAGGTATTTTATTCTCTTTGAAGCAATTGTGAATGGGAGTTCACTCATGATTTGGCTCTCTGTTTGTCTGTTATTGGTGTATAAGAATGCTTGTGATTTTTGTACATTGATTTTGTATCCTGAGACTTTGCTGAAGTTGCTTATCAGCTTAAGGAGATTTTGGGCTGAGACAGTGGGGTTTTCTAGATATACAATCATGTCGTCTGCAAACAGGGACAATTTGACTTCCTCTTTTCCTAATTGAATACCCTTTATTTCCTTCTCCTGCCTAATTGCCCTGGCCAGAACTTCCAACACTATGTTGAATAGGATTTAATGAGGTGGTTTTTTTCTTGTAAATTTAAGTTCCTTATAGCTGCTGGATATTAGACTTTTGTCAGATCCAAGCTTGCAAAAATTTTCTCCTATTCTGTAGATTCTCTGTTCACCCTGTTGATAGTTTTCTTTGCTGTGCAGAAGCTCTTTAGTTTAATTAGATCTCATTTGTCAATTTTTGCTTTTGTCACAGTTGCTTTTGGTATCTTTGTCATGAAATCCTTGCTCATTCCTATGTCCAGAATGGTATTGCCTAGGTTGTCTTCTTGGGTTTTTATAATTTTGGGTTTTACATTTAAGTCTTTAATCCATCTTGAGTTAATTTTTGTATATGTTGTAAGGAAGGGGTCCAGTTTTAATCTTCTACATAATGGTTAGCCAGTTATCTCGGCACCATTTATTGAATAGGGAGTCCTTTCTCCATGACCTGTTTTTGTCAGGTTTGTTGAAGATCAAATGGGTGTGGGTGTGTGGCCTTATATTTCTGGGTTCTCTATTCTGTTCCATTGGTCTGGTCTATGTGTCTGTTTTGGTACCAGTGCCATAAACAAAATTTTAAAAGAAATTTTCAACACATATGTGAAAAGAATAAATCTTCTCTATATATGAAAAGCTCTCGTGAATTGTACTGGGAATCTCCCATTCGTTCTGCTCCCCTCCTCTTATTGCCCCCAACCCAGTTACACTTTGCCCTTCCCAACTCTGTTCTTTCCCTAACCTGAGAGACTTGATTTGCATGAATTATATCAATGGACTGCCTTTGCCCTCTAGGTTTTTGTGACCTTTGGCCATGCTGAGTATCAGAAGGTCATAGGAAGGAGAAAGAGAGTGAGATCCCGGTAGTCATTTCTTCGGCCTCCACCTGCCCTCCACTAACGGTTACAGCTCGTGTAGGGCTCCTTCTCCAGAGGGCTCTCTGTCTCTGTCTCTCCAGGTTCTGCTAACCCCTCCTCTCCCTTTTCTCCTCAAGCCCAGAGTGGAACTGGAACCTCCCCAGCTCCACTCACCCTAACATTACTAGCCCAGAGTAATGTACTCTCTCGTAGGTCTCTTCAATCTACACTTTCATAAATAGTTCCTTTAGTTAACTGTCCTCAAAAGAGCTGGTGTGTTGTATCATCATTTTGCCTGCAGAAACCCTAACAATTACAGTAATCAAAAAGAAAAAGATAAATAGCCCAGTAGAAATGTAGGCAAAGGACAAGAACAAACAACTCACAAAATAAAAACTCCAAATAGTTTGTCAACATGAAAAAAAAGTTTAGCATCACTAGTAAATACACATATATTTGCATAATATGCATACATTAATTAAACCAATATTGTGATCTTATTTTTAATCTATCCTTTTTTTTATTTAAATAATATTTCCCAGTGTTGAAAGGATGGGAGTGCATATAGGTTATCTCAAATACTGATGATTGGGATTGAAATTTCTGAGAAATAATAATTATTACTAATAATAATTTAATAAATTGAATAATTATTGAATAAATCAAATAATTGTTAAATAATTTAATAATTATTAATGACAATTTGTACAAAGAATACTAAAAATGTTTTTACCCTTTGACCCGGCAAATCCCACTTCCAAGAAGATTGCCGTAAGTAACTAAAATTTTCACTTACATAGAACAATGTTCAGCAAAGCATTATCTGTGAGGTAAATTCTGGGAAATGACTTACATTTTCAGAAATTAGATAAATTTTAGATAAAGTGTAGATTGTCCATATACAGACTTTTTAAAAATCCTCTCTAGAAGAACTAGTGACCTTCTCTCACACCTCTTTTTTTTTTTGAGATGGAGTCTCGCTCTGTCGCCCAGGCTGGAGTGCAGTGGCATGATCTCGGCTCACTGCAAGCTCTGCCTCCCGGGTTCACGCCATTCTCCTGCCTCAGCCTCCCAAGTAGCTGGGACTACAGGCGGCTGCCACCATGCCCGGCTAACTTTTTGTATTTTTAGTAGAGACAGGGTTTCACCGTGTTAGCCAGGATGGTCTCGATCTCCTGACCTCGTGATCCACCTGCCTTGGCCTCCCAAAGTGCTGGCATTACAAGCGTGAGCCACCGCACCTGGCCACCTCTTTGTAAAAGTATTCATAAGTTCTGCCTACACTAGCTCGAAAATATGTCCCAAATCCAATCACTTCTCACCATCTCCCCTGCAAAAAGCCTGGACCAAGCCACCTTCAGTTCCCTGCCTAGATGGCTAAGCTACCTCCTGACTCTCTTGTTCCTCATCCACTCTCCCCTGCCACAGTGTGTCTGCACTGCAACAAGCATATCTGAGAGCATAAGCCTCATCATTCCATTCCCTGCCGAAAACACACCAGTGGCTTCCCAGTGAAATTAGAGTAAAATCCATACTCCTCATACTTCTTCCCATGGCCTCCGGAGCCTCTGGTGGTCTGGCCCCAGCTGCCTCTCAGCCATCCTCTCCACCACTCTCTGGACTGTCCTCCCCACTGTACATCATAGCCAAGCTTGCTTCTGCCACAGGCCTTTACACTTGCTTGCTCAGCAGCCTGGAACAGTCTTCCTGCAGTCTGTAGAGCTGGCCATTTCCCATCATTGAGATCCCAGTGAAATGTAGCTTCTTGAAGATGCCTTCCCAGAGGAAGAGACCTTCCTAACTAATGTGGCATCATCACATTCCAAGAATTCTCTCTCCTGAGCCCTTGTGTTTGTTTTTCTCAGTATTTAAAATATCAAAGATCTATCTCTTTGTTGCCTGTCTCCCCCACCTGAATGAGCAAAAGGACTTTGCCTTTCTTGTATCCCCGTCACTCAAACTGAATGCCTAGTACATACTAAATAATATTTGTCCAATGATGACTGCACACATATTGATTCATTCATTTATTCACTCAACAAAGACTTTTTGAGTGCTCTTCCTATGCCAGGCACTGCTCTGGGTACATGTGATACATCCATGAGGGAAGATCCCTGCCTCTCTGAAGCTTATACTCTAGCAGAAGTAAGGGGCAAGAGACAATAAATACAACTTCAAAGTGACTTATATAATGTAGTAGAGCATGACAGATGCTGTGGGGAAAAAAGAAAAATGTGGAGTAGAGTAGGAGAAGCAATGAGGCTGGGCATCTGGAGAGGATGGGTGGGAGGAGGCAGAGGTGGTAGGCCTTCTTAGGAAGGAGACGTCTGAGAAAAACTTGGAGAAGAACAAATGCATCGGGCAGATATTTGGGGAAGAGCAGCCATACAGCTAGAACAATAGTCCTAAGACAGAGTGGAGTGGAGCCCAGAGCGCCTGTGCCTAACAATTCCTGCCTTCTGAGAAGTGTTTCTCCCAGGCTAGGCATGGCGGCTCACGCCTGTAATCCCAGCACTTTGGAAGGCCGAGGCAGGTGGATCATTTGAGGTCAGGAGTTCAAGATCAGCCTGACCAACATAATGAAACCCTGTCTCTACTACTATACAAAAACTAGCCAGGGGTGGTGGCGGGTGCCTGTAATCCCAGCTGTAATTTGGGAGGCTGAGGCAGGAGAATCGCCTGAACCCGGGAGGTGGAGGTTGCAGTGAGCCAAGAACATGCCACTGCACTCCAGCCTGGGCGACAGTGTGAGACTCCATGTCAAAAAAAAAAAAAAAAAGTTTCTTCCAGCCTTGTGTTTCTATTAGCACCACGCTGCTCTATCTGCCTGCCCCATGAGAGTTGACTTGAGGGCCCATGCTTAACCAAACAAGATCTTTACCCAGGGATTTTTTAAATTTTGACTTGCATTGGATAAAAAGTCTCTTTCCCTTCTCTTTCCATCCAATCACTCAACACATATTTTGACAAGCATTTACTACATAATTTCTTCTGTTCTGGACACTGGGGCTTCCATGGTTAACAAGATAAATGGAGGTCCCTGCTCTCATGAAGAGGAGGGATACAGTAAGTCAACAAGGAAAAACTGAGAATCATTTCAGGTTCTCTGAAGGAAACCATCATGGCTCTAGGATGGGAAATGACTAAGAAGGGGAGGTTGGTGGGTAGAGTCTTACAGGGTGGGGGTCGTTTAAATTGAGGTTGTTTTGTTGTTGTTGTTGTTGTTGTTGTTGTTGTTTGAGATGGAGTTTCATTCTTGTCACCCAGGCTGGAGTGCAATGGCATGATCTTGGCTCCTTGCAACCTCCACCTCCCAAGTTCAAGTGATTCTCCTGCCTCAGCCTCCTGCCTCAGAGTAGCTGGGGTTACAGGCGCCTGCCATCACACCTAGCTAATCTTTGTATTTTTAGTACAGATGGGGTTTTCACCATGTTGGCCAGGCTGGTCTCGAACTCCTGACCTTAGGTGATCTCCCTTCTCAGTCTCCCAAAGTACCGGGATTACAGGCGTGAGCCACCATGCCCAGCCAGAATTGAGATCTTGGTGGATGCAGAGGTATCAGCCATGCAAATGTCTTAGGAGGAAGTGTTCCAGGCAGAGACCTGAGGTGGCAATGAGCTTGGCAAGTCAATACACTGAAAGAAGGTGATCACAGCTACAGCCTAGTGAGAAAAGGAGAAAGTGGGCCACAGTCAGAGAGTTAGACCGTGTGCCTTCCAACATGAAGAAACTGGGGTGTAAAAAAGCAACCCACACACAGGGAGACAGGGAAGGAAGAGAAAGTCCACAGAGCCCTGCCGACAACATTGAGAATGGGATTCCACTCATCATACTGCCAGCTCCATGCCTGCCCTTGCCAGATATTCGAGTGAGAAAATCTCCCTGTGTACTTCATCTAGGGTTTCTGTCACTAAAACCAAAAGAGTCATGATTAATTTATAGATATATATGAATATGAAAAAGACTGGAAGGAGGAGTTACTGTACGTGGAAACATCGACCGTGATATATCTGGGTTATAAAATTCATTTTCATCTCTGTACATTGCTTAACTTATGCTGTTTTAAAATCATGGCATTCTTTGGTTACATTTGTATTTTCTCACTTTGCCCTCTGTCACCTCAGGGGGCCGTGACAACAGGTGTGCTGGTATCCCTCTCACACCTGTGCTGCCTACCTCCCTGCCCTCACAGGTGTATTGGGACCAAATGTGAAATCCATTGCAAGAATGAAAGGAGCATCTGCCACAGTACTTCCATTCGGAGCTAGAAATAATTCTCTTTGTTTGTGGATCAAGAGCACCTCAAATTAATTTGGCATAAGAATCTAATTTTTGAAATCAAGTTGTCCCCCCACTGACAAAGTTAGCGCCATAAGCAAATGGTTTCACAGCATTTTAAGAGCCTCCAGCTACATTGGGGCTCCACTGCCCTAATAGGAAGTGGTAGGGAGCTGGGCGTGGGAGTCTGCAATGTACCTTTCACGGATATTTCTTTCACCTGGCAGACAGCCTAATGCTTAGCTGTCTGACCCATGACCAGGGGGTCCTTCACATGGGAAATTTGTTTATATTGGCGGATCCCCTTGTGGCTCTTGTCCAATCCATGTCCAGTTTATGCCTGCCTGACCATCACTCTGAGCTGGGAGCTCAGCCCAGTACCTGGAGAAAACCCAGCCTGGAGCAGCCCCTGGTTCTTCAGATGGAAGGTGCAAATTCAGTATACCACCACAACAGGAAACACATTCAAATATTTTTACTTACAGATCCTGAGCAGGGAGAATGCAATGAGTTGGGAGGGTAGTGCTCTGTCCCTGGGTCACGACAGGTAGGAATGAAGAGTGAGGCAGAGAGAAAGAGAAGTGCATAGAAGTGCATGGCAACCGGCAGTATATATAAGAGATATATATAAGAAAGTGTGTGTGTGTGTATATATATATATATATATATATATATATATATATATATATATATATGAAAGTGTGTATATATAAAAGAAAGTAGGATGTGTATATATATATATAAAAGAAAGTATATACAAGAAATATATTTCTCATATTTAATATAAGATATATCTTATGTTAATATATAAGTATATATAAGAAAGTAGGATGTGGGTCACTTTAGGTTTTCAGCAAATGCCTGAATGGTCCCTTTAAAGGAAGTGGCAGGCAAGCAGGGAGCTCCTGCCTAGGAGAGATCCAAATTCTCTGGCTACTGGCTTGAGTCATTTGGGTGTGGTATAGAACTGGAAACTGTATCCAGGGTAACTGAGCCCTGCTTCTGGTATGAATAAAGTTAAACCTATATTCAAAATGGATGCCCAAGCAACAGAAAATTAGAATTCCCTACACCTGATTGTAGGCTTCTCACCGAATGTCATAGCAGGCCTTAAATCAACTTCATACGCATTTATGACACCATTTTATGTACAGAGTAGCGAGTTCTCCTGCCCCCAATTTACAGATGAAGGTGGCAAGTTCTGGAAGGTTTAAGTGATTTGCCAAGATCAACTCTTTCAGCCGTGTCTTTCTGGAACAAGCAAAACTCTGAGCAAAGGACAAACCCAGGACCAGGCAGAGCAGCTGACTCACAGGCTGTGCCTTGTTTCTGTCTGAATTATTTCTTGGCAGAAAATGCTGTTTTGCTATCAGGACAGTCAAGTGTAGTTAGAACAAGCTCATGGAACAAAGCAGTTTAATTAAGGAAAAAAAAATTACTTGGGTTACAGTGCTATTCTCTTCAATCCAAGATGGAAATTAATTTATAATAACCTTATCTTTTATTCATAGCATGCTGCATATTTCAGAGTATGTCGGCATCCTTGTATTTCTCAGTTGAATGTGAAATAATTGTGTGTTTCTAATGGGCTGCGAGTCAGTTAAAGTGCTGAAAGAACATAGCTGAGTCTTGGCTAACCATTCAGAGAAGTCTGAAGCCACTGAGGAGTAGCTTTGGTTTCCTTTTGATGAGTCATGATATTTAAAATTCAGAGGGCTGCTGCAGGCTTCAAAGCAGCCCTTTCAAACCGATCGCTCCACAACCTAACTCCATCAGTGGCAGAGGACAAAGAAAGCCCATTCATGTTCCCCTAACCACCTCCTTCTCTTTTCCCAGACCAACCTGACAGAGCTGAAGTCATTTGGCTCTCCGCCTCTGGCCGTCAGCAATGTCAGCGCTGCGGTGATGGTACTGATGGCTCCCAGGGGTAGGGTGCCCAAGGACCGGAGCTGGAAGGCTGCTAAGGTCACCATGGCCAAAGTGGATGGCTTCCTGGACTCGCTAATAAACTTCAACAAAGAGAACATTCACGAGAACTGCCTCAAAGCCATCAGGCCGTATCTGCAAGACCCCGAGTTCAATCCTGAGTTTGTGGCCACCAAATCCTATGCGGCTGCAGGCCTCTGCTCCTGGGTCATCAATATTGTGAGATTTTATGAGGTGTTCTGTGATGTGGAACCCAAGCGCCAGGCACTGAACAAAGCCACCGCGGACCTCACAGCTGCCCAGGAGAAGCTGGCTGCCATCAAAGCCAAGATCGCTGTGAGTGACCCCAGAGCCCCTCACCCTGCTAGTCCGCCTCCAATACAAACAACGCTCTTCAGACACCATCTAACACCTAACGTTACGGTTTTTAAAGAGAAGCAGGAAAACCACATTTTCATGCAAAATCTCATTTTTCAGTAGAGGCAACTTTTTACATTTCTTTCTCAAACACTGTATAGGCCAAACAAGACAATTCCACTGGACCACTGGTTTACAAGCTGTGGTGCGAAAAGGTTTTCTCCTTTTCTGAACAAAAGGTTAAAATTTTGAGACTTTTTCTCTTTCTCCTTGGAAATGTGGATTTTAGCCACCTTACCCTTTTTACCTGTTCCCTTCAGTTCTAGCCAACTATCTGCCTGTCTCACTTTCAGTAGCATGGATGTGTGGAAATGTGTCAGCTATCTGCATTGTTTTGTGGAAGTTCGTTAAAGCAAGTTATACACTGTGACTTAGTGGGTGGCCCCTAGTCCATAAATATAAAACTGTGAGGGTCATTAGCTTTTATAAACTCATGTAGATATTGTTATTATGTCTGCTTCACCCAGGATTTGGAGATGGGGATGGTGATCTTGGATTCACACCTATTTGGGAGATTTTCCTTGTCAACCTGAAATAATTGAAAGGATCAGAATTCATTTTTTTTTTTAATCTGTAGAGGCAGGGTCTCCCTATGTTGCCCAGGTTGGTCTTGAACTCCCGGGCTCAAGTGATCCTCCCACCTCAGCCTCCCAAAGTGCTGGGATTACAGGTATGAGCCACTGAGCCCAGCCCAGAATCCAGCTTCAAGAGTTGATTTAAGTGAAAAACTGGCAATGAACTCCAAAGAGATAGAGTGAGTGCTCCAAAGTAAAACGTTAAGGTGTTACTTATATAGGCAGAAAACAAAGAAATTTTCTATAATAGGCTGGTTTATGAGTTACAACAATTTAATTAATTACAGTTTTCTGTACAGCTTGTTTCACTTCCTTTCCAAAGAGTGTATTTAACCTTCCATCTTAGATAATGTGGAGTCTTTGTGTGAGAAAGGTGAAAGAGAGGTTAATCTATAACAAAGATCAGCAATGAAGCTGGAAGGAGTCTTCCCTGGTGCCCTTTAGTCATTTGCAAAGTTTTACAAGACAATGTAGGTAAGGAAAAAGGCCAATCTATAATCAGAGAAATAAAGGTTACAACTGCCTAGGTTATAGCTGCCTGTCCTGTGACTCGAGACCTATAATCACATTACCTTAAGGCTCAAAATATTTTAAAGTTCCAACAGCTTAGATCTTGAATTACTTACTTTCATATGCTTGAACTTCACCTTGCCCATAAAAATGCATATTAACAAAGTAACAGGTAGAAATCAGAATCCTGGAAGATAGCATAGCAACTAAGACTCCATCCTTCCACATAGCTTAGTTCCAATCCAAGCTGTAATATTTACTGATCGTGTGACCTTTAGAAAGGTTTCCAAAATGCCCAAACCTTAGCTTCCTGAAGTAGAATAGACACAGTAATAGTACCTGCTTCATGGGACTATTATGAGAATTAAAGGATGTGATGTGTATAAAGCATGAGACTAGAGCCCAGCCCATGATGAAGGGAGCAGCAGGAGCTGCCCCCCTGCTGTGTGACTATAACTGCTCAACCACTACTGTGTGAGCGTGACTATAACTGCTCAACTGCTACTGCCCCATTTGACAGCATGTGCCATCTACCACATGCACATCCAACCTCTTGCATGGACTCAATCACGGCTGTGATCAAGTTCAATCCAAAAAATTTTCTGGATCTTTAATTTCTGTATGTGCATTCTAGGCAAATAAGATTCTTGCTACAAATTTGTCATGATGATAAGGAGGATTTTACAAGTTATGAAAGGTAGGATTGTAGACATGCTGTATGCCACGTGACATGGGTTTATTGATTGTTAGATTAAAATCTATGGAAAAAGGCTCTAGATCAAAGATCCTTGAGACCAATCTCTCTATTTAAAAAGATACTTTGGGCCGGGTGCAGTGGCTCATGCCTGTAATCCCAGCACTTTGGGAGGTCAAGGCAGGAGGATCATGAGGCCGGGAGATCGAGACCATCCAGGCCACCATGGTGAAACCCCGTCTTTACTAAAAATACAAAAAAAAAAAAATTAGCCGGGCGTGGTGGTGGCCACCTGTAGTCCCAGCTACTTAGGAGGCTGAGGCAGGAGAATGAAGTGAACCTGGGAGGCAGAGCTTGCAGTAAGCCAAGATCAGGCCACTGCACTCCAGCCTGGGCAACACAGCGAGACCCTGTCTCAGAAAAAAAAAAAGAACTTTGGCAAAGCAACTCACCTCCTCTCAATATGCTTGTTTTATAATGCACATGTTCATGGACTAGTTTACTTAAAATAGATGATAATCACCATAACAATTGCTCCCTTCAAAGAACATCACATGCAAGACACCGTCACATCCCCATTCCTGAATTTATTTTTATTTTTTATTTTTAGAGAAGGGGTCTTGCTATGTTGCCCAGGCTGGTCTTGAACTCTTGGCCTCAAGTGAACGTTTTGCTTTGGCCTCCCAAAGAGCTAGGATTACAAGCAGACTACAGGCATGAGCCACCATGTCCAGCCCATATTCCTGCTTTTTGGGAGGAAAAGATCTCCCGATAATTTTTATATTTTTCAGTCTCTTCCAGAAAATATAACAAGAACTGCATTTTCAAAGACTCTTGACTCAAGTTATTTTAACTAAAGGAACAGTTGGTGCAAAGAGAATGTTTTCAAAATGTTTATACCTTTTCAGTAGCCAACATTCACATGACGGGCCCACTCAACCTGCGAAAGCAATAAGAATATTTTAAAATTCCTTGGCTACCTTTGGAAGGCACTTCTTTTCTGCCAAAATATTTTCTGGAAAAAAAAATGTATTCTTGCTTTTAACAACCTCCTCTCCATCCTCCACTTATACACATCCCCGTCAACATCCCAGGAATGTGGGCACTCCCTGCTAATAACACAGGAGATGGGCTAACACCCATCCCTAACCTGGAGACCCACCCAGGGCAAGAGGATTCCTATATGCTGCAGGGCCATTTCCAGCCTAGTCCAATCTCACATACACACACCCAAGTCTTACTTTGAGGATTTTAGGATAATTCCAAGTAAATAATCTTATATTCAGAATACAGAAAGTGGGTGGAAAGCATATTTCAAGACAGATTTCAGTTTGATTACTGTATGCAGGACATTATATAGTTTGGATATTTGTTCCTGCCCAAATCGCATGTTGAATTGTAATCCCCAGTGCCTGAGATGAGGCCTGGTGAGAGGCATTTGTGTTGTCAGGAGAATCCTTTATAGTTTGGTGCTGTCTTTATGACAGTGAGTGAGTTCTTGTGATATCTGGTCATTTAAAAGTATGTGGCACCTGCCCCCCGCAACTCCCTCTTGCTCCTGCTCTGGCCATATGATGTGCTCCTGCTTTGCCTTCCACCATGAGTAGAAGCTCCCTGAGGCCTCCCCAGAGAAAGATGCCAGCAGTATGCTTCCTATACAGCCTGCAGAACCATGAGCCATGAAACCTCTTTTCTTATAAATTACCCAGTCTCAGGTATTTCTTTATAGCAATGCAAGAATGGCCTAATACAGAATGGAAACACACAAAAATGTTAACAGTGGTGGTGATCTCTGGGTGATGAATTTTGGATGGCTGTTTTGTCTAATCTACATTTTCTTTTGTTCTGTAGTGAAGATATATTAATGTTATGATTTATAAAAATAATAGTAAGAACAAAGGAGGCATTTTCCGTGAGCATATTATCACACACAGAGTGAAATATCAAATAGTAGAGAAAGGCTTCTGATGAGAAACAAGAATCCCTTTTAATTCGTATATCTGTTTCTGGTGCTTGAGATCACATCAGAGCCTGCTACCTAGCAGCTCAACTGTGTTCCAGTTGGCCCACGCAGTCTATTTGCAGATGATTTAATTAATTGCCAATATTTAAAATAGCAGGTACTTTTACGTAAAAATCTTATTTTAGGTCAGTCTAAAAATAATCAAAAGATTCTCATATGTCATTAATTGACCCTAGAGTCAAGTAATGGCTTCCCATTCACACAGTTTTGCTCATTTTGTCATAATCCCCACCAACTTCTATTTTTTTCAACACTAGACTCATCTGACAAGTTTCCATTATCTTCCCACTTTCTGATCACTTGAATTTCTGACTTCTGTCCATGTGTTATGCTGATATCTATTTTTTGATGTATCTTATTGAGGCAGTTGACCTTCTGCTAGCTAGCTAAGGCTATAAGTTGTCCATTTCCATGTCTTCCCAATATAGTTACAGTAACCAGTTTTATTAGGTTAGCACAGAAGTTATTGTGGTTTTTGCCATTACTTTAATGGCCGGCACAGTGCCTCATGCCTGTAATCTCAGCACTTTGGGAGGCTGAGGTGGTTGCATCACCTGAGGTTAGAAGTTCGAGACCAGCCTGACCAACAATGGTGAAACCCAATTTCTACTAAAAATACAAAATTAACCCGGCGTGGTGGTACATGCCTGTAATCTCAGCTACTTGGGAGGCTGAGGCAAGAGAATCACTTGAACCCAGGATGCAGAGGTTGCAGTGAGCCAAGATTGCGCCATTGCACTCCAGCATGGGCAGCAAGAGGGAAACCCCGTCTCAAAAAAAAAAAAAAAAAAAAAGAGTAATGACACAAACTGCAGTTACAGCCAGGCATGGTGGCTCACACCTGTAATCCCAACATTTTGGGAGGCTGAGACAGGTGTATCACCTGAGCTCAGGAGTTTGAGACCACCTCGGCCCACATGGTGAAACCCTATCTCTACTAAAAATACAAAATTAGCTGGGCATGCTGGTGGGCACCTGTAATCCCAGCTACTCCGGAGGCTGAGGCAGAAGAATTGCTTGAACCTGGAAGGCAGAGGTTGCAGTGAGCTGAGATCGTGCCATTGCACTCCAGCCTGGGCAACAGAGCGAGACTCCGTCTCAAAAAAAAAAAAAAAAAAAAATGCAGTTACTTTTGTGCCAATCTAACAGTTAATGTAACCTTTATTTCCTGTTCTATTACATAGAGGCAGCTCCCTTGGAGCTCTCAGCTTTCAAGATGTGTTAGTCTATTCTTGCATTACTGTAAAGAAATACCTGAGGCTGGGTAATTTGTAAAGAAAAGGAGTTTAATCGGCTCACAGTTCTGCAGGTTTTACAAGCAGCATGGTTCTGGCTTCTGGCGAGGCCTCAGGAAGCTTACAATCATGGCCAAAGGCAATGGGGAGCCAGAATGTCATTTGGCAAGAGCGGGAGCAAGAGAGAGAAGAGGGAGGTCCCACACTCTTTTAAACAACCAGATCTCCCCTGAACTAACTGATCAAGAACTCATTTACCAGCAAGGGAATGATGCGAAACCATTCATGAAAGACCCGCCCCCATGATCCAATCACCTCCCACCAGGCCCCACTTCCAACACTGGGAATCGCATTTCAACCTGAGATTTGGAGGAGACAGACATCCAAACCATAGCACAAGATGACACTCTTACCCCTGCCTTCAGCTCCCTTCCTTCTACTTCCCAACTTTTGTTATTACTGCTTATCATTACTTTTGCTTTGTAATCACCAAAACTGAGAATACATTCTCTTCTGTAACCAAAACTAAGTGACCCATGCTCTGTCCATAGACTGATCTGCAAAGTTAAAAAAGCAATAATTCCATTTCTATTCTGTGAACGTGTCTATATTGTTCATAACAGATCTAGAATTACATTCTCTTGTTTTACACAGTCTCTTCACCCCCACTCCCCAGAGTTTCTACTTTCCTTTATTGTCTCTTTCTCTTGCATTAGTTCCTTTTGCATGGCATCCATTATTTCTAAACTTTCCATTTACAATTAAGTATTCTTTGTTTGTCCTTCTTTGCTGCCACAACCTTTCTCTCTCTTATTCTGCTTTGGCTCATTCTCAGAGAACGTTCTCAGAAATGTTAAGGAAGAGGTAAATTTTCTGCATTGTTATTGTCTAGAAATGTCTTCGTTTTATTCGTAAACTGAACTAACAGTTTTGCAAAGTATTGAATTCTGAGTTGCTAATTTTTTGTGCACAGAACACTGAATTTGTTGTTGTTGCTTTGTGTTTTGTTTTTTGTTGTTTGTTGTTTTTTTTTTGAGACAGTTTCACTCTTCTTGCCCAGGCTGGAGTGCAATGGCACAATCTCTGCTCACTGCAACCTCTGCCTCCCGGGTTCAAGCGATTCTCCTGCCTCAGTCTTCCGAGTAGCTGGGATTACAGGCATGTGCCACCATGCCCGGCTAATTTTGTATTTTCAGTAGAGATGAGGTTTTTCCATGTTAGTCAGGCTGGTCTCGAACTCCCGACCTCAGGTGATCTGCCCGCCTCGGCCTCTCAAAGTGCTGGGATTACAGGGGTGAGCCACTGCGCCCTGCCAGAACACTGAATGTTTTATGCTTTTGTCTGGTGAGAAGTCTCGTGGACAGTCAATGTCTTGTTCCTTTGTGTATGCACAGTTTCCCCTCTTTCCTTGAAGTCTTCTAATCTTTTCCTTTTGGTTCTTGATGTCTGAAACTTTACATTGATGTGCTTAGCTGTCATTCTTTTTTTTTTTTTTATACTTTAAGTTTTAGGGTACATGTGCACAATGTGCAGGTTAGTTACATATGTATACATGTGCCATGCTGGTGCGCTGCACCCACTAACTCGTCATCTAGCATTAGGTATATCTTCCAATGCTATCCCTCCTCCCTCCCCCAACCCCACAACAGTCCCCAGAGTGTGATGTTCCCCTTCCTGTGTCCATGTGTTCTCATTGTTCAATTCCCACCTATGAGTGAGAATATGCGGTGTTTGGTTTTTTTCTTGCGATAGTTTACTGAGAATGATGATTTCCAATTTCATCCATGTCCCTACAAAGGACATGAACTCATCATTTTTTATGGCTGCATAGTATTCCATGGTGTATATGTGCCACATTTTCTTAATCCAGTCTATCATTGTTGGACATTTGGGTTGGTTCCAAGTCTTTGCTATTGTGAATAGTGCCGCAATAAAAATACGTGTGCATATGTCTTTATAGCAGCATGATTTATAGTCCTTTGGGTATATACCCAGTAATGGGATGGCTGGGTCAAATGGTATTTCTAGTTCTAGATCCCTGAGGAATCGCCACACTGACTTCCACAATGGTTGAACTAGTTTACAGTCCCACCAACAGTGTAAAAGTGTTCCTATTTCTCCACATCTTCTCCAGCACCTGTTGTTTCCTGACTTTTTAATGATTGCCATTCTAACTGGTGTGAGATGATATCTCATTGTGGTTTTGATTTTCATTTCTCTGATGGCCAGTGATGGTGAGCATTTTTTCATGTGTTTTTTGGCTGCATAAATGTCTTCTTTTGAGAAGTGTCTGTTCATGTCCTTTGCCCACTTTTTGATGGGGTTGTTTTTTTCTTGTAAATTTGTTTGAGTTCATTGTAGATTCTGGATATTAGCCCTTTGTCAGATGAGTAGGTTGCAAAAATTTTCTCCCATTTTGTGGTTTGCCTGTTCACTCTGATGGTAGTTTCTTTTGCTGTGCAGAAGCTCTTTAGTTTAATTACATCCCATTTGTCAATTTTGGCTTTTGTTGCCATTGCTTTTGGTGTTTTAGACGTGAAGTCCTTGCCCATGCCTGTCCTGAATGGTAATGCCTAGGTTTTCTTCTAGGGTTTATATGGTTTTAGGTCTAACGTTTAAGTCTTTAATCCATCTTGAATTGATTTTTGTATAAGGTGTAAGGAAGGGATCCAGTTTCAGCTTTCTACATATGGCTAGCCAGTTTTCCCAGCACCATTTATTAAATAGGGAATCCTTTCCCCATTGCTTGTTTTTCTCAGGTTTGTCAAAGATCAGATAGTTGTAGATATGCGGCGTTATTTCTGAGGGCTCTGTTCTGTTCCATTGATCTATATCTCTGTTTTGGTACCAGTACCATGCTGTTTTGGTTACTGTAGCCTTGTAGTATAGTTTGAAGTCAGGTAGCATGATGCCTCCGGCTTTGTTCTTTTGGCTTAGGATTGACTTGGCGATGCGGGCTCTTTTTTGGTTCCATATGAACTTTAAAGTAGTTTTTTCCAATTCTGTGAAGAAAGTCATTGGTAGCTTGATGGGGATGGCATTGAATCTATAAATTACCTTGGGCAGTGTGGCCATTTTCACGATATTAATTCTTCCTACCCATGAGCATGGAATATTCTTCCATTTGTTTGTATCCTCTTTAATTTCATTGAGCAGTGGTTTGTAGTTCTCCCTGAAGAGGTCCTTCACATCCCTTGTAAGTTGGATTCCTAGGTATTTTATTCTCTTTGAAGCAATTGTGAATGGGGGTTCACTCATGATTTGGCTCTCTGTTTGTCTGTTATTGGTGTATAAGAATGCTTGTGATTTTTGTACATTGATTTTGTATCCTGAGACTTTGCTGAAGTTGCTTATCAGCTTAAGGAGATTTTGGGCTGAGACAATGGGGTTTTCTAGATATACAATCATGTCGTCTGCAAACAGGGACAATTTGACTTCCTCTTTTCCTAATTGAATACCCTTTATTTCCTTCTCCTGCCTAACTGCCCTGGACAGAACTTCCAACACTATGTTGAATAGGAGTGGTGAGAGAGGGCGTTCCTGTCTTGTGCCAGTTTTCAAAGGGAATGCTTCCAGTTTTTGCCCATTCAGTATGATATTGGCTGTGGATTTGTCATAGATAGCTGTTATTATTTTGAGATACGTCCCATCAATACCTAATTTATTGAGAGTTTTTAGCATGAAGCGTTGTTGAATTTTGTCAAAGGCCTTTTCTGCATCTATTAAGATAATCATGTGGTTTTTGTCTTTGGTTCTGTTTATATGCTGGATTACATTTATTGATTTGTGTATATTGAACCAGCCTTGCATCCCAGGGATGAAGCCCACTTGATCACAGTGGATAAGCTTTTTGATGTGCTGCTGGATTCGGTTTGCCAGTATTTTATTGAGGATTTTTGCATCCATGTTCATCAAGGATATTGGTCTAAAATTCTCTTTTTTGGTTGTGTCTCTGCCCGACTTTGGTATCAGGATGATGCTGGCCTCATAAAATGAGTTAGGGAGGATTCCCTCTTTTTCTATTGATTGGAATAGTTTCTGAAGGAATGGTGCCAGCTCCTCCTTGTACCTCTGGTAGAATTCGGCTGTGAATCCATCTGGTCCTGGACTCTTTTTGGTTGGTAAGCTATTGATTATTGCCACAATTTCAGCTCCTGTTATTGGTCTATTCAGAGATTCAACTTCTTCCTGGTTTAGTCTTGGGAGAGTGTATGTGTCGAGGAATTTATCCATTTCTTCTAGATTTTCTAGTTTATTTGCATAGAGGTGTTTGTAGTATTCTCTGATGGTAGTTTGTATTTCTGTGGGATCGGTGGTGATATCCCCTTTATCATTTTTTATTGCGTCTATTTGATTCTTCTCTCCTTTTTTCTTTATTAGTCTTGCTAGCGGTCTATCAATTTTGTGGATCCTTTCAAAAAACCAGCTCCTGGATTCATTAATTTTTTGAAGGGTTTTTTGTGTCTCTATTTCCTTCAGTTCTGCTCTGATTTTAGTTATTTCTTGCCTTCTGCTAGCTTTTAAATGTGTTTGCTCTTGCTTTTCTAGTTCTTTTAATTGTGATGTTAGGGTGTCAATTTTGGATCTTTCCTGCTTTCTCTTGTGGGCATTTAGTGCTATAAATTTCCCTCTACACACTGCTTTGAATGTGTCCCAGAGATTCTGGTATGTTGTGTCTTTATTCTCATTGGTTTCAAAGAACATCTTTATTTCTGCCTTCATTTCGTTATGTACCCAGTAGTCATTCAGGAGCAGGTTGTTCAGTTTCCATATAGTTGAGCGGTTTTGAGTGAGTTTCTTAATCCTGAGTTCTAGTTTGACTGCACTATGGTCTGAGAGATAGTTTGTTATAATTTCTGTTCTTTTACATTTGCTGAGGAGAGCTTTACTTCCAACTATGTGGTCAATTTTGGAATAGGTGTGGTGTGGTGCTGAAAAAAATGTATATTCTGTTGATTTGGGGTGGAGAGTTCTGTAGATGTCTATTAGGTCCACTTGGTGCAGAGCTGAGTTCAATTCCTGGGTATCCTTGTTGACTTTCTGTCTCGCTGATCTGTCTAATGTTGACAGTGGGGTGTTAAAGTCTCTCATTATTAATGTGTGGGAGTCTAAGTCTCTTTGTAGGTCACTCAGGACTTGCTTTATGAATCTGGGTGCTCCTGTTTTGGGTGCATATATATTTAGGATAGTTAGCTCTTCTTGTTGAATTTATCCCTTTACCATTATGTAATGGCCTTCTTTGTCTCTTTTGATCTTTGTTGGTTTAAAGTCTGTTTTATCAGAGACTAGGATTACAACCCCTGCCTTTTTTTGTTTTCCATTTGCTTGGTGGATCTTCCTCCATCCTTTTATTTTGAGCCTATGTGTGTCTCTGCATGTGAGATGGGTTTCCTGAATACAACACACTGATAGGTCTTGACTCTTTATCCAATTTGCCAGTCTGTGTCTTTTAATTGGAGCATTTAGTCCATTTACATTTAAAGTTAATATTGTTATGTGTGAATTTGAACCTGTCATTATGATGTTAGCTGGTTATTTTGCTCGTTAGTTGATGCAGTTTCTTCCTAGTCTCAATGGTCTTTATATTTTGGCATGATTTTGCAGCAGCTGGTACCGGTTGTTCCTTTCCATGTTTAGTGCTTCCTTCAGGAGCTCTTTTAGGGCAGGCCTGGTGGTGACAAAATCTCAGCTTTGCTTATCTGTAAAGTATTTTATTTCTCCTTCACTTATGAAGCTTAGTTTGGCTGGATATGAAATTCTGGGTTGAAAATTCTTTTCTTTAAGAATGTTGAATATTGGCCCCCACTCTCTTCTGGCTTGTAGAGTTTCTGCCGAGAGATCCGCTGTTAGTCTGATGGGCTTCCCTTTGTGGGTAACCCGACCTTTCTCTCTGGCTGCCCTTAACATTTTTTCCTTCATTTCAACTTTCGTGAATCTGACAATTATGTGTCTTGGAGCTGCTCTTCTCGAGGCGTATCTTTGTGGCGTTCTCTGTATTTCCTGAATCTGAATGTTGGCCTGCCTTGCTAGATTGGGGAAGTTCTCCTGGATAATATCCTGCAGAGTGTTTTCCAACTTGGTTCCATTCTCCCCGTCACTTTCAGGTACACCAATCAGACGTAGATTTGGTCTTTTCACATAGTCCCATATTTCTTGGAGGCTGTGTTCGTTTCTTTTTATTCTTTTTTCTCTAAACTTCCGTTCTCACTTCATTTCATTCATTTCATCTTCCATCACTGATACCCTTTCTTCCAGTTGATCACATTGGCTCCTGAGGCTTCTGCATTCTTCATGTAGTTCTCGTGCCTTGGCTTTCAGCTCCATCAGCTCCTTTAAGCACTTCTCTGTATTGGTTATTCTAGTTATACATTCGTCTAAATTTGTTTCAAAGTTTTTAACTTCTTTGCCTTTGGTTTGAATTTCCTCCTGTAGCTCGTAGTTTGATCGTCTGAAGCCTTCTTCTCTCAACTCGTCAAAGTCATTCTCCGTCCAGCTTTGTTCTATTGCTGGTGAGGAACTGTGATCCTTTGGAGGAGGAGAGGTGCTCTGCTTTTTAGAGTTTCCAGTTTTTCTGCTCTGTTTTTTCCCCATCTTTGTGGTTTTGTCTACTTTTGGTCTTTGATGATGGTGATGTACAGATGGGTTTTTGGTGTGGATGTCCTTTCTGTTTGTTAGTTTTCCTTCTAACAGACAGGACCCTCAGCTGCAGGTCTGTTGGAGTTTGCTGGAGGTCCACTCCAGACCCTGTTTGCCTGGGTATCAGCAGCGGTGTCTGCAGAACAGTGGTTTTTCTTGAACCGCGAATGCTGCTGTCTGATTGTTCCTCTGGAAGTTTTTTCTCAGAGGAGTACCCGGCCGTGTGAGGTGTCAGTCTGCCCCTACTGGGGGGTGCCTCCCAGTTAGGCTGCTCAGGGGTCAGGGGTCAGGGACCCACTTGAGGAGGCAGTCTGCCCGTTCTCAGATCTCCAGCTGCATGCTGGGAGAACCACTGCTCTCTTCAAAGCTGTCAGACAGAGACATTTAAGTCTGCAGAGGTTACTGCTGTCTTTTTGTTTGTCTGTGCCCTGCCCCCAGAGGTGGAGCCTACAGAGGCAGGCAGGCCTCCTTGAGCTGTGGTGGGCTCCACCCAGTTGGAGCTTTCCAGCTGCTTTGTTTACCTAAGCAAGCCTGGGCAATGGCGGGCGCCCCTCCCCCAGCCTCGCTGCCGCCTTGCAGTTTGATCTCAGACTGCTGTGCTAGCAATCAGCGAGATTCTGTGGGCATAGGACCCTCCGAGCCAGGTGCAGGATATAATCTCCTGGTGCACTGTTTTTTAAGGCCATCGGAAAAGGGCAGTATTCGGGTGGGAGTGACCCGATTTTCCAGGTGCCATCTGTCACCCGTTTCTTTGACTAGGAAAGGGAACTCCCTGACCCCTTGTGCTTCCCGAGCGAGGCAATGCCTCGCCCTGCTTCAGCTCGCGCATGGTGCGCTGCACCCACTGACCTGTGCCCACTCTCTGGCACTTCCTAGTGAGATGAACCTGGTACCTCAGATGGAAATGCAGAAATCACCCGTCTTCTGCGTCGCTAACGCTGGGAGCTGGAGACCAGAGCTGTTCCTATTCAGCCATCTTGGCTCCTCTCCATTCTTTTTTTATATGGTGTTTGGCATGTAAAGATTCATTTTCTTCAGCTCTAGAAAATTATTTTGTATTATTTCTTTGGTAAATTCCCTTCTGTTTACTGTTTACTCTTATTTTCTGGAAAGCATATCTGTCAGATGTTGAACCTCCTAGATCAGTCCTCTGTTTTCTTCCATCTTTTTGTTACTGTTTGTTTTCTTATGCTTTTCAGGAAATTTCCTCAAATTCTCCTTTTAACCTTTCCCTTGATTTTGTTATATTTTATATTAACAACAATAGTGATTTCCACAAGAGTTTTTTTTTGTTATTCTCTCTTCCTTTTAATAACATCCTGTTCTTGTTTTGTGGATGAATCATCTTGAATCTGTCTGAGAAACTGTGAAAGTTTTAACTTTGTTGTTGCAGTTGCTGTTTTTGTTGTTACCAAAATTCTGCCTCTTCTTCCTAGGTCATTTTTTTCATCTTGTTTAACTTAATCTAAGCCTGCATTAAATCTCTTCTTGTCCTTTCATGTTTACAAGAGTAGCGATCAAAAGCTAATTCTAGGTCTGCAGGCAAGGGCAGAGCTGGTTGACTGGTAGAATTTGTTTTCAAAATCTGATGAGTTATGCCAAGATGTGGCACCTTTATTCTCTGCCTCTATTGACTTTCTTACATGGTGACATAGGTGACTGGTGGCATTGCATACTGTGCATGTGGATGGAGATATGAGGTCAAGAATCAATAGGCTTCCAATTAATCTTCATATTTTCATCTTCCCCTTCAATCACACCTGACATTTCTGAGATCTCCAGTTTGTATAGGGCTCTGTGTGCTGATCAGTTTCCCCTTTGGTGAACAACAGCTAACTCTAAGTTGTCACGTCCTCTGCCCTGCTCCAGCGGTCTCCACTTCTTCAACAGTGTGGTCCTCCATAAATCTGTTGGACTCCCTCACCCTCCAAATGGCCCTCACCAATTTGCTTGGTGTAATGGGCTTATGACTATTTTAATTGCTTCATAATCATTTTAGAGAAGTCTTGGGAAGTGTAGGAGGTAAATGAGCATGGCCAGTCTGCCATCCTTAATTGGATGGCCCACCACCTGCTTTTTAAACTGCTTGGATGTTTAAGCTTGGCCCTACATTGATTTCTCTTGTGCCTTAGTAATGACCAACAAAGCAGCCTGAACCCCAGTTATTGCACAGACCTGAGATGTATTTGGAGGTATCTGCTGTGTGTCCATGTATCTTTGTGTGTAAAAATATGTACTCAGAGGACAACAAAAGCTACGTACTTCAATTTTAAATTCTTAATACATTTTTAAATATTGAAATTATGTCTTTTTTATGTTCCTATACATTGTGTTAATGGGAGAGACTAGATGAGGTTAAGTAAAAGTTACCTTGTACTCTAGGACCTTAGAGCCAGTGGAGGACTTAGATTCCGGACAGCCCAGCCCCAGACTAGCTGCAGCAGATACTGGCAGTTGTCCTCCCTGGCCCACGTGGGTTGCTGTTGACCTTTTTCATGCTAACCCCAGTTTTGATGTGTTCTTGCTTCTAATAGCAGCACCTGCACCATTTTGTCAGGCTACTGGAACCCATTTTTCTCCAACTCAAGCAGAGGCAGAATGTATGCACCCTTCCCCCCATCCACATCCCTGACACCTCGTAGCGTTCAACACCTCGATGACTGCGGTGGTGGGGTATGAAGCTCAGCTCTCTCATCTTGGAGTAGGACATTTCTGGATGTCCACTCCACCCTCCCACTGCAGGACCAAGATGAAGTCCTTGCTAGGACCCGCCTGAGATCTTCCCCGAATGTGCTTTCATTTCGTTCTCTGCCCTGCTTTCCCTGGTCCCATAGGAATGCCCCCGCAGAGTGCTTCCTTCAGAACCACCTCCATGTGAACCCTCATCTAATGAGCACTGGTAGTTACATGGGCCGAAATGACTGATGGTCCTTGTATTCCTTCCTAAACAGCACCTTAATGAAAACCTGGCAAAGCTCACAGCCAGGTTTGAGAAAGCAACAGCAGACAAACTCAAATGTCAGCAAGAAGCCGAAGTGACCGCAGTCACCATCTCCCTTGCCAACCGCCTGGTGAGTGTAAGCCACAGCAGCCCGAGCTGTAATTATATTAGCAGGCTTGTCAAATGCCGTGGAGGTGCAAGATAGATGAGCACAGCACAGCAGCGCTTTGACTTGGAGGGAAGTATTAAAATGTGCTGAAATGCAGGAATTGAGTCCTGAGGAAAATGTGGATGCATAAACCCTAATCTGGTCAAAGGAGTTTTCTTATAGACATGGTTGGGAGGATGGGAGCACTGGATCTATCAGGCAGCTCATGCAAAATGGTAACACACTTATATTCATGTGTATTGACCAGAGGAAACATTACAAGACAAAGCCAGCATTTTATAGGCAAACCATGACATTCCTATCTATGTAACATTTCATTATAAGGGTGTGGCCAAGATTAGGAACTGAGATAGAAACAGAAAAGAATGAGACCTACTGACCCTGAGTATTTCAGAAAACACACACAGACACACATATACACACATGCTCCGGCCTTCCTGGGAAATCAAGTCTGCAGGTCAGGGCAGCGGTGCTTGTGTTATGGGTGTTTGTTTCTGCATAAAAAAATTACTCCAAAGCTTAGTGATTTTGTACAATAACCATTTCATAATATCTCACAAGTTTGTTGAGGGCAGGGCTCAGCTGGCCAGGTTTTCTGCTCCATGTGGCCATGACTGGGGTCACTTGGTACATTCAGCTGGTGGCCGGGCTGGAGGCCCCCGAGATGACTTCCTTCACATGCTGGGCATCTTGGCAGTGATGATTGGAAGGGAGGGTGCAGCTGGTCCTCTCTCCCTTCCTCAGGGCATTTCCACGCATTCCCTCTAGCAGGGTAGTCGGACGTCTTACACAGTAACTCAGGACATCAAGGACAAGTGTCCCAAGAGGCAGGAAGTGGAAAGTCCCAGTATCTGAAGGCCTGGGACTGAAAACTGGCACAACAGCACTTCCGCTGTACTCTATAGGTCAAAGCAGTCACAGATTAAAGGGCAGAGAGCACAGACAGCAACTCTTAATGACAGGAATGTCAAAGAATTTACAGCCTTTTAAATCTCCTATGGCTTGTATTTCTCATCCCATATATCAGCTAAGACTCTGCAAAGCAAGTCAAATGGATATGATTTCTCTTCAAGCTAGAGACTTTACAGCACCCTCCTCACCAGTGAAGGGAAGTACATTCCACACCTGTTGACATTTATTCCAGCCACCACTGAATTACACAGCAGAGCCAGATGTTTTAATCTGGGGAACAGTGAGTCATAGCGATCACTGAATGGAGCTGTGATGTAATGAAGACCTGCCATACCCAAATGTGTGTCTGTGCAGTTGTCACTGGACCAGCTTCTGTGTGGCTTTGAGATGATCCGTTTAGCTGAACAGTTCAGTTTAGAGATAGCAACTCTTGCCAATGTGCAAGAAGTCCTCCAGATCTCCTAGCTGGCCTGCCTTCCATTCACCTCCCTGCTTGGTTTCTGAACTTAGCGCAGCCTTCTCTGCCTGGCTGGAGCACTTTCTGAGTCAGTGCTCATGGGAGGCAGTGTAGCACTCTGCTCTAGGAGTCAGGATGTTCAGGCTCTGAAGCCACCCCTGTCTCTACCGACCTAGAGATTCTGGTGAGATATTTGGACTTTCTGACCTTTGTGTAATCTGAAAACAGGCATGTGAATGACTGGGTTGGCAAATCTCTAAGGTCTGTCCAGACTGTGACGTTCCATGATGTTATCATTAGAAGAAAAAATAAAGGGTGAGTCCTAACGCAGAAGCAAAGCTCCGCCATACCACTAACAGTCCTCTGTAGAAAGAATGGCTCTCCTCCCAGGGAGACTGTACCAACCCAAAGAGGGCTGGGGGGTCAGGACTTTGTACACACCCATGACCTTACCATGCTTCTCTGTGTCTCAATTAGCACATCTGTCTCCTCGCCCGCTGTGAATTATTTATGGTGCATGGACTTGATTTTGTTTATTTTCATTTCCCCAGCATTTGGAAAGGAGAAAGAAGTGGCTAATTTTCTAACATGTTCCACAGACCAGGTATTGTGCTAAATAATAAACATACATGATTATATTTCATCCTCTCAACAACCCTTTGATTAAGTGGTATCAGTCTCCACACACAGAAAGAGCAGAGTCAAACCCTGTCATCTTTCCATGGTTCATGTGATGCATGACACAGAATGGGGGCTTGTGTACTGAAAGCTTTGCTACAGGCAGCACAAATCCCCATTAACGGAAAGGGCCATATAAGTGATATTCTGCCTCTTCCCGCTATGAAGCGTGCAGCGGGCGCTCTCCATGATGGAATCACGGCTCTATCACCTACTGTGTAACACGCCTCCTCTCCTCTCTGGCTTTTGAAATGGTAGGTTGGAGGACTCGCTTCTGAAAACGTGAGGTGGGCAGATGCCGTGCAGAACTTCAAACAGCAGGAAAGGACGTTATGTGGAGACATTTTACTTATAACGGCTTTCATTTCCTACCTTGGCTTCTTCACAAAGAAATACCGGCAGAGCCTCCTGGACAGAACTTGGAGGCCCTACCTGAGCCAGCTGAAAGTACGTATGGCCTGAATTTCTCCCGACCACATCAGCCTCTGGGCACCAATGGGAAGACATCACGGTCATAATTCGCATCCTCTGGTGTCCTCCTGCACACTCATCCCCACCACCCCCTGAGCACCAGGTGTGAAACCTGCGTACCCGTGTCCTTCCACACTGCCTTGCATTGCTGCCCACTGCCCTCCAGGCCACCTGGGGGCAGCACCTCTCCTCTGAATGTAGTCCTCCATGGGAACACTAGTCCTCTTCCCCGCGGGCTGTCTCCTAGCAATCCTTAAAGCTGTGAAACCTGAGAGATAGAAAAAGAACCATTTTCGTCTCTGATCTCCCCACTCCAGAGCCAGACTTCATAGGAGCAGTCAGGGGACGTTCCATTTCCCAGATCCTACATTGCACCTTGTTACTGGGCCCTAAAGCTACACAGCTTGTGCCAGTGACTCACAGATATCCTTCGTCGGCTTCCGTCCTGCATAATCCCATGAACAGCTGCTCACATGCTTCTTATTTGGGCAGTTCAGCTTGTCCTCCTCGTGTGGCTAGGTGGATGTTACTCCCAACCCATCCCTTTACATCACCCGCCCCCCACCCCCTGCAATGTAACTAAATGGAGAAATACTGGTTTCCCATTAAAGGGGATTCAAAGCTATACTTGGACGCGAGCATCAGAAGTTCTAATATTTTCTTGGCACTTTCGCATCACTTCTAGCAACCCACAAATACTTCCTGTGTATTTAGTGTGTCCTACCACTCCACTATACAGGAGGCACACAAAACGTTCAAGACCGGGATACCTTTGGCAAGTTCCCAGTCCACTTGAGGAGATTAGGCTCATAGAAGTCAGCGAAGGTGGGCCGGGCGCGGTGGCTCACGCCTGTAATCCCAGCACTTTGGGAGGTTGAGGCGGGCGGATCACGAGGTCAGGAGATCGAGACCATCTTGGCTAACACAGTGAAACCACGTCTCTACTAAAAATACAAAAAATTAGCCGGGCATGGTGGCGGGCGCCTGTAATCCCAGCTACTCGGGAGGCTGAGGCAGGAGAATGGCGTGAACCCGGGAGGCGAAGCTTGCAGTGAGCCAAGATAGCACCACTGCACTCCAGCCTGGGCGACAGAGCGAGACTCCGTCTCAAAAAACAAACAAACAAAAACAGTCAGTGAGGGTGAAAGTCAGCCCCAAATTTCACAACATAAGGTAAAAGCTGTATTCCAGATCTATTTGTAAGTAGAACCTTAGAACAAAAACTCTTTCTGTAGTGATGATTGTTTTCTCAGATCAGCTCATAAAACCCTGCTCACCTGACAATTAGCTGAACCGTAGTTTTTAAAATGCTAGCAAATAAACAAAAAATAAAGCAGCTGTTTGACTCATCCTAAACACTTTTGGAAAAAGGAAATTGTTGAAGGAACCATCATTAACTGAGTGAATGAAGAAGAAGAGCTCAGTAGCAGCTTAGTGAGGATTTTTCTGGCTTTGTTTGGATTCTTAAGCTTTTTTGTGTCATGGACGTCTTTGGCAGTCTGGTGAGACCTACGGATTCTTTCTCAGAATAATGATTTTGACACGTCAAATAGAATGCATGAGATTACAAAGGGAAAAAATATATTGGAACACAATTCTGGTCCCAGATAAGAATCCCCAAGGGGCTGATTTCCCTTCAGAGGTTTGCTGGATACTGTAGTACTGGCCATTTGTGCCCTTGTTAGATACAATTAAGAGGATGGGAGATGGTTTGGAGAGGTTTCCCTGGGATAATTGGGCAGAACAAACTTCAGAGAGGAGTGAGATGAAGGAGTTAAAAGGGTATTTGTCTAAACCTCGAAAGCATTATGCTAAGTGAAAGTAACCAGACACAAAAGGTCACATATTGTAGGATTCATTTATAGTAAAATATCCAGAATAAGAAAATCCAAGGGGACAGAAAACATATTCATAGTTTCCACGAGCTGGGGGTAGACAGAAATTGCGGGGGCTGTTGAATGAGTATGGGATTTGGGGGTGATGAAATGTTTTGGGGGTAGAGCCGATGGCTGCATAATGTTATGCATAGACTAAATGCCACTGAATTGTGCACTTTAAAATGATTAATTTATTTCATATCAATGTTACCTTAATTTAAAAAAATATATATGGGTCATCAATGAAAAAGATTGCCTGTAAAAAAAATTAAGTGAGCCCGGCGTGGTGGGTCACGCCTGTAATCCCAGTATTTTGGGAGGCCGAAGCAGGTGGATCGCCTGAGGTCAGGAGTTCGAGACCAGCCTGTCCAACATGGTGAAACCTCGTCTCTACTAAAAACACAAAAATTAGCTGGGTGTGGTGGCAGGCACCTGTAATCCCAGCCACCTGGGAGGCTGAGGCAGGAGAATCACTTGAACCCGGGAGGTGGAGTTTGCATGGAGCTGAGATGACGCCATTGCACTCCAGCCTGTGTGACAGAGCAAGATTCCATCTCAAAAAAAAAAAAAAAGAACTGAGTGAGCAGAGAAAGGCTAACAAAGAAGAAAAGGCAGTGTCTAGGGCACACACAGGAGCCCTGAAGGGGCCTAAGAGAGGCCACAGGCAAGTTCTCAGACTGATAAATACTCGGCAGCTTCCCCACAGGCACCAGCAGGCAGGTTTGCAAGAGTCCTGCAAGTGAATGGGGTGTTTGGGGAAGAGAAAAAGAAAACCCGTCCAGCCTCTTGCAAGCTGGTGAAACAGAGGAGAGGAAAGAGTGGTTTGTGCCGGTTGGTACAGACAGGAGCAAACCCACTAGGCATGGGACCTGGTGCTGGTTCATGGAGCGTGCACAAGAAACACAGACATATAGCAGAGAAATAACACTGTTAACATGGGTGAGAGTGTGTAGGAGGTCGTAGATTAAAATACAGATAATATAGTAGAAACTTGACTTAGGTAAAGATACCGAAAAACAAAGAATCAGTCACACGAGTTGAATTTCTGCAGTTATTCATCCATGGAGGGGAAAAAAAAAAGCTATCAGGACTTTAATAGAACCTGCTTCCAGAAATAATCACACAGCCAGAAAGGCATTCTTCAGTGGGATGTTGATCTTGCTTTTAAAGGAGTTGTGTCATTTGGTGAGTAACTGCATTCATCCCAGCTGAGAATGTCTGCTTCTGTTCTGAGCGTGGGGTGGTGTTTCTTCTTCACCAGACTCCCATTCCAGTCACCCCAGCCCTGGATCCCCTGAGGATGCTGATGGATGATGCTGACGTGGCTGCCTGGCAGAACGAGGGCCTCCCAGCCGACCGCATGTCCGTGGAGAATGCCACCATTCTCATCAACTGTGAGCGCTGGCCACTCATGGTTGACCCTCAGCTACAAGGCATCAAATGGATCAAGAATAAATATGGTGAAGATCTCCGGGTCACGCAGATTGGTCAGAAAGGGTAAGTGGTTGAGCACAGAAGTTCCCACTTTAGCCATTTGTGCAGGAAAATGTATAGATCATGAGCAGATTTTAAGCCCAGTGAATGGTTTGTACACTCCTGGTCTCTCCATCAGGCTTCTCACGTTTCTCCGTCCATTTTAGCAAACATCTCAATGAAAGATGCCTGGGTACTAAGTCTTTGCTTTTTATCCACATGAGAAATTATGTACCACAACCTCTCGACCCATTCTGGGGTCCTTTCTTCACCATCCCTTGAGCTCATCCTCTCATTGTCCCTTAAACATTTCCTCCCCAAACTTCATATCCCATTGTCACATAGCTCTGTGCTTTATAAAGTTTTCCTCACCCTTAGCTAAAGCTGCCTCCCTTATCTCTCCTCTACCCATTATTTCTACCTCTGCCCTAGAGCCACATACAAAGAACAAAACTCTCCTCCTGAGGCACAGTTGAACATTTCAGTAGGTCCCATGAAGCAGCTGAGTTAGTTATGAAACCTTCAGAGCCCTTGGTACCTGCCATATGGCTTCGTACTTACCTGTGGGAAAGTTACCACGTGAAGGGACTTGAATGGCACTGAGAATGTCTGGCCAGCACCCACCAGGCTTCAGTGGCTTGGGCCTTGACATCCCTCATGCCTCCCTTCATTTTAGCCTTGTGGTTTCAGTACTCATCCTGTTCTATGTCATCAGGACACCTGGGGAAACAGGATGGGGCAATGGGGAAGAGGAAGTGAGGCAGACATCATTCATTAGGAGGTTGATATGCATCAGTCTTGGTGTTAGAGGTTTTATCTCAAATGCCGTCCTTAATCCACACAGTTAATAAGGTTAGTAATCAACTGGTTAATAACCAGTAAGGTTATTGGTTCCATTTCACGTCCGAGGAAGCAGAGGTTCACAGAAGTTAAGTAATTTCCCTGGGGAGTTCGCCATTTTAAAAGTGATGGAAATTTGGCACTCGTGTTTATAGCAGCATTATTCATAATAGACAAAAGGTGAAGAGAACCCAGATAAATGGATAAACAAAATGTGATGTACACATGCAATGGAATATTATTGCCTTAAAAGGAAAACAGTTCTTAAAAGAGCATAATTAGATTGTGATACAAAGGAGAAATGCTTAAGGACATGGATACCCCATTTTCCATAACGTGATTATTATGCATAGCATCCCTGTATCAAAATAGCTTATGTACCCCATAAATATATACACCCATGTACCCATAAAAATTAAAAGTAAAAAATGTTTTCAAAGAAAACAATTTAAATAAAATAAAATTGAAGTTAAAAAAAAGGGAAAAAATTCTGACACATGCCACAACATGGATGAATCTTTAAAGTGTTATGCAGAGTAAAATAAGCTGGTGACAAAAAGACAAATGTGGTATGATTCCTCTCATCCAAGGTTCCCAGGGTAGCCAAATTCATTGAGACAGAAAGTCGAATGGTGTTTGCCAGGGAGTGCGAGGGAGAGGGGAATGAAGAGTTAAGTGTTTCACAGGTACAGAGTTTCAGGTTTTGTTTTTTTTGTTTGTTTGTTTGTTTGTTTTTTGAGACGGAGTCTCACTCTGTCACCCAGGCTGGAGTGCAGTGGTGCGATCTCAGCTCACTGCAACTTCCACCTCCCGGGTTCAAGCAAGCGATTCTCCTGGTTCAGCCTCCTGAGTAGCTGGGACTACAGGCGCCCACCACCACACCCGGCTAACTTTTTTTTGTATTTTTAGTAGAGACCGGGTTTCACTATGTTGGCCAGGCTGGTCTCGCACTCCTGACCTTGTGATCTGCCTGCCTCAGCCTCCCAAAGTGCTGGGAGTGAGCCACTGCACCCGGCCAGTTTTGGTTTTTCAAGAACAGTTCTGTGAATGGATGATGGTGATGGATGCACAACAGTGTACTTAAAGCCATGGAACTGTACACATTAAGACGGCACACAATATATGTTACATATATTTTACCACAATTTAAATATATTAATTAATAAATATGTTTAAAAAGTAATGGAGGCAGCTGGGCGCAGTGGCTCGAGCCTGTAATCATAGCACTTTGGGAGGCCGAGGCGAGCAGATCATTTGAGGTCAGGAGTTCAAGATCAGCCTGGCCAACATGGTGAAATCCCATCTCTACTAAAAATACAAAAATTAGCTGGGCGTGGTAGCAGACGCCTGTAATCCCAGCTACTCAGGAAGCTGAGGCAGGAGAATCTCTTGAACCCAGGAGGTGGAGGTTGCAGTGAGCCGAGATCGTGCCATTGTACTCCAGCCTGGGGGACAAGAACGAAAACTCTGTCTAAAAAAAAAAAAAAAAAAAAAAAAAAAAAAGTAATGGTGGCAGTATTTGAAGCTGGGTCATCCTCACTTAGAAACCTAAGATTTATCCACTCCAGCAAACAGCCACTCAAAGTGAGCTTTGTTGCTCTGGCCACGTGTCCCAAGCATGCACGCACTAAGGTCCAGATCACTCGGGGTTGTTCAAATTGAACACATGATGTTAAAAATAATAGTTAACCAAGTCAAACATTAAATATTATAAATGCATCCATCTTATAGAGCAAACTTTGTTGAGAAGTGAATGCCAAGGCATGCTATGATATATATAGATAGATATAGTGGCGCTATCTCGGCTCACTGCAACCTCCACCTCCTGGGTTGAAGCTATTCTCCTGCCTCAGCCTTCCGAGTAGCTGGGATCACAGGCGTGTGCCACTATGCCTGGCTAATATTTTGTATTTTTTGTAGAGACAGGGTTTCACCATATTGCCCAGTGGTCTTGAACTCCTGACCTCAGGTAATCCACCTGCCTCAGCCTTCCAAAGTGCTGGGATTACAGACATGAACCACCGCGCCCGGCCAATATGATATATTTTTATTTGCATCTTTAGTCACATAGTAATCCAACCCTGGCCTTCTCCCGAAACTTTAATTAAAATATTCTTTTCCAGCTGACTAACAATGCATTTTAGACAGGTGTATGTTCTTTTTGCTCATTGCAGTGTCCCTAGTGTCTAAAACACTGCCGAATGCATTGTAGGCCCTTAATAAATATGTTCAATTAATTCTTAGTTCATGTCCATTAACTACTTTCCTGTTGAATGGTTTTCTAGATTTGTTGTATATTATTTGAATACAAATGTTGCATTATATGTAATATGTATAGTCTTCTTTCTTCATATGAATGAAAATTTGTTCGTCTCATTTGTCTTTTAATTTACTTTTGTGAGGTTTTACCTACTACAGTTCATTTTATTTTAGTTTTTTATTTGATCAGATTTGTCAGCCATTTATTCTATAAGTGATGCCTAGAGGAGTCTTTTCTCTCCAAGAATTTTTAAAATATTCACCTACATTTTTAGTTTTTAGTTTTTTTGTTTGTTTGTTTGTTTGTTTGTTTTAAGACAGGGTCTTACTCTGTCACCCAGGCTGGAGTACAGTGGTGAAATCATGGCTCCCTGCAGCCTCGACCTCCGGGGTTCAAGCAGTCCTTCCACCTTAGCCTCCCAGGTAGCTGGAACTACAGATGTGCAACACCATGCCCTGCTAATTTTTGGATTTTTGTAGAGAGGGTGTCTCACCATATTGCCCAGGCTGGTCTCAAACTCCTGGTCTCAATCTCCTGGCCTCAAGCAATCATCCCACCTTGGCCTCCCAAAGTTCTGGGTTACAGGCATGAGCCACCAGGCCTGGCCCATTTTTAAGTTTTTTGAGTTTTCTTTTTACATGGAAATCCAATCAATTTAAATATAGTTTAAGCTATTATATGTGGTACAGACTAATTTTCCAAGTGGTTAGCTATTGTTTCAATACCAAATATTAAATTTTCCATTCTTTCCTCAATTAATTAGACATGTCATTTTACTATATATTAAATTATTTTATTAAATAGGGTCATTATTCTTTTCTATGTATCTAATACTACACCAGCTCTTATTTACTTTTATATTTAGTAACATTTATTGTGGTGTTTCCCATTACAAAAGTAATGTATCATCACTGTAAAGAAAAATGAGAGGGCGGGGTAGGAGTTATCATAAAAAACAAAGAAATAAAAACTTCTATAATTCATCTTTCAAAAACACTGCTAACTTATTGGTATATGCTGTCCTTTAAGCCTTCTTTCTACACATCTATATTGTTGATATATATAAAATATGTAGTATTAGATAATGACTCCCTCCTCTTCTTCTTTATTGGTTTTCTCCTTGCCAGCCTCACTGTATTCTTTTAGGTTAACTTTAAGATCTTTGGTTGAGTTCCATAAAGTTTTACTGTTATTCTTTGTTTGAGTTGTATTATATCAGTCTTATAAATTATTGTTATTCTTTGTTTGAGTTGTATTATATCAGTTTTATAAATTGACTTTAAGAAAATCAAGCTATTTACATATTTATTAAACTCTACATAACACTGAAAAGTTAAAAGTAACCTAAATCTTTGTTAATTGATTGATAAATTAAGGTGTATCAATATGGCCTAATACCCAGTCATTTAAAATTACATGGAAGGATGTTTAATGACATGGTGAAGTGATTACAATATATTTTCTGTAAAAAAAAACAGGTTATAAAACAAAACACCATATGAATCTAATACTCTCAAAGCTAAACTTGACAATATAATATATTCAAATATACGTAGTATACACCAAAACGTTGAAGACACATTATGGTTTTCATTATCTTTTTTGTATTTTATAATTTCTCCCTATTTCTAAAAGTGTATAGAATCACATAAATATCACTTTACATAGGGAAGAAATGTGGCCACTGAAAACATTCCAAATAGCTGTGCCTCCAACTATACCACCATGTCTTAGAGGTCACGCTTGTCTCATTAAATGGTCTCAACTCCATAGCTTGCCACAGTCTCATACTCCCGGACTCATACTTGTTTCCCTAGCTACCTTCAAATCATAGAGCAGGCCCTGGAAGCTGGAGCTGTGGTGCTGATTGAAAATCTAGAGGAGTCCATTGATCCTGTTCTGGGACCCCTGCTTGGGAGAGAAGTCATTAAAAAAGGACGGTAAGACTCAGCTGTGTTGCTGACCCTTCGGGGGGAGCTGGTTCATGGCCCTGGTTAGAATCATGAAGAGGTCTGCTCTTCCTAGAATTTCCTCTCTTCAGTTCATGTCAAGTAGCTCCCTGCAGCACATCCACCTTTCTTTCTTCCAGCAGAGGTCTATTTAGTGGCCTTTGTTTCCTAGAGAAAGTTTCCTGGAGAAACTTTGCTTCCATCAGCCAGTGTCCCAACTGACTTCCTTCTAAATGGCCACAGTGCACAATTTTGGAAAAACTTGAGAAGGAAATCGGTCAAAAAGCAGACTGACTTTTAAGTACGAGCATCTTATACAAGCCAGTCATCTGAATTCTGACAACTCGGTTCCTTGTCAATTTAATGAGTCTCTGCTGCTTTGAGTGCTGGCTCATGATGAGGGCTTAGCAAGCACAAGGCAAAGCAGGGGGTGGTGTGGAGAGGAAAAGAGAGGAAGGAGACGGGCAATGGGTTCGTATGAAGGGCAGAGTAATTATCATGAAGGGGTGCTTGACTCAGGAGCCTCACCCACTGCTGGGGCCATCGTTGCCTTTACTGTCCTCAAGTCGTGCTCGTTTACTTGGTTAATCATTTTCACCCATAGATGTCATTCCCATGTCAGCCATGAGGAAAAGTAAGCCCTATTGCTGGCGTATAAAGCACGTTTGTGGAAACTGCAAGGTGGTTCACCTTCCTCCAGACACTTCACTGCCATCTGCTGGAAATTGTTCATAATGTACTAATCTACATTGACACAACAGGCATGGCTCTTCCTAGAGTTGCACAGTACAGAACCAAACATGGTGGCCATGGGAAAACATCTATCCCCCTCCACACCTGTTCCCAACATTAGTGCAAAAAAGAATCCCAGGGCTCATCCTAGACATAGGAGGAATCCATCTGAATATAGCAATATTGTTTGAAAAAAATCTCAAATTCTGACCCCAACCAAATTTTGCAGGAAGGCACCTTACCTTCACATGAGCCTTTATGTTCCAGATTCATTAAAATTGGAGACAAAGAATGTGAATACAATCCCAAGTTCCGGCTCATCCTCCACACCAAGCTGGCTAATCCTCACTACCAGCCTGAGCTGCAGGCTCAGGCCACCCTGATCAACTTCACCGTGACCAGGGATGGCCTGGAGGACCAGTTGCTGGCCGCTGTGGTCAGCATGGAGAGGCCAGACTTGGAGCAGCTGAAGGTGAGGACAGAAGGGAGAAAATGTTCTGCCACTAGAGCCTGCAGTGTACTCCACTCTGGGAGAGGTTGCAGAGGGGGGCTGTTTTTCCTGGATTGAGTTAGGTGGGTTCTGCTAGACTCTGGAAGACTGCTGACCCCATGTAGCAACCTGGGAATACCATACTGGGGAAAGAAGGATGGGTGAGCTGAAGAACAGAAGCAAAAACAGTTTGAAGGCCGGGCATGGTGGCTCATGCCTATAATCTGAGCACTTTGGGAGGCCAAGGTGGGCGGATCATGAGGTCGGTAGTTCGAGACCAGCCTGGCCAACATGGTGAAACCCCATCTCTACTAAAAAATAAATATTAAAATTAACTGGGCATGGTGGCGCTAGCCTGTAGTCCTAGCTACTCGGGAAGCTGAGGCAGGAGAATCTCTTGAACCCGGGAGACGGAGGTTGCAGTGAGCCAAGATCGTGCCACTGCACTCCAGCCTGGAAATAGGGCGAGGTTCTGTCTCAAAAAAAAGAAAAAAAAAACAGCTTGGAGACTGGACACTCCTATGACCAAGAGCAGAGCCTGGCATGAACATGAGTGCTGCTGATCACACAGGTCCACGTGCCAGAACTAAGCGGAATGAAATTCTACAAGGGTAACAGAACTAGGTCCAACAGTGTTAGGGTCATGTCTTAGCTTGGGCTGCCATAACAAAATACCATAGACGGGGTGGCTTAAATAACACATATTTGTTCTCCTATAATTCTGGAAGTTGGAAGTCTGCGATCATGTTGGTTTTTGGTGAGGCCTCTTTTCCTGCCTTGGAGGCAGCGGCCTTCTCACTGTGACCTCACATGACCTCTTCTTTGCACATAAAGAAAGCCATGGCTCCACCCTGATGACCTCATTTAACCTTAATTACCTCCTTAAAGGCCACATCTCCAATATAGTCACATGGGGGAGTTAAGGCTTCAACATAGGACTTTTAGGACAACACAATTCAATCCACAGCAGATAACGTGCTTTTTGTCCTCTCTTTAAATGTGATTAGATTATACAATATGGCGGGGTCGGTAGGTGGAATTCCAGTGCATGAGAGATTGAGTTCAGGGCTCCCTGGGACTCCGCTTCCTGCAATCATTCATTCATTGAACAGATACCTAGGGAGCACCACCTCTGTAACAGGCAGGATTTGAGGTATGGAGGATTCAGCAGTGAACAAAGAAAACCATGTCCCAGCCTTCATGGAATCTACACTCTAGTGGAGGAACACAGAAAACAGCAACGTAAACAAATGAACAATGCCATTCAGATAGTGATAAGAATTTTTAAGAAAATAAAACAGGGTAATACTGGAAAGCCAGAGGGCAAATTTAAACAGTGGTGGTCAGAAAAAGATTCGGTGAGGAGTTGGCATCTGAGCTAATTCCTAAATAATTGTAAAGCCTCTGGGCATAGAGCATTCCCAGCACAGAGAACAGCAAATCCTGGTCTTAAGGCAGGATCAAGATATGTGGTTTTAAGAAACAAGAAAGGTCAGGGTGGCTGTGGTTGGAACCTCCAACAGGAAGGTTGTTCTTCCCACGAATCCAAAGGCTGTACAAGGGCAAAGACACTACAGCTGCCTGAAGTTAGTGCTTTAGGATATGGAGCATAAAGAGAGGAAGAGATGAGATCCACTTGGATACCAGCACCCCACTCCAGCCTCGAGGAAGCTTTTACACAGTCTGCCATGGTTTTACACAGTTTAAAACTGGAAGACAGATTCTGCTGATTTTTTTTTAAGTAAGCCATAGGAGAGTTGTTCATTAAAGTAAATTGGTAATAGAGAGAACTCTCCAGAGAACTAAAACTGGACCCTAACCCTCTAGTTACACAAATAAGCTCCGTTTAGTGAACACTGATAATGCAGTGTGTTGCCCATTGTGCATTAAGCATAGCACAGAAATCCTAAAAGTTGGGACTGGGATTACAGAAGAGTAAAGAGGGTAAACTGGCTCAAGGTCATGTGCCCAGAATATTGTACAGTTGGGCACCAATTTGACTCCTTGTCTCCTGCTCATGGTCTGAAGCTCTTTGCCATTCTGCCTCCACTTTACTATCTTTAAGGCAAGGGACTCTCGCCCTATTCAGACACATCCTTAGAGCAGGATGCCCTGGGCATCTGCACCTGACTGTCTCTTGCTTGATATTTGCAGTCCGATCTCACAAAGCAGCAGAATGGATTCAAAATTACCCTGAAAACGTTGGAAGACAGTCTTCTCTCTCGCCTCTCCTCCGCCTCTGGGAACTTCCTGGGAGAAACAGTGCTGGTGGAAAACCTAGAGATCACCAAGCAGACTGCTGCCGAAGTTGAGAAAAAGGTAAAACTCCTCTGGCTAGTCTGGGAAGGCAGCCTAGGCTGGGGTCCTCCTACAATTTTCTCTCCTCTTAGACAATGAGTCTGACTTTTAGAAAAATGTCAAAGTAACACATGGCTTTTCTGTCTTAGCAAGGTTCTTCTAGAAAGTCTACCTAGGCAGGACTCCTGAAGTGACTACCCCATATATCTTGTATTATGTAGTTCCCACCTTCTGGAAAATACTTTTGATGTCTTAACTCCATCCACAGTTGAGGAACACTTAAGCCTTTGTGGGGCCTGGTATTCTGTGCAGGGAATGGTAGCTCAAAATGGATACCTCAGATAGTGTGTGGAATTGCCCTGAAGCTAAGGAATCGCACTGCTGGAAAAGCCAACTGGTTTGGGCATGATTGCATCCTGACAAAACCCACCGGACCGCAGAATCTCACAAGTCTGATCTTAATGAGAAAACCTCAATAACTTCCTAGGAAACTCAGCTCTCAAAAACTGTATCATCCTGGGAAGTGATGACACAGTGCCCTACTGTGTGTAGCTTCCTTTATTTTATAATGTTTGGAAGGCCCTCGGTCCCCCCTGTGAGGACTAGAAGACGGGGTGTGATGGGAAAGGGGCCCAACCCCTGCTCTGTTCCAGCATACCACCAAACCTCCAACAAGGCCTTTTGCAGTCTCAGTCTCGCGCTTGCATCAGAAGGGCATTGGAGATATTGGCCCTGAGCAGGACAGAGCATATCTGTAACAGTGTCCAGGAACAATATACCTTTGACGGAAGATGCTTATTGCCAGATTATTGGGATTTCTCCAAATATGAAAGACTTCGTTCTAGGTAGAGACAAGGTAGGAAATATGAAAAGCAATGATGGGTAAGACAGATAAACCAGGTCATACCCACTCTGGGGTGAGGGACAGTTGAGGTTGGAGTGATGAGATTGAAAGGAGGAAGAGTCAGCCGAACATTGGGTCAACAGCAGGGATGTGACCACCAGGTTCCACTATCAGTTACCTATGGCCTCCGTATCTCTGGTTGGGGGCATGAGAGTTTGTAAAGTAATTACGGTAGAGCTGCCACTGCCCTGGATAAGAGAGCTGGGGAGACAGACCCAACTTACATCAAGAGAGTAGGTCAGAGGATGGGATGCAGCATACTGATCTCTTCTCCCCACCTCTTCATCTGTTTTTTTTTTATCTTTTTCTTTAAAATCAATGAACACTTATTGAGTACCTGCTGTGTGCCGAGGGTTGTATGAAGCTTTCTTTTTCCTTTTGTTGTTCAGTTTCTTTTTGTCTTCTCTCTCTTTCTCATTTATTCATCTCATGAACACTTACTTGAAGGCCACTGTATTCTAAGATCCATGATGAAAGTTGGAGATACAGCAAGAAATTTGCTATAATCCTAGGCTTTTAGGGCCTGGCCCTCTAAGGAAGAAAGACAAGTAAACAGGCAGTTACAAAACAGGGCTGAGGGCTGAGGCCAAGAAAGCACAGGGATCAGTGAACACACAAAGGAGGAACACTCAACCCACATTGGGTGAGAGGGAGGAGGTGCTTCCCTTGAGTGTAACTGGAACATAGAGGGGGTGGGAGCTGGAAGTGGTCACTGGCAATAAGGCATGAAAGGTGGCCTGAGTTTCCGTTGTATAGGGCTGTGTAAACCATGCTGGGAAAATTGGGCTACGTCCTGATGGGCATCAAAGATCATAAACCTCTTTCACATATTTTCCATCTCTGTTTCTTTCTGAGTTGCTTTTGTAACAATTTCCTGAGATTTCTCTTTTAGTTTGCTGATTTTCTTTTCAACTCCAGTCTATTATTTAAACTGAACACTTTTTAAATTTAAATAACTATACTCTTATTTTTAGAAGTTGTAGCTAGTTCTTTTCCAGATATGCCTGTTCTTTTTCATAATGTCCATATTTTATGCTTCCTTTTGTGTCCACTGCTCTAAAACATACTTTGTTAATGGTGAGTTTGTTCAGTCATTCTCAGTTCATGAGATGCTAATCCTTCTGGGTGTTTTTAGTTTAGTTTTGTTTTGTTTTGGAAAGGGGCCTTCTGATTGTTCCCTTTTGTAATACTCCTGCAGTTTGTAATTGTTTATTATGAGAACATCTTCAATAAGGATCATTGCCTTTTCCTGTGGTGCTCCCACAAATTATCAGTAACTTTCCTCTATTTTGGAGCATAAGGGCAGAGCATATTGAGGTTTGCTTTTAGAAGCATAGTCTAACAGAAATCTGTCTTCCTGATCCTGAGGTCTCCTTTCTTATTTTTACCTGTCATAAACAATTTTCTGGCTGGGCGCGGTGGCTCACGCCTATAATCCCAGCACTTTGGGAGGCTGAGGCAGGTGGATCACCTGAGGTCAGGAGTTCGAGACTAGCCTGGCCAACATGGTGAAACCCCTTCTCTACTAAAAATAACAAAAATTAGTCGGGCGTGGTGGCAGGCGCCTGTAATCCCAGCTACTGGGGAGGCTGAGGCAGGAGAATCGCTTGAACCCAGGAGGCGGAGGTTGCAGTGAGCCAAGATCGTGCCATTGGACTCCAGCCTGGGGACAAGAGCGAGACTTTGTCTCAAACAAACAAACAAACAAACAAACAAAAAAGAAATTTTCTGAAAATAGAATATTCCATTGAAAGATATCTTTGTGAAATTACATATGAACTATTTCACAAAAATTAAGAAAAAAGAAGACTATACTATGTTTCTTTCCCTGGATTTCCACTGCTTGGCATTCTAGTTCATTTTTGAGTCATACTTTTTTTTTTTTTTTTTTGCATTTCCATGAAATCTTTCTCATTAGAGATGGAGTGTGGAGGCTTTCATGGCTCACGCTTCCCAACTGGAAGAGCTGACACCTCACCCTCCGAAAGCACTAGAAGTTTACCATCTCCTTTCTCATCCAAGTTCTAGGAAGGAATACCATAGTAGCTTTTCAACTTTCTACCCATCATCCCCATCCCTCTTCACTCCATCCCCTAAGCAGACGCATGTCTACTCACACAGAGGGGCCAAGTTGATTCTCAGGAAGCCCAGGTTGGTTGGAACAGTGGGCTGCTGTTTATTTTTCCAACAGGTCCAGGAGGCCAAGGTGACTGAAGTGAAAATCAACGAGGCCCGAGAGCACTACCGGCCAGCAGCTGCCAGGGCCTCACTGCTCTACTTCATCATGAACGACCTCAGCAAGATCCATCCAATGTACCAGTTTTCTCTCAAGGTGACTTACACCTGGAGTTTCTTGCCTGATTATAATAAAGCAGTGTAATATTGCCAATGCAGCTCTCTGTGAGAGCTTATCCATGTAAGATCATTAGCTATGGCAAGTCTGTAAGATCAAAGCCAGGAGAGGAGCTATGTTACCTTCAGACATCTCTTACCATCCTCATCTCTTTAATTGGGTCTTACATGACTCACGGGTAATTTTGACTGGAACAGAACAGGACACCACAGCAAGTCTTGGCTCATTCAGTAGGCACACATGATACAGTAGGTACTATGCTTACTGAATGTGTGGAAGGTGATACCGAAGAAGTCTGAGAAGTGATCCCTGTCCCCAAAGAGCTTAAAATATAATAGACAATCAAATGTGTCACTTGTATTGATTAAAGTCCAAAGCAGGCAATAATAATACACCAACTTTAAATTAGTTTTCTTATGACCCTAATATCCCCAAAGCTGCTGCTTATGATTGTTGAAATATTCCTAAAACCACCAAAGATGTTAGCAAATTGTAAGTGCTGACTAAACTTATCTTACTCATGAAAAAATAAAGACCTATAAATTTTTAGTGCATCTCTGAAAGTACATCTTTCCCCCCTAGGGCATTCACCAAAAGACCACAATTGAAGAGGCATTAGGAGGTAGTGAAGCATTTCTAAATTTCTTTGGTTTGACCCAACAAAGAGGACATGCATACATATACACACAGAGAAACAGGAGAGAGAGACCATATGTATATAGACACATGGAGATTTCACATACACACAGTCACACACACACACACACACACACACACACAGAGTGCACACACTTCAGAATCTGTGGAGTGCTTTCAGCTAAACCACCATGTGAAGACCAAGATGGCAGGGATGGTGATGAGCAGATGAGAAATCAGAAGGCCTCCAGTTCCTGGGGCTCATTTGATTGAAGATGGCATTTAATCATTTCCCAATCTTATTATTTTAACTCAGAGTCTCTGCAGATTGGATGAACTGTGTTTATAATATTTTATGGTTTTTTGTTTTTTTTTTTTGAGAGGGAGTCTCGCTTTGTTGCCCAGGCTGGAGTGCAGAGGCGCGATCTCGGCTTACTGCAAGCTCTGCCTCCCGGGTTGAGGCCATTCTCCTGCCTCAGCCTCCCGAGTAGCTGGGACTACAGGTGCCCACCACCGCACCTGGCTAATTTTTTTTGTATTTTTAGTAGAGACGGGGTTTCACTGTGTTAGCCAGGATGGTCTCGATCTCCGGACTTCGTGATCCGCCCGCCTCGGCCTCCAAAGTGCTGGGATTACAGGCGTGAGCCACTGCACCCGGTCCCATATTTTACGTTTTTAAAAGAAACCCAATACTTGGCCTCATATTTAGTTTAAGGCAACATAGGAAAGAATTATAAAAATCTTTTAAAACAGCATAAAAATTGGCATGATAAGCCTAATAACCACAGGATCACCCCCCTGGTTCCAAGAGTAGTTGAAATTGACTATAGGTACCCATCAGAAGCCTACCACAGTGACTCTGAAAACAAGAAATTAAATGAGGCCCATGACAATCTGTGTTCAAAACCATGTTGTAAGATGTTTGGCAGCAACAGTGTCCTGATATAGGAGGTTCTGAAGCTCCATTTTTAAAGTAGGGGAGATGGAGTTTGGGTCACCATACTGATATTAAGAATTGCAAAAACAGCTGTTCATTGACCAACCTGATCTTTAAAAGCAGGTTAACTGCTTTATGATAAGTAGCTGAAGTAAGGGTGTTCAAAAATATCGAAACCACAATGCATTTAGAAGCCTTCTCTGTTTTGAAGAAAAATGGGCCACTGTAATTTCCATGGTCTTGGCTTTTGTCTGGGGTTGGATTTAACAGTTCCCCATCCTGGCAGAGAAAGAAGAGGCATTCTCAGAATATGGAAACCCCAGATAGGCCAACGTGGCAGGAACCATTCATCCTAGCTTTCAAAAGTGTTTTGAGCAGGAATATATTAAAATGTGTTTGTGTGTGTGTTTACACATGCAAAAACTCTTCAACAGCCAGGTTTTGAACTTTGAAGTTTATAATATGATTAAGATGGAACTTAAGTGGCAGTAAAGTAATTTTTCTTCAAGATTTAGCCAAAGGCAAGGCAAAGGTTAATAAGACACATTCACAGGGTGCCTCAGAGTGAAAGACACCTCACTGGGTTCTCCTGCAGATTGATGGGAGGCCTAGCTTTCTGTATTGTGTGCATTCTGCAGAGAGACATGGCTGGGGGAATAACACTTCTCAAAATAGAAGAAGCTTGCATCAGATAGGCAGAGGCAAAAATAACACAGCATTGGTCTCAAATCGGAAGCCCAAGGGCCTATTGTCCTGTTTTCTTTGGTCCTTGGAGGGCTTTTCAAGTACTTTAATTGGTTGCCAACATTTAAAAATGAGGAGAAGTTATGTAAGTTCCAAATTATGGCTTCTCATGAAGGTTTGGAAGATTGACAACACTGAGCTCACATCCCACGTGGCACGATTTTGCTGGAGCCAAGGGATGCTGCCCCCCTAGATTGGCATGTGCCTCCAGTGTTGCCACAGTCCTTATGCCTCCCTATTCGGTATTAAACACCTGGCCCCTGAAGGCATTGAGTTTGATACCCTTGGTCTAGAGCGTTGCTCATACTTTGCCTAGGTTCTTTTAGGCATTGGCAGGACATAGTCATCCATCCAACAAATATTTTTTAGTGCTCACTATATGTGAAGAGATGGGCTAGGTTTGGGGAAATGTAAGAAAGTGAGTAAGGCCTGGGCCCCACTATATGTGCTCATAACCTGGTAAAAAGATGAAAAATACCAAAGATACAAGGCAGTGGATAAGGGCCCTACAAAAAAATTACAAAAGCCGATGAGTATATATGAGGGTAGTTTGAGTCAATGATAAGACCCCATGGGCAGGAGAAGGGACCTTCTGGAGGATGCTGTGGAAGTGGGATCAGGCCCAGCACCAGAGCTGTTCCGACACCAGAAGTAAGAGGAAGAAGCTTTTTGGGTTTTGTTTCTTGTTTTAGGACAGAAAAGAAAAAGAGAGCAAAATTAGTTTAATATAAAGAAAACGCTAAATGTACCTAGGTTTTTAATTTTTTTTACATGTTTTCCTGAATTGTGAATCACTTTGTTTAAACTTAAATAACAAAGAGATTCTTCACTGATTACTGTTATTTTGATAAAGAGAGAGCTTTAGGGAAAAGCCATAGTAACTGCCAGGAGAAAGCTCTCCACTCTGTCTCTATGAAACTGTTCTGGAATCTTCCCAAATTGCTCTCTGTGGTGCTGGGGGGACATTATCAGCCTCTAATGAACTATTCTTCCTATCTAAAATCTATCAAGTGAAGGTAACCATTACAATGGATTGGGTTGAACATGGGCAGAAGATTTTGCAAAGATCATTAAAACTAAATAAGGAAGAAAGACTGCAAAGCCTTTGTTAACAAGAAACACCCTGGAACCATGGAAGGGAGAAAGAAATTCACATTTTCCTACTTTGCAAATGAAGAGATATTGAGACTCAAATCTTATCTGGTTTCCATTAAAGTTCAAATACTTGGTGGTGTTAGAAAGACTTAAGATTTTTTTTCTTATTGAAGCCACAAAAGGAAAATAGAGAAAAGGCTGGAAATCTGCATAACCCAAAATTGAAAAGTTCCAATTATATCTTGGCTTGTATTTTCTTTTGTTCTGTTTTTTGTTGTTTTTGTTGTTGTTGTTTTGTGTTGTTTTGTTTTGTTTCTTAGGTTATTTTGAGACAGGGTCTCACTCTGTTGCCCAGGCTGGAGTGCAGTGGCACCAGCATAGTTCATTGCAGCCTCAAACTCCCGCTTCAGCTTCCCAAGTAGCTAGAACTACAGGTGTGTGTCACCATGCCCGGACAATTTAATTTTTTGTAGAGACACGGTCTCGCTATCTTGCCCAGGCTCGTTTTGAACTCCTGGCCTCAAGTGATCCTCTCAGCTCTACCTCCCAAAGTGCTGAGATTACAGGAATGAACCACTGCACCTGGCCTTGGTTTTTATTTTCTTTAATTGTTTGTTCTATTCATATCACATTTAAAATGTAACATTCCAAATATTTACTTTTTTAAATAGTCAATATCTAAGTTTAAAACAATGGAAAACTGATTCACATGATTTTTATATGAGTTTATACACATAATGTGTAGTTCAGAAGATGTAACCAAAGCAGGCTACGCTCCCTGCATTGCAGGAAGGGTCCATGAGAAAGGAGGCTGCTTGCAAGGACTCGTCTTATCACTGCAGAGGTATATATGCTTATAGCTATGTAATAATTCACATGAGCAAACTAACAAAAGATAATAGCATGTTTTCTCGTTACTATTGTCCTTGGCAGGATATTTTGGGAAAACATTTCTTTGGTTTTTTTTGTTTGTTTGTTTTTCTTTTTGAGACAGAACCACTCTGTCGCCCAGCCTGGAATGCAGTGGCACCATCTCGGCTCACTGCAAACTCTGCCTCCCAGGTTCAAACGATTCTCCCACCTCAGCCTCCCAAGTAGCTGGAATTATAGGCATGCACCACTACACCTGCTAATTTTTGTGCTTTTAGTAGAAACAGCGTTTCACCATGTTGGCCAGGCTGGTCTCAAACTCCCGACCTTAGGTGATCTGCCCACCTTGGCCTCCCAAAGCACTGTGATCACAGGCATGAGCCACCGTGCCTGGCCTTGGGAAAAAATTTCTATGGGCTGGAAAACTATCACATTCTTCGCAGGTAAGACCACTAGTGTATAGTAAGAGGGCTGTGTACCTTACCAGTTTCCTGTCTTCTGTCCCCAGGCCTTCAGTATCGTCTTCCAGAAGGCTGTGGAGAGGGCTGCTCCTGACGAAAGCCTCAGGGAGCGGGTGGCCAACCTAATAGACAGCATAACCTTCTCTGTGTACCAGTACACCATCCGCGGGCTCTTTGAGTGTGATAAGCTGACCTACCTTGCCCAGCTCACCTTTCAGGTAAAAGTGGATTGAAGAAGTTTCCAGAAAACAGGTTATTTTTAGTGCCCAGACAGCAGGTGTTAAGAAACTTTCTTCTTTGAACATCACTTTCCACAGCATGTCCAGACTATCTGTCTTTGGATAGAGGCATCAGACAAGAAGGTCCAATGTGGTGTGTGCATCTGCCCCCACCATTTCCCACTTATGGCAGACATACTTAATCCATCATTGTACTTTTTCTTGCTGATCCTGGAAGATCTAAGATCTTCCTCAGCACAGCACTCCAGCAGCCACTACCAATCAATCAAAACTGGCACTGAAGATGAAACTAGATGAAACCATACCAATAACCAGACGCTTTTTGAAATGCTGTAAGAAATTTGGTAGAGTATCCATCATTGTTTATTTACCTTTAGACTGCAAGTTTACTGATGCAGCCATCCCCCGGGATAAGAAATTGCACAGGTCTTTCCACAACTGTAGCAGCCTTGACCTTAGAAAGTTTTCAATAACGTTGGTTCTCAAGGGTTTGGGAAGCAGGGATTTCCGATGTTGCTGCATCTTTAAGAAGAAACCTTTGTCTTCTAGTTATTCTCAACATCAAAAAACCATGAAAATTTACTTCCTTTTTTTTATTTTGAGATGGAGTCTCACTCTGTTGTCCAGGCTGGAATGCAGTGGTGTGATCCTGGCTCACTGCAATCTCCACCTCCCCAGTTCAAGTGATTCTCCTGCCTCAGGCTCCCGTGTAGCTGGGATTACAGGTGTGCGCCACCAGGCCCAGCGAATTTTTTTTGTATTTTAAGTAGAGATGGGGTTTCACCATATTGGCCAGGCTCGTCTCAAACTCCTGACCTCAGGTGATCCACCCGCCTCGGCCTACCAAAGTGCTGGGATTACAGGCATGAGCCATTGCATCTGGCCTAATTTACTTCCTTTTACATGTCCCTGTAATCATTTAGAATTGGGATTTTTTCCAATATGTAAATTGGGAGCACAGACTAATTATCTCGAAGGCCCTTTCCTTGAATCTTCTGATCCGTAGTCAGACACGTTATCCATTGCACCACTGGCCCACGGTTGAAGGCCCTTTCCAATTCCAAAAGTCAGATATCCCATCATCACTTGTGTGCTGACTCTGTTTTCACCTTTCAGGGCCTGCCTGAGTTCATGGGTGAGTGTTGCTTTGCCTCACCCCTCTCACCCCCTATATTCCCCACTCCAGCCCAGATGACAGCTTGGCCTTTGCAAAAAAAAAAAAAAAAATGTGGGCCCCACCTCTCAGTGTGAATCATGAGCTCAAACTAAGCCAAAGGCTTTTCTCTCCCCTGTACACAGCTCACTAATTCCCCTATCAAGCCTCTGCTTTTTCCATTTCCTACTCCATGGAACGTCGTCCCTTCTGTGAAAATATCCCCATCTCTTAGCTTCTCCAAGACGCAATCCAAAACTACTTATAGGAAAGACACATACACACGTATGTTTATTGCAGCACTATTTACAATAGCAAAGACTTGAAAGACTTGGAACCAACCCACATGCCCATCAATGGTAGACTGGATAAAGAAAAAGTGGCACATATTCACCATGGAATACTATGCAGCCATAAAAAAGAACAAGTTCATGTCCTTTGCAGGGACATAGATGAAGCTGGAAACCATCATTCTCAGCAAACTAACACAGGAACAGAAAACCAAACACCACATATTCTCACTCATAAGTGGGAGTTGAACAATGAGAACACATGGACACAGGGAATGTCACACACTGGGGCCTGTCAGGGGGTGGAGGGGAAAGGGGAGGGAGAGCATTAGGACAAATACCTAAGGCATGCAGGGCTTCAAACCTAGATGACAGGTTGACAGGTGCAGCAAACCACCATGGCCCATGTACATCTATGTAACAAACCTGCACGTTCTGCACATGTATCCCAGAACTTAAAGTAAAAGAAAAGAAAATAAACTACTTATAGAAAGTTTAGTCAAATTAGTTTCTTCTTGCCCCTCACTTGCTGGTAACTTCTCTACTCTGTAACTCCTTTAGCATTATGGCTTCCTATCTGCATTTCTAGCTGCCGTATATCCATACGTCATTTTGACATTCTCCTCAGATCATGTCATTTGTATGTGTCATCTGCTCAATTAGATTGCAGAAACATACTCCATGGCATTTATGATTGATATGTAATAAATGCTTATTAACCAAGATATAGTCACTCGCTGTGTGCAGTTCAGTCACTCTCATATTTGGGGTGAAAATAGAGGGACACAGTAGTAACGTGTGTGAATATACACTTCCTTCCACTCTACCCTCATTAAACAACCAAAATTGATGGGCAAACTAGTATTAGAGGCAGTAATAATTATACTGAGTGACAACCCCTAAGATTTCTAGGACTCTGGCTACAAGCTAAAGAAATGCAGTATCATTTCTCCACATTGCAGATTCTCCTCATGAACCGAGAAGTCAATGCAGTGGAGTTGGATTTCCTGCTTCGATCTCCAGTGCAGACGGGCACCGCCAGCCCCGTGGAGTTCCTCTCCCATCAGGCGTGGGGAGCTGTCAAGGTCAGTATTGACCCCTAGAAAAAAGCCAAGCTCTCATCTCTCAGAATTTACCTCTGACACTGGTCCCCATGAAGTCAGCAGGGCTCTCTGTTGGAGTTCAAGCATGGAGCTGTGTTAAACATAGGCGCATCCCTTTCCTTGCGTCCCCACAGTGAGCTCATCTTTCCTGGGCCTGCAGAGAAGAAGCAGGTGCATGCTGGTGTATGAGGGCTCTGCCTCCAGGGTGTGAGGAAACAGAAAGTTCCTGTGAGCTCCCCTAAGTCACCTGAGCTGCTTTTCACCTACCAGGGCTTAAGGCTGGGACATGGCCTCCTCAGTGAGTCCCTGGGGTTGATGTGGAGAGGCTGCCACAGCATTTCCATAAAACAGCAGGTGCCAGTGCTGTATTCAGGCATCTGAATCCTAACTCAGACTCAAAGCAGGAGTGCATTTCAGCCTGGGATGCTCAGCAGTTAATAACAGCTCTTATCTATTGAGTGCCTTGGAAATGCATTACCTTATTTAATTCTCTGTCCACCTGGGCAATAGGTATTATTTGTTCCCATTTAACATAGGAGGAAACAGGTCCCACGCTTACCAGAAGCCCAGAACACAATTTTTGGTCTGTCTGATGGCAGAGCCTATTTTCATTCCACATCATGCAGCTTAGTTTAGCTGGGATTCTATGAGTGTTGAAAAGATCACAAACTATAAGGTTCTTTCAGTAGGTACTATGCCTGCAATTCACAGATCCTGACACAATGCCTGGCAGGGAATGCTGGGTGAGGCAACACCAGCTTGCTCCAGAGTCCAGGCCTGCACTCCATGCAGGCAGTTGAGTGAACACCCATGACGGGTTTCAGCGCCATGTGAGGAATAGCATCTACATAAGATGAATCTTGTTTATGATCTCCCATGTTTATTGCATTTTACAGATGTTTAGTAGCACAAAGAAGTATAAGAGTAAAGTAATATGATTGGCTTTCTTTCTCCTTATTTTTTTATTAAAATGGTTTATTTTGAGACAACAATTCATATGCAGTTTTAAGAAATAATACAGAGATATCCCTTGTACCCAGTTTTCCACAATGGTAACATCTTGCAATACTATAGTACAATAACACATCTGGGAAATTGTCATTGATACAATCCAGAAAGTTCCACCATTACAAGGACTTCTCATGTTGGCCTTCTATAACCACAACAACATCTTCCCTTACCCAGTTCCCAATACCTACCAACTACGAATCCATTCTCCATTTGTATAATTTGCTGTCATCTCAAGGATGTTACATAAATGGAATTATACAGTATATAACCATGTGGGATTGGTGTGCTCATTTAGCATGATTCCCTCGATATCCGTCCAAGTAGTTTTACTTTATAACTAAAACCTAGAACTTAATTATTTATATACTTGCCGTCCCCTTCAAAGGAGTCATCTCAGGAAATTCTAGGCTCATTCCATTAATGCTACCATTTCTCAAAGATAGTTTTCTAACTTCTTTTTCAGAGCCTGTATTGCTTTAACCAACTTTAGGACTGTATCTAAATCAAGAGTTGTCCCACTTTTTCTGCAAAGGGCCACTTAGTAAATATCACCATCTTCCCATCTTCACATGGCTGTCTTCCCTTTGTGAGTCCTGTCTCTCTGCTTCTTATAAGAGCACCAGTTATATTGGTTAGGGCCCATACTAGTAACTCCATCTTAACTTGATTACATCTACAAAGACCCTATTTCCAAATAAGATCACATTCACAAGTCCAGGAGATTAGTTCTTCAGTATATATTTTACTTTGGAGGGACACAGTTCACTCCATAACAATTATGAGGGCCACTTAGACTTTGTAGGCCAGACTCTGTAGCAACTACTCAACTCTGCCAAAGCCAGTCACAGTATAAGTGAATGGACACGGCTGAGTTCCAATAAAACTTTATTGACAAAAACAGATGGTGGGCCAGATTGGGCCTGCAAGCTGTAGTTTGCCAATCTCTGATCCAAATAATAAAGTTGTAATTTGATTTTTATTTAATTTTATTTGTCATTCTGGGCCCAATCTGGTGAATGAGAAGGGAAATAATATACTGGGGAAGAAATAAGGGGGTACTCCATTCACAACAGAAACCCAAATTACAAAGTTACAAAATGCCTAAGAATGATTAAATAAATGCAGAGAAGTGGAAACCATCCATTTTCCTGGGCTACATAAGATACAAATGAATAGACACACTTTAAAGTAGCACCGTCCAAAAGAAATATAATGCAAACCACTTAAGTAATTTTAAATTTTCTATAGCTGCATTAAAAAATGTTTTAAAAATGGATAAAATTGACTGGGCACGGTGGCTCACGTCTGTAATTCCAGCACTTTGGGAGGCCAAGGTGGGCGGATCACCTGAGGTCAGGAGTTCAAGACCAGCCTGGCCAACATGGTGAAACCCCGTCTCAACTAAAAGTACAAAATTAGCCGGGTGTGGTGGCACACACCTGTAATCCCAGCTCCTTGGGAGGCTGAGGCTGGAGAATGGGTTGAACCTGGGAGGTGGAGGTTGAAGACAGCTGAGATCACTTTGCGCTCCAGCCTGGATGGCAAGAGTAAAACTCCGTTTCAAAAAAATGGATAAAATTAATTTTAGCAAGATATTTTCTTTAAGCCAATACAGCCAAAATATTATCTCAATATGCAGTTGTTATAAAATTATTACTAAGATATTGTGTACTTTTATACTAAGCCTTTGAAATCTGGTGAATATTTTTTAAACTTATAGCTCATCTCAATTCAGATGCCAAATTTTCATCAAAAATATTTGTATTGAGATTCCATAAAATTGATTGATTCATATACCCAAGTTGTTCCAACAATCTTTAGAAGTTTTCCAATTAATAAAACAAGTCCTATTTTCTACACTTGAATTTGAAGACCATTAAAATTAAATGCAATTAAAAATTCAGTCTCTCAGTCCCACCAACCACATTTCAAGTACTTGGGAGTCACTCATGGCCAGTGGCCACCTCATAGGACAGTATGGTCCAGAGCTAGACAATAATTTCTTGTAGTCTGATGCTTTTACGGAAAATAAGTTTGTTCTGTAAAGCGGTTCTGAATGAACCCCTTTGCAGAACTGGAGCAATGATGGAGATGGACTAATTAACACAGGCTCTGGAGTCAGACATCCCTGGATTCAACTTCAAGTTTGTGTGTGTGGCCTCTGACATGTTGTCTTATTCCTCTGAGCCTTGGTTTCCTCATCTGCAAAATGGTCGTCGTAATACCTTTCTTAGAAGGCTGTGTAAGACACGGAGTAAATGCTAAACCAATGGAAGCTGATTGGTTATGGTTGCTGTATTTGTTTCCTAGAGCTGTTCTAAGAAAGTACTACAATGGAGTGGCTTAAAACAACAGAAATCTGTTTTCTCACAGTCGTGGAGGCTGAAAGCTGAAATTAAGGTGTCAGCAGGGCCGTGCTCCCTCCAGAGGCTCTAGGGAAGGATGCTTCCTTGCCGCCTCCAGCTTTTGATAGCCCCTGGTGTCTTTTGCTTTGTGGCAGCATAACTCCAGGGTCTGTCTCCATCTTCACATCTTCACATGGCTGTCTGGCTGTCTTCTGTGTCCCTCTGCGAGTCTCTGCCTTTCCACTTCTTTCTTTTCCTTTTCTTTTTTTTTTTGAGGCGGAGTCTCGCTGTGTCGCCAGGCTGGAGTGCAGTGGCGAAATCTCGGCTCACTGCAACCTCTGCCTCCCGGGTTCAAGCGATTCTCCTGACTCAGCCTCCCAAGTAGCTGGGATTACCGGCGTGCGCCACCACACCCAGAAAATTTTTGTATTTTTAGTAGAGATAGTTTCACCATGTTGGCCAGGATGGTCTCAATCTCTTGACCTCATGATCTGCCTGCCTCGGCCTCCCAAAGTGCTGGGATTACAGGCGTGAGCCGCCGCGCCTGGCCCTTTCCGTTTCTTATAAGGCCACCAGTCATAATAGATTAGGGTCCACACTAGTGACTTCTTTGTGACTTGATTACATCTACAAAGACCCTATTTCCAAATAAGGTCACATTCACAAGTCCAGGAGGTTATTTCTTCAATATATATTTTGGGGAGACACAATTCACCCCATAACAATTATGATGACTAATCACCCAGCTATCTGGTGTCCACATGCTATAGTCGATATGGATTGTACTGCATAGAATTTGTCCAAAGAAGGAAAAACTTTCAGGAACTGTGAGTTGTGCAGTTTGGACCAAGTCCAGTTGCCTCTGTTCGTATTACCCCACAAAGCCCTCTGCTGCAAAAGTCATAAGGAATAAATGATTCACAAGCACTCTTCAGTACTTTCATTTTACAAAGCTCAACCCAAAAGCTACGTACAATTTAGTTTCATTCCTCTTTTCACGAAATGGATTGTTTGGTTCGCTTTGCCTTGCTTCACTTTGCTTTTTTGTTTTGTTTTGTGGGCTAAGCTCATCTGGCTGTTCAAAGGCTTTTGCCAACTAGGGAAGCTTTATCTCTCTATGTGAATTTGTTAGGAAGAGCAGCAAAGTCCAGAACCATCAAACTCAAGCACAGCACAGGATATGAGCAGGTGAAACACAATGCATTATGTAGTACTCGTTGCCAAAGCCTTTGATGAATGCTCTTTTTAAGTGTTTGGTTGGATTTTAGCCTAAAGAAACAAAATAAGTATAATTGAATAGGACATGATTTTTTAAAAAAAAAAATTTAAGCATTGTATCTCGTGATGAAGACTGATTGCTTTGTTTCCCCAGAAGAACTAATAAGCAGGTAATGAATGAAATCTTTGTGATAAAATACTGCTTTTATTAATATCCTTTGTAAGGGTTTTTTAGGTCCCATCAAATGTAGAACTTTCAGGTAATGGGCATGTTCTGTTGCTCATTAGAAAATCTCATCTGCGATGAAGGCCTTTGTTAGCCTTTGAAAAGGCCCCTTACTACCAGTCTGGTTGCCAATTTAGCTCGGTTGTATTTTGCTACACAGTCCAAAGTAATTAGGTTAATTAGTCATTTCCATTTAGCTTATTAGAAGGCTAGAAATCCCTTTGCCTCATTTGGAAGATTAAATGTTGCAATTGTATTCAATCTAGAGCTTCAAGAAAGTGTGTTTCAGATCCAGCCCTGGCAGCTGGGAGCACTGATCACAGTGTAATTTGCTCAGTTTTGTGGAGACGCCAGAGGGGGTTGCAGGACTGCAGAAGGGTTAATAATGATGCAAACTGGGAAGAGGGGGTGAGTGGCTGCCTGAAAGAAGATGAAAGTCAGCTCCTCGGCACAGAGAGAAATAATTACAGCAGCTGCAGCTTTCTCAGCCTGTCAAGAGCCCTCCTGCTGGCCAGGCAGATGTCAAATCTTATTAACTGAGCATTTCCTAAGTGCCAGGCACCCTGCTAGGTCTAAGGCGTACAAAGAGGCCTACAAAAGTTCTTGCCCGCAGGGAGCTCACAGTCTTGTGGGAGTAACAGGCAAGTAAACCAGAAGTTGCAATTCAATAGCCATAGGAGCCCCCCAGGAAGGAAAAGGGAGAGCTTTGTAGCCTTCAAAGCATTTGTATCTACATAACAGTATGAGATATGGCAGACCACATGACTTGGCCTCATTTTCCAAATGAAAAAAAAAACTCACAAGGGTTTTAAAACAGGCTCCAAGTCCACTGGCTCAAAAGTGGTGGTGCTGGGGCCAGAACTCCAGTCCCCCGGTGCCTCCTGCTCCACTCCACACACCACTCCACACGACTTATCTGCACCATTGAAGGATGATTCCCTGCTGTAAGTGATCAGGGTGAAACTGGGAAGCCACAGAGCCCATGTGAAGGAATATGTAAAGCCAGGACATGTGTTCATTTCCACGGGACAAAAGCCTCTGCAAGCCCCGGTCACATGCCTCTGTCCTTCTCCAGCTGTTCCTGTCGGTGGTAAGGCAAAAGACTCCTCTGCAGCAATCACGCTGCTTCCTGTCAGGCCCCACACTCTCCCTCCTCCAGGCTTTAGCTCTTCTTGATCCTTCCCCTGCCAAAAAAAAAAAAAAAATTCCCTTTCCTTCACTCTACCTCCATCTCTGCCCAGCAGAATTCTACATACCTACCAAGGCCTCCCTCATCTTCTTTTTCCCTAAGCTAGGACTGCAGGCTCCTGAAAGGCTTGTGTTTTTTGTTGTTGTTGTTTTTTATTATTTTCTTCCCCAGTATCTGGCAGGTAGTAGGAATTGAATAAATGTCAAAAGAATGAACGAATGAATGAATGAGTTCAAATAAAAAGATTATATTGGGTGCCTAAAAACTCATGGCACTGTGGTAGGTGCTTTAGACACGCAGTCTCGTCTAGCTTTTCATGTCATTGGGGAAACCAGGCATTCAGGCAGAGTTGAGTAATGAAGGCAGGACTGCAGGTAATTAAGTATCTAAGTGAGTGATGTTGATGTGGGCACTCTAAAGAAATAGAACAGACCTCCTACACACACACCCAAAATACAGTTCCAACATCAAGACTGATGATGCTACATACATACTAAGAGGGTATGAGAAAGTTTATTACTCAGATAACATGGTTTTCTAGGAAGAGCAAAGGAGCTCCCAAGCAGGCTGCAAATGGCTTGAGAGTGCCAGAAAAGGAGACTGCTTTGGGTATTATGATGCTTAGGGGGTGGGGCCAGGGTGAGGGTGTCTGTGCATGGGCAGGGGCTTGCCTGGTACAACTTCCCTCCAGCACCAAAAGAGAGAGTGCCCAGGGCAGAAGGGGAAGAGGAAAGGATGAGGTTTAAAAGCTATCAGCAGTCAAACATCTAAAAACGAAGTCAAGCTCTTTATTAAAGATGTCAACTCTGCAAGTATCTCTAAGTCAGGGGTGTTCAATCTTTGGCTTCCCCGGGCCACACTGGAAGAAGAAGAATTGTCTTGGACCACACATAAAACACACTAACACTGGGGCCGGGTGTGGTGGCTCACACCCGTAATCCCAACTCTTTGGGAGGTCGAGGCGGGTGGATCGCCTGAGGTCAGGAGTTCAAGACCAGCCCGACCAATATGGTGAAACCCCGTCTCTACTAAAAATACAAAAATTAGCCAGGCGTGGTGGTCTGCACCTGTAGTCCCAGCTACTCGGGAGGCTGAGACAGGAGAATTGCTTGAATCCAGGAGGTGGAGGTTGCAGTGAGCCAAGATCATGCCACTGCGCTCCAGCCTGGGCAACAGAGCGACACTCCGTCTCAAAACAAAACAAAACAAAAAACACGCTAACACTAATGATAGTTGATGAGCTAAAATATATATCTGTCACAAAAAAACTCATAATGTTTCATGAAAGTTTATGAATTTGTATTGGGCCACCTTCAAAGCCGTCCTAGGCCGCATGCAGCCCAAGGGCCATGGGTTGGACAAGCTTGCTCTAAGTGGTTTACAAAAGGATGGGAGGTCTACATGTTCTACATTAGGAAGGATGGCCCAAGGGAGGTTGCAGGTTTTGAACTGGTCTTTCACAACCTGTAGAGCCTTAACATATAACAATCGTGACCAGCACAAGAAAAGGAAGAAGTGGAATGTGGCAGAAAAGAAAACAGGACTTTACAGATGGTGGAAGTAGTATGAACAAGGAAATGAGTTGGGAATGAGTCAGGCACATTTCCAAGGTTGGGAGCAGATATGCTCAGAGTGGGACAGAGTAGGAGGACACATGACTTACTGGACAGATTGAAGAGAGGCACCAGATGAAGAGATCTGGCTACCAAGTTATACATTTGGACTGAATCCTCATAGAAATAGACAACCCATGGGCATTTTAAGAGTTGGCGTTAACACAGAGTACATGAATAATTCTAGAAACATTTTGAGAGGTGAACTGACAGGGTTTGGTGGCAGAGTGAGTTTGAGGAGGAAAGGGAGAAGTCACTAACTTTAGGTGTCCAAGCTTCAAGACCAGAATAACCATAATGCCCCTTCTTGCCCCTCTTTTCCATGTACACACCTACAGGCAGGTGTGGCTCAGTCTCTGCTGCTAATAATATCCCAAACATTTTATGCGCTAAATCTTGCATGTTATTGGGGCACTTTGCTAAGCTGCTCAAAATTCTTCCTCTTTCTTGATTTTTCCTGGGGGATGATCCAAAGCTCTAGACAAGAGTATAAATGAGACAGAATTGTGTAGATAAGACCATCTGGCCCCTCAATCCCCCAACACAATGCAAATGACAGCTTTCTGGAGAAACTGCATTTCAGATTCTCTGAAATTTCCCAGGTACTTTCATCAATGGAAGAATTCTCTAATCTGGATCGGGACATAGAGGGATCTGCTAAGAGCTGGAAAAAGTTTGTGGAGTCCGAATGTCCTGAGAAAGAGAAGCTCCCACAGGAGTGGAAGAACAAGACAGCCCTGCAGCGCCTCTGCATGCTGAGAGCCATGCGGCCCGACCGGATGACCTATGCTTTGCGGTAGGAAACAGGGTGGTGGAAGGCCCAGCATAGGCATGGGGCAAGGGCAACCTCAGGACAACTGGACCAGCAGGGCTGAGCTCCAAAGCCATGTGTATATAGTAGTTTCCTGGAGCTAGAGGGTGGGAATAGAAATTAACTAAACAGGCCAGGCGCGGTGGCTCACGCCTGTAATCCCAGCACTTCGGGAGGCCGAGGCAGGTGGATCACAAGGTCAGGAGTTCAAGACCAGCCTGGCCAAGATGGTGAAACCCCGTCTCTACTGAAAATACAAAACTTAGCCTGGCATGGTGACAGGCACCTGTAATCCCAGCTACTCTGGAGGCTGAGGCAGGGAATTGCTTGAACCCGGGAGGCAGAGGTTGCAGTGACCCGAGATTGCGTCACTACACTCCAGCCTGGGCGACAGAGTGAGACTTCATCTCAAAAGAAGTAAAAAATAAAAAAAAAAAAGGAAATTAAATAGCCATAGCCATAAAGAATCTCACTGGTGTGATATAAATGTTCTAAAACGGGGTTATGGTAAAGACTGTACAACTTGGTAAATGTATTAAGTTATTGAATAGTACACTTAAAATGGGAAAATCCTATGGTATGTCAATTACACCTCAATAAAGTTATTTTTAAAAGAAAAAAGAAGTTGTAGGCCGTGGAGTCTATACTGGATAGGAAAGGAGTGATTAGAGTAAGGGCATGATAGAAAAATACCAGGGAGGGCCCGGGCGCGGTGGCTCACGCCTGTAATCCCAGCACTTTGGGAGGCTGAGGCGGCGGATCGCTTAAGGTCAGGAGTTTGAGACCAGCCTGGCCAACATGGTGAAACCCTGTCCTACTAAAAATACAGAAAAATTAGCTGGGCGTGGTGGCGCATTCCTGTAGTCCCAGCTACTTAGGAGGCTGAGACAGGAGAATGGCTTGAACCTGGGAAGCAGAGGTTGCAGTGAGCCAAGATTGCACCACCGCACTCTAGCCTGGGCAACAGAGGGAGACTCCATTTTAAAAAAGAAAGAAGGAAGGAAGGAAAAATACCAGGGAGACCAAGATACTGAAATTCCTCCATTCGTAGTGGCCCCAGTACAGGCAAAGAATAGGTGAAGTCAGGTTAGATTGCTAAGGATAAAAGGCTTGGGTCAAAGAGTGAGATGTTCCCATTTGTGTGTCCTAACATTTAAGAAGTTTCCAAGTAATGACAACGATGAGCATGTGGCTATAGAATTAGGTTGCTAAAGGGGGAGAAAAACAGAGATCTCTTGAGCTGAGGTCACTAAGAATCTACAGGATTGTCCACATGGATGTTGATGTCACCCAGGCTGAAAGAGAAAAAGACAGTGAAAGAGGAGAGTGACTGAAGGGGAACAGATGACATTGATGTGCAGGGGCAGTGGTGACACAGCCAGGGGAAATGAGCCTCTGAGGAGCCACAAGAGTGGGGAGGGGGCCAGGCACAGTGGCTCATGCCTATAATCCCAGCACTTTGTCAGGCCGAGGCAGGAGGATCACGAGGTCAGGAGTTCGAGACCAGCCTGGCCAACATGGTGAAACCCCGTCTCTACTAATAATACAAAAATTAGCTAGGCATAGTGGCACTCGCCTGTAGTCCCAGCTACTCAGGAGGCTGAGGCAGGAGAACCACTTGAACCTGGTGGAGGCGGATGTTGCAGTGAGCCGAGATCGCACCACTGCACTCCAGCCTGGGCGACAGAGTGAGACTCCATCTCAAAAAAAAAAAAAAAAAAAAAAAAAAAGAATGGGGAAGGAATGGCTTGAAAACAGTAGTGGGCAGTGAGCTGGACCCTGATTCCGCTTGCCAATCCTAAGGCAGGCGTAGGAGAATGAGCCCAGTCGAGAAGGCTACAGGGAAAATAGTGTTCCTGGGGGAGAGTGCAAGTCTCTGTTAAGACCAGGAGCTGGGTCAGATGTTCAATAAGTGGTTATAGCTATGAAGATTTGTTCAGCATAAAATGTGACACTTTGGACAGGAACACTGGTAAGTGGAGTGAGATGAAAGAAGAGAGAGAAAAATAAAACATGAGAGAATAGGCTGGGCGCGGTGGCTCACACCTGTAATCCCAACACTTTGGGAGGCTGAGGCGGGTGGATCACAAGGTCAGGAGATCGAGACCATCCTGGCCAACATGGTGAAACCCCATCTCTGCTAAAATATAAAAAAAATTAGCTGGGCGTGGTGGCAGGCGCCTGTAGTCCCAGCTACTCGGGAGGCTGAGGCAGGGGAATCACTTGAACCCGGGAGGCAGAGGTTGTAGTGAGCTGAGATTGTGCCACTGCAGTCCAGCCTGGGGACAGAGCGAGAATCCATCTCAAAAAAAAAAAAAAGAGAGAGAATAGCGTACCGTAGGGCCTTAAATCTTGGGCAAGGCTGGTAGATAGCAGGGAGAGAGCATATGGAGGATTTAACTTACCAGCTTTCTGAAGGTACTGGCGCTAACAGTGTCCTGATTGGTGGGGTGATGTGAGAAGCCACCAGGCTCCCCTGAGGGAGTCAGCGATGGCCTGCCTGGATGGGGCTTCAGAGGAAGCCCAGATCCAGGTGAGCAGCTCGGCAACTAGCAGCACAAGGTTGTGTGTTGACTTAATAAGCAGTGGACTTGGAGCCAGTCCTAGCTCTATAACTACCTAGCCCATGACCTTGAGCATGTTCTTTCATTTCTATAGGCCTCTATTTCTCAAATGTTACCATTTTGTGGCTGCTATATATGTATAAATCTATATGTGCTTTTTTTCTGGCAGAGATTTTGTTGAAGAGAAGTTAGGAAGCAAATACGTGGTGGGAAGAGCCCTAGATTTTGCAACCTCATTTGAAGAATCGGGACCAGCCACTCCTATGTTTTTCATCCTGTCTCCAGGGGTGGACCCACTGAAGGATGTAGAAAGTCAAGGTGAGAAAGGCGTCCTCTTGGAGCCAGGGCTGCATTTGCCCCATGCACTTTCATTCTTGGGGTCTATTGATTTCTCTTTTCTGGATTCAAGCTTCAAATATGCAACACTGCAAATCATACAGAAGTCAGGGTCATTGCTGAAATAAAATCAGAAGATCACCCACCAGGGAGAGAAAGAGCCACTCTGGGCTGTAAAAGGCAGAACTCACAGTCCCAGTTTCATGAGGAGGCCTCGTCCCCTCCACTCTGCCTCACCCATCCCCTTATCTTGCCAGAGCAATCTTTCTGAAATACTAGTATGATCCTTCCACAGGGCCCCACAGTGTGGCGATTCCTCAAAGACCTAGAGGGAGAAATACCATTTGATGCAGCTATCCCATTACTGATTATATACCCAAAGGAATAGAAATTATTCTATTAACATTATAAAGATACCCGCATGTATATGTTCACTGCAGCACTATTCACAATAGTAAAGACATGGAATCAACCTCAATTCCCATTAATGATAGACTGGATAAAGAAAATGTGGTACGGCTGGGCACGGTGGCTGACACCTGTAATCCCAGCACTTTGGGAGGCCAAGGTGGGTGAATCACCTGAGGTCAGGAGTTCAAGACCAGCCTGGCCAACATGGTGAAACCCCATCTCTACCAAAATCACAAAAATTAGCTAAGCATGGTGGCAGGCACCTGTAATCCCAGCTACTCGGGAAGCTGAGGCAGGAGAATCGCTGGAACCTGGGAGGCAGAGGTTGCAGTGAGCTGAGACCGCACTACTGCACTCCAGCCTGGGTGACAAGAGCAAGACTCTGTCTCAAAAAAAAAAAAAAAAAAAGAAAATGTGATACATATATACCATGGAATACTATGCAGCCATAAAAAGGAATGAGATCATGTCCTTTTCAGGGATGTGAATGGAGTTGGAAGCCATTATCCTCCACTAACTAATGCAGGAACAGAAAACCAAACACCGAACGTTCTCACTTAAAGTGGGAGCTGAGTGATGAAAACACATGAGCACAAAGAGGGGAAGAACACACACTGGGGCCTATTGAGGGGGTGGCAGAGGAAGAGCATCAGGAGGAATAGCTTAATGGATGCTGGGCTTAATACCGAGGTGATGGGATGATCTATGCAGCAAACCACCATGGCACATGTTTACCTATGGAACAAACCTGCACATGTACCACTGAACTTAAAATAAAGTTAAAGAAACAAAAATAGAATATTCAGCATGTCCAACTTCAAAACCAAAAAAACAAAAATGATAAGGGGTGGTGGAGACCAAGGTTTTTTCATGCAGTGAAGCCTCCAGGTAGCAGGCTTCAGAGAGAATAGATTGTAAGCGTTTCTTATCAGACTTAAAGAGTCTGTCCTGGCCGGGCACGGTGGCTCACGCCTGTAATCCCAACACTTTGGGAGGCCAAGGCAGGTGGATTACCTGAGGTCAGGAGTTCGAGACTAGCCTGACCAACACAGAGAAACCCCATCTCTACTAAAAATACAAAATTAGCTGGGCATGGTGGTGCATGCCTGTAATCCCAGCCACTCAGGAGGCTGAGGCAGGAGAATCGCTTGAACCCAGGAGTCAGAGGTTGCAGTGAGCCAAGACCACACTATAGCACTCCAGCCTGGGCAACAAGAGTGAAAAAAAAAAAAGAGTCTGTCCTATCAGTAATTCCAAAAGAAAGGAGGGTGTAATGAGGCATGTCTGACCCCCCCTTCCCATCATGGCCTGAACTAGTTTTTCAAGTTAACTTTGGAATGTCCTTTGCTGAGAGAAGGGGTCCATTCAGAATGGCTGGGAGGCTTAGGATTTTATTTCTGGTTTTCAAGTCTAGTATTGATTATGGAATGAAAGAACTAACAGCATATGCTTTGTGCCTCAGGGGAGGAGAGATAAAGCTAACTAGGCCCTAAAGAACGAATAAGATGTGCATAATAAAATCAGTAATAGAGAAGAATTAAAAATGAAAAGCAACAGCCCCCAGCACCAGCCCTCCAGATACGCAGTCCCCCTTCCCAGGCCCTATGCTTTTGTCCATTTCTGAATTTAGTTCCTTTGAGAATTACTTCTCATTTCCTAGTAATAACCTTATATCACCATTTTTGTATTAGCAGTTTTAGATAAAGTGTCTATTCCTGATATGAAAAACAAGGATTTAGCGTGCACTGTGTTCTGTCTGTGTCGTCTTAGATTCTGTATGTGTCTGTTTGGCACTGAAGCATCACAGGGCCAAATGCATTAACTATACAGTCTTCCCTCCACATACACGGGGTGGGGACTGGGAGGTATTGGTTCCAGTCCTTGCATATCCCAGTCCCATCACCGGCCCTGCCATTTGTATATACAGGCTTCACATCTCTCAAATACTGCTGTATTTTCATCTGAGTTTGGTTGAAAAAAATCCATGTGTAAGTGGACCCACACAATTCAAACCTGTGTTGTTCAAGGGTCGACTGTACTCTCTTTTTCTATATTCTTCTAAAACAAATTTTTTAATTGACAAATAATAATTGCACATATCAATGAGACACATAGTGAAGTTTCCATTCACATAATACATAGTAGTCAGATCAGGGTGATTAGTATCATGAGCAGCACAAAGTCAGACATAACCAGATCCACAGACATTTGTGTCTTTCTACAGTATCAGTCTTTTACTGATGCTATTCCAATCATAAAAGCCACAAGCTTTACGGAGGTAATTCTTCTTAGTATATCCCATTTACTCGGTAGTCAGAGCTGTAGGCACACAGGCTCAAGCCATTCCAAAAGTCAGTCGATATTGCAAACCATACATAATGGTATACTAAATCAATACAAATGTTACAGATTAAACATTCCACATCAAACGAAGTAACATCTAACATCAAGAGAAAGGGGATAGGAAAATGGGTTAATGAAACAGTCCAAGGGGAGCAATGTGGACAAAAAGAATCTCCTGTCCTGGTCTGGGCAGTCTTTTAACGAACCACAAGGAAGAGTCTTTGATGTGGGCAGAGCCTTCCGCGGATGCCGGGTGTTTATCACAATTAACAGCAAGACCAGTGTCTGTCAAGATGGCTGTTCTGAGCCAGTGAAGTCCTCTGGTGAGGACTGATAGTGGGAAAGTGTGCCTGGTTATGTCCTTATCTGGTTGCATGCAGTCTCTACTGATTAGGCAAACATCTGGTCCCTGTTGGTACGATGCCTTTTAAAATGTAAGATGGAGTCTTTTGCTAAGATGGAATTACTTATGCTCCATACATTAGCATATCCACGAACTCAAACATTTAATCATTTCCTTGTGTTGGGAACGTTCCATATCCACCTTCTAGCTACTTGAAACTATATAATATGTTATTGTCAACTATAGTCTTGATGCTCTGGCATTTGTGGCCTCACTGATTGGAGAGAGACTGCTGCTCCCAAAGCTAGCCAGTTCTTAGAGATCACAAAAGGCTCACCTGGGAATATGCCTTTTGTAAGCAAAATAACCATCCAGAGTCCACACTCCCAATCATCCCCTTTATCTAAATCACACACCAAGCCAACATCCCCACTGGCCTAAATCAACCCAGGGCCAGGTACCAGACTAGTAAGGACAGTCCCTATGCCCCCAAACCACGAGAGTTACTCAAATTAGCCGGTCTTGAACTGTCTCCCCTGCCTTGCCTTGTGTTTCTCAGGGAAAACCCCAATAAAGACCCTGGCCTACGATTTCCCCTTGCTCCTTCCTGCCTCTTGACCAACCTGGTGCTCCCCCATGTGGCTTTGCACATATGGTGCATCCCCTGATCTCAGGAAATGTAAGGAATAAAAATCTTTCAGTGGCATTTGCCCCTCCATGACATCATCCAGACTCCTCAATCAATGAACATCCCACAGGTACAGATGAGACACGCTGCTGCCCACCAAGACTCTCCTCGTGCTCCCAAATTTTTCAACAGCTGCACTGAGATATAATTCACAAACCATACAATTCACCCATTTAAAGTGTGCAATTCAAAGCATTTTAGGATATTCATAAGGCTATGTGACCATCACCATATGCTAATTTTCAAAACTCTTGTTTTGAAACCCTACATCCACTAGCCATTACTTTCCATGGCATCTCACCACCTTCCCAGGCCTAGTCAGCCATCATTTACTTTCTGTCTCTAAATATTTGCCTATTCTCGGCTGGGCGTGGTGGCTCACGCCTGTAATCCCAGCACTTTGGGAGGAGAGGCAGGTGGATCATGAGGTCAGGAGATCGAGACCATCCTGGCTAACACGGTGAAACCCTGTCTCTACTAAAAATACAAAAAATTAGCTGGGCATGGTGGCGGGTGCCTGTAGTCCCAGCTACTGGGGAGGCTGAGGCAGGAGAATGGCATGAACCCGGGAGGCGGAGGTTGCAGTGAGCCAAGATCACACCACTGCACTCCAGCCTGGGTGACAGAGTGAGACTCCATCTCAAAAAAAAAAAAATTGCCTATTCTGGACATTTCATAGAAATGAAATCATATACAATATGCTTTCTTGTGATGAGCTTCTTTCATTTGGCATAATATTTTCAAGGTTCAAACATGTAGTAGCATGTATCAGAACTACATTCTTTCTTATGGATGGGTAATATTCCATTGTATAGCTGAACCACATTTTATCTCTCTATTCATCTGTTGATGGACACTTGGGCTATTTCATCTTTTAGCTGCATAAATGATGCTTCTATGAACATTCATGTAACAAGTTTTTGTGTGAACATAAGTTTCAATTCTCTTGAGTATATACCTGGGAGTAGAATTGCTGGGTCAGATGGTGACTTTATGTTTAACTCTAAGGAACTGCCAGACTGTTTTCCAAAACAGATGCACCATTTCACTATCCCAACAGCAATATGCAAATTCCAGTTTCCCCGAGTCTTCACCAACACTTATTATCCATCTTCTGATTAGAGCCACCATAGTGGGTATGCAGTGGTAGCTCACTGTGGTTTGGATTTGCATTTCCCAAATGATGGTAAGTGTCCTTTTTATGTACCTATTGGGCATTTCTCCATCTTATTTGGAGAAATGTCTATTCTATTCCAGTTTTTAAAATTAGGTTACTTGTCCTTTTATCGTTGAGTTATAAGAAGAGTTCCTTATAAATTCTGTATACAAGTTTCTTATCAGATATATGATTTCCAAATATTTTTTCTCATTCTTTGGGTTTTCTAGTTGCTTTTTTAATGGTATTCTTTGAAGCAGAAAATTTTTATGTTAAAATACAATTTATCTATGTTTTCCTTTGGCCACTTGTATTTTAATACTATATTTATAAAACGATTGCCAACCTAAGGTCACAAAGATTTACTCTCCCTTGTTTTCTTCCAAGATTTTTACTTTTTGTTATTACATTTAGGTCTATAATCCACTTTGAGTTAATGTTTCTGTATGTAAGGAAAGGGTCCAACTTTGTCCCTTGACACGTAGATATCCAATTGTCCCTGCTCCATTTGTTGAAAAGACTATTCTTTCCCGGTTAAATGATGTTAGAACCCTTGTCAAAAATAGACCATCATTGTAAGAGCTTATTTCTGGACTATTATTTATATCACATTGATCTATGTATCTATCTGTATGCCAAATAACAGTCTCAATGACTGTAGCTTTGCAGTATGTTTTGAAATCAGGAAGTATGAGTTCTTCAGCTTTGTTCTTTTCATGATTGTGTTTGCTACTCTGGGTCTCTTATATTTTCTTTTTTGTTGTTGTTTTCTGTTTGTTTCCCTCATTCTTGCTGTCATCTTATGTTTCATATAATTTTAGAATTGGCTTATAAATTTCTGCAAAAAATAATAAATGTAGCTTGAATTTCAGTAAGGACTGCACTGAATATGTAGATAAGATCTAGAGAGTATTACCATCTTAACAATATAAATCTGATCAGTGAACATGGATTGTCTTGCCATTTATTTAGCTTTCTTTAAGTTCTTTTAACTATGTTTTGTTGTTTTTAGTGTGATTGCTTTTCTTTTATTAAATGTATTCCCAAGACTTTTTTCTTTTAGATTCTGTTGTAAATGGAATTGTTTCCTTAATTTCAGTTGCTCTTTACATACTGATCTTCTTCAAACTTGCTGAAACTTTCTTGTTAGTTCTAATAATTCCTTCTAGTGAATTTCTTAGGATTTTCCAGTTACAAGACCATGTTATCTGCAAATTCAGATATTTATGTTTCTTCCTCTTTTATCATTATATGTTCTTTTTTTTGTTGAGATGGAGTCTCGCTCTGTCACCAGGCTGGAGTGCAGTGGCACGATCTCAGCTCACTGCAACCTCTGCCTCCCAGGTTCAAGCAATTCTCCTGCCTCAGCCTCCCGAGTAGCTGGAACTACAGGTACACGCCACCATGTCCAGCTAATTTTTGTATTTTTTTAGTACGGACAGGGTTTCACCATGTTGGCAGGATGGTCTCAATCTCTTGACTTCGTGATCTGCCTGCCTCGACCTCCCAAAGTGCTATCCTCATATGTTCTTATTTCTTTTTGCCTAATTACCCTGGCTAGAATTTCCAGTACACTGTTAGGTAGAAATAGCAAGTTCAGACTTCCTTGTCTTGTTTGTGATCTAAGGGGAAAAAAATCAGTCTTCATCATTAAGTATGATGTCAGCAGTGGATTTTTTGTAGATATCCTTTATTGGATTGAGAAAGTTGCCTTTTATTCCTAGTTTGTTGAGTTCTGTTTTATTGTGAAAAGTTGTTGGGTTTTGTCAAATGCTTTTTCTGCATATATTGTAGTAATAAGATAGTTGTTTCTTTATTCTATTAATATTGTATATTATATTATTGATTTTTAGAAGTTAAACCAACCTTGCATTCCTAGGATCTCAGTCAGTCCTGGTGTACTAGTGTATAATTCTTTTTATGTATTACTGGACTCAATTTGCTAACATTTTGTTGAGAATATTTACATGTATATTCACAAGGTATATTGACCTGTTGTTTTCTTTCTTTGCAATGTCCTTGTCTGTTTTCAGTATCAGAATAATGCTAATAATCTATACATCAGAATTAGTTGGAAAGTATTCCCTGTGCTTTTATTTTTTTTTAAAGATTTTGTAGGCCAGGCACTGTGGCTCATGCCTGTAATCCTAGCACTTTGGGAGGCTGAAGTGGGTGGATCACCTGAGGTCAGGAGTTCAAGACCAGCCTTGTCAACATGGTGAAACCCCATCTCTACTAAAAACACAAAAACTAGCCGGGCATGGTGGCACATGTCTGTAATCCCAGCTACTTGGGAGGCTGAGGCAAGAGAATTGCTTGAACCTGGGAGGTGGAGGTTGCAGTGAGCCAAGGTTACACCACTGCACTCCAGCCTGGGTGACAAAGCGAGACTCTGTCTCAAAAACTAAAAAAGATTTTGTAAAGTATTAGTATTAATTCTCATGAATGTTTGGTAGAATTCAGTGATGAAGCCATCTGGGCCTGAGTTTTTTTGAGTAAGAAGTTTTTAAATTATTAGTTCAATTTATCTTTACTAGTTATATATTTACTCAAAGTTTTTATTTCTCTTTGAGTCACTTACCATAATTTATTTCTTTCTAAGACTTTGTCCATTTCATCTAAGTTATATAACTTGTTGATAAACACCTCCTTAATTTTGATATCTATATTAAAGTGTTTAGATCATCTGTTGGGTATGTTATAACTAAATGCTATTAGAAAAACAATTTATTGTCCGGGCACGGTGGCTCATGCCTATAATCCCAGCACTTTGGGAGGCCGAGGCGAGCGGATCACGAGGTCAGGAGATCGAGACCATCCTGGCTAACACAGTGAAACCCCATCTCTACTAAAAATACAAAAAATTAGCTGGGCGTGGTGGCAGGCACCTGTAGTCCCAGCTACTCAGGAGGCTGAGGCAGGAGAATGGCATGAACCCAGGAGGTGGAGCTTGCAGTGAGACGAGATTGCACCACTGCACTCCAGCCTGGGCGACAGAGTGAGACCCCGTCTCAAAAAAAAAAAAAGAAAAGAAAAAGAAAAAGAGAAACAGTTTCATATTCCACAAGTTTTAGATAATTCTTTTGACTTCTTTCTAGGTAAGCTAAAGCTTCCATTTCTCATCTTGTGTCAGCTATGTCTTTGTTTTTGCATAGTCAAGAATGAATGCATATTCATTCTACTCTGTTACTATCATTAATTTCATGCATGCCTAGTTTATGGGTTAATTTTTAAGTTGAAAGCCAATAAACAGCACATATATTCTAATATATGTAAATATATCATTCACTGCAAAGGCAAGTAATGTCTAGGATTACACTTCCTTCTTTTTGATCAAATGTCATAATCTTTAGGGGGTCTCTAAAAGAAGAATGTTCTTAGCACAGAGGTTCAAAACATGTCAAATTTCAGTTTGCTTTATAGGTGATGATAATTTTTGTAGCTTTTAGTTTTCTTTGGAGTTGCAAGTTGCCTTTTATTTATCTCAGGAGAAGAAGTAAATGCTTCACTTATCATTGTCACTACCTTTTTATTCGTTCTCTATATTGGAAAGACTGCACTTTATTCTTCTTGAAGATACTCTCCCTGGAGCTCACTGACATCTTCTTCTAATATAAATAAATTGTATTTCAGCCTTCTAGGAAGCTATCATCCTGGGACCTATTTTCTTTATATTCTAAATTAGTTCTACTGTCTTTATATCCCATGTCTTTTATTTTCAATTCTCCATCCTTACTTTGCTGGCATAAATTATCAGAAAAGACTCATGAGAAGTAAAAATTTGGAATCCTTGGGTGTCTAAAAATGCTTCAGTTTTGCTTATATAGCAGTTTGATAGTTTTTCAAGGTCCAAAATGGTTTTTATCAGAACTTTGGATACATGATTCTATTATCTTCTAGAAGCCAGTTTTGTTCATGAGATATCATATGCCAGTGAAATTATATTCTTTCTTTGTTTCTTTGTCGGTGACCTGTTTTTATTCCCCGAAAACTTTAGAATAATCTCTCTACCTTGTGTTCTGAAATTTCATAAGCTGTGCCTAGTTGTGGGTCCTTTTCATTCATCTGCTGAGCAGTCAGCCTGTCATTTCAAGTGGAAGAGTCACTAAAACTTTTGAGCTCTAAAAATTTTTCTGTTATATTTAGTAAATGCCACCACCATTTACCAAGTTTCTCATGCCAGAAACCTGGGTGTCAATCATCCTAGACACCTCTTCCACCACCCACACCACATTTAGTTCTATTGATTCCACCTCCTAAATATGCTTCAAATCCATCTAATTGTCTCTATTTTCATGATTGCCATCCTAGTCTGAATCACCATAGTCTTTCACCTGGCTTATTACACTAGCCTCCTAGCTCATCTCCACTCTTCTTCCTCTGCAAACCCTTGCCATTCTGCAGCCAGAGTCATGTTGCTAAATCTCAAATGTGATTGTATCACTCTTCTACTTAAAACTTTCTAGTGACTTCCCAGCTGGGTGCAGTGGCTCACGCCTGTAATCCCAGCATTTTGGGAGGCCGAGGCAGGCAGATCATAAGGTCAAGAGATCGATACCAACCTGTCCAACATGCTGAAACCCCATCTCTACTAAAACTACAAAAATTAGCCAGGCATGGTGGCACGCACCTGTAGTCCCAGCTACTCGGGAGGCTGAGGCAGGAGACTCGCTTGAACCTGGGAGACGGAGGTTGCAATGAGCCAAGATCGCACCACTGCACTTCAACTTGGCGACACAGAGACTCCATCTCAAAAACAAACAAACACAAACACACACAAACAAACAAAACAAAAAACTTTCTAGTGACTTCCCACTGGTATAGTCCAATATTAACATGACCTGTGTGGCCTGCATGGCATGGCTTTTCTGTCCAGCTTTTAGATCCTGTCACACCATGAGCCTTCCTAACCTAGGACATTGGCACAAATTGTTCTTTTTATCTGAAATATTTTCAACCATCCAATGCCTACTCATCCTGCAAATTACCAGCCATTTCTGGCCTCCCTGGAAGACCATTTGATTCTCAACTAGAGATTCTTACAGCACTCTATGTATTTGCTTCAGAGCATTTAATACAATTTTAATTTAATCATTCTGTTATAATTTTAACTTATGTTTTGCCTACCTGCTTGTCATTAACATCCTTGATGACCATGTCATCTTGTTCATTTTTTTACCACTGCCTAATAGCATAACTAGCACAGAGAAGTATTGTTGAATGAACTAACAAACGAACAAATTAATGTTAGCAGAACTGTTATCAGAGCTAAGTTATTCCTGACTTTCACACTTTATAGTCTGTGTTCCTTCTGTCCCCTGGAGGCTTTGTTCCTTTTATACAGATAAATTTAGTTTCCTCATTTTTATTCAGTATTTTCCCCTTTGGAAGCTTTCATATACCCTGTTTATGAGCAATTTCCTATTGTTCTTAGCCAATTGACCTCCAACTACTCCATCACGTAGTTTGCAGCTTCCTGTCATCTCAGGCAAACTGACCCCTCCCTGATCTATATGGGTTGTTTGTCTCAGAATACGTTATCTCAGCCCTGCCCTTGGCTTAATCTTAATGGATATTTTCTTACCAGAAGCAATATTGCTGTTCATCAACTAGAGATTACTTAGGCACCTGTGCCTCTCTCTCTCTTCCTTCCTCCCTGCCTTCTTGGTGCTTTGATTTATTTTCTAATTCACCCATTTAGGACATATATTCTGGTGACATCCACATTTCCCACATCTTGAATCTAATCAGCTTGCCTGATGGGCTCCTAGTCTCAAGTCTGGAATCCACATGGCTGATCTAAACATTTTCCCCATGTCCCCAAGCCCCAGTTTATTAAGTAAACTTACTGTTTTATTGCTTGTGCAGAGTCTGTGTATCACACAGTTCACTGTCTTCCTCCGTTTAGACTCTTAAAAAGCTTGGAATCATTTCTCCTCTTTGGGTATTTGATTTAAATTCTTTACTCCTTCATTTACGTATTCTTTTGCTTCAACAAGGCAGTTCTTAATATCAGGTAGAGTTTTAAAACCCCTAGATTCAGATTCAAGATTTGTTCCTTGGTCCTTCCTCCACCCCCGAAAAATGCACATACCCACAGACACACAACATTCTGTATACGATTTTGAGCATTTCTTCAGTCCCTGAAGTTTATCCATTGGCCAATTAATAATTAATAATTCCCTTGATTAGGAATCTATAATTTGTAGGCACTTTTGTGGCACTCAGTCTCCTCCAGGATTTTTCTTCCTCAACAATTGTGAAGGAGGAGGAGGGGAAGGAAAGGAAAGTGGAGAAAGAAGTGAGGAGGAGAAGCGGGGATGGAGTGGGGAAGGGGAAAATTCCATCCACTCTTCTTGGCCTCTGTTTTCTATTTTTTTGTTTTGTTTGTTTTGTTTTTTTGAGACGGAGCTTTGCTCTTGTCACCCAGGCTGGAGTGCAATGGCACGATCTCAGCTCACTGCAACAACCTCCACCTCCCGGGTTCAAGCGATTCTCCTGCCTCAGCCTCCCGAGTAGCTGGGATTACAGGCGCCCACCACCATTCCTGGCTAATTTGTGTATTTTTAGTAGAGATGGGGTTTCACCATGTTGGCCAGGCTGGTCTGGGACTCCTGACCTCAGGTGATCCACCCGCCGCAGCCTCCCAAAGTGCTGGGATTACAGACGTGAGCCACCACATCTGGCTGGCCTCTATTTTAACACGAAAGCTACCACCATCCACCCTCACTGTTTTCCTTCTTGCCTTCTCTGATCAAGCCTTTAACAGAGCTTTCACTGTACTCATCTCTCTTTTCTCATCATCTTTTTCCCTAAAGGAGCCACACTTCCTTATTTGCTTGTTTATTTCTGCTTTTGCTTCATCTACTTCCCCCTTGTTCTCAATCACCCATGATACCTGCCTCCTTGGGTTACTGTGAAGATAAAAACAAAATGTCAGATGTGAAAAGGCTTTGAAAAGCCGAGAGTACAGTAGCATTGCATGGCGTTACGATGAGGATGGTGCATCTGTTCTTTGGGGCAGCTCAGTTTGCCCTTCCTTCACATCTTTTTGTCACATCCTCTCAAAGAACAGTCTCCTCCTTGGCCCTCCCCTTCTTGCCCTGATGCCGGCATCTTCTCTGGTCTTTCTTTCACTTGTCTGCAGCATCATCTTGCTTGGTCTCCATCCTTCTTTGCCCAATTACCTGGCTTTAACAAAATGAGTTCTGTCTTTCCATTTTCTGATCAGAAAGAAGCTGTGTATCCCGCCTTTGTCTTCTACTGTCTCCTTTTCTCTCCAACGTTCTGAGATTTTTGTAGGCCTGCTACCAGATATGTTCAAAGAAACAGTTTTCCATTCAGTGTCTTTGCAGCCAGATTCTCGAAACTTTGCTTTGGGTCTTGTTTTCATTGTTCCTGACCCCATTCTTTTTTCTTGTATTTGGTTGGGTGTTTTTTTGTTTTGTTTTGTTTTGTTTTGTTTTGTTTTGTTTTGTTTTGAGACAGGCTCTCACTGTGTTGCCCACGCTGGAGTGCAGTGGCGCCATCTTGGCTCATTGCCACCTCTACCTCCCAGGCTCAAGTGATCCTCTTGCCTCAGCCTCCCAGGTAGCTGGACTATAGGCATATGCCACTATGCCCGGCTAATTTTTTGTATTTTTTGTAGAGATGGGTCTCACTGTGTTGCCCAGGCTGGCCTTGAACTCCTGAGCTCAAGCAACCTGCCCACCTCAACCTCCCAAAGTGCTGGGATTATAGGCATGAGTCACCACACCCAGCCCTCTTTTCTTTAAAAGGCAAGTAAAAGATAGATAAGCTGAGGCAAGTACAGTCTTTAGAGAGAGGATTCAGGATTCATGGAGTATTGTTTTTTTGTGGTGAGCGAAACTGATTTGTGCATGTGCTGGGGAGCAGAAGAGTGAATAGAGACAAAGGTTAAAGATACAAAAAGAGGGCCGGGCGCAGTGGCTCATGCCTATAATCCCAGCACTTTGGGAGGCCAAGGCACGCGGATCACCTGAGGTCAGGAGTCTGAGACCAGTTTAGCCAACATGGTGAAATCCCATCTCTACTAAAAATACAAAAATTAGCCGGGAGTGGTGGCACGTGCCTGTAATCCCAGCTACTTGGGAGGCTGACACAGGAGAATCACTTGAACCCAGGAGAAGGAGGTTGCAGTGAGCTGAGATCGTGCCACTGCACTCCAGCCTGGGTGACAAGCGAGAAACTCCATCTCAAAAAATAAAATAATAATAATTTTTAAAAAGATACAAAAAGAGATGGGATTTAAATGACAGTTAAAGTGACAGGCAGGAAGGGAGGAGGACATCTTTTTCATTGACAGGGCAGTGTACAGAAATGCAGACAAAATGGCAGTAATGGAGGCGTGTCCACCAGAGGGCATGTTTTTTCAGGGAATTAAGACAGTAGAGCAAACTGCTGAGCATAAGAAAAGGGGTTCATGGCGGGGCGCAGTGGCTCACGCCTGTAATCCCAGCACTTTAGGAGGCCGAGGCGAGCAGATCACAAGGTCAGGAGATCGAGACCATCCTGGCTAACACGGTGAAACCCTATCTCTACTAAAAATACAAAAAATTAGCCAGGCGTGGTGGCGGGCGCCTGTAGTCCCAGCTACTCGGGAGGCTGAGGCAGGAGAATGGCATGAACCCGGGAGGTAGAGCTTGCAGTGAGCCGAGATTGTGCCACTGCACTCCAGCCTGGGCGACAGAGCGAGACTCCGTCTCAAAAAAAAAAGAAAAAAAAAAAAAAAAGAGGGATCCATTAGGAGACATAATGACAGAGGGAAATGGGTAACATAGCCGGCTTCTGGACACATTGAAAGAGTACCAAAGCGCTTCGAAATTGAGAATCACAAGCTGGTGATGGTGCCAATTCACCAAACATGTGAATTATTCCTTTTATTAATACTTAAACTCAGAGTTGGGGTCTTAGAAAGTTGAGTAGTAAGTGCGGAAGTAGAAGGAGGCAATGGAGTTGAGGACTTGGGCTCAAATTAAGGATTATTGGGTCCATATTAAAATAAGAGGAGGTAAAGCTGAAATTAGAAAAAAACGAAGGGACCAAAGGACTCAACATTTCACTGAAGTAGAAAAATAGGTGGGGAAGAAATAAGAAGGTAAAAAAATTTAGGAAGTAGGAAGTGAAATTCATGAGTGGACATGGAAGAATCATGTTTCAGACACAGGACAGATCTCCATGATGGGAGAGCCCTGGGTGTGGCCACTGGGAATCGGCAGCAGAAATGAAATGGAGCTAAGTTCTTTCTTTTTTTTTTTTTTTTGAGACAGAGTTTCGCTCTTGTCGCCCAGGCTGGAGTGTGCAATGGCACAATCTCAGCTCACCACAACCTCTGCCTCCCAGGTTCAAGCGATTCTCCTGCCTCAGCCCCCTGAGTAGCTGGGATTACAGGCATGTGTCACCATGCCTGGCTAATTTTGTATTTTTAGTAGAAAAGGGGTTTCTCCATGTTGGTGAGGCTGGCCTTGAACTCCCGACCTCAGGTGATCCACCTGCCTCAGCCTCCAAAAGTGCTGGGATTATGGTTGGAGTTAAGCTCTTTCAAGATGAGGTTGGGCACAGTGGCTCATGCCTGTAATCCCAGCACTTTGGGAGGCCGAGGTGGGCAGATCACCTGAGGTCGGGAGTTTGAGACCAGCCTGTCTAACATGGTGAAACCCTATCTCTACTAAAAATACACAAATTAGCTGGGCATGGTGGCGTGTGCCTGTAGTCTCAGCTACTCGGGAGGCTGAGGCAGGAGAATTGCTTGAACCTAGGAGGCAGAGGTTGCAGTGAGCTGAGATTGCGCCATTGCACTCCAGTCTGGGCGACAGAGCAAGACTCCATCTCAAAAAAAAAAAAAAAGAAAAGAAAAAAGAAAGAAAGATGAGGAAACATGAGGCTGGGTGTTGTCTGAGTCATCCATAGTGACATTAGAGTTTACCAAGATGATGATGAAACAGGAACCAAGTTCCAAAGCCCCTAATACAAATGAGACTCACTGAAAAGTTGGTAGAAGGCAGAGAACTTAAAAGTTAGTAAATAATAAAACCAGATGACATGTGCTTTCAGTGAGAAAGGGGTTTTTAGTCGGGTGCAATGGCTCATGCCTGTAATCCCAGCACTTTGGGAGGCCGAGGTGGGTGGATCACTTGGGGTCAGGAGTTTGAGACCAGCCTGGCCAACATAGTGAAAGCTTATCTCTACTAAAAATACAAAAATTAGCCAGTCATGGTGGCGGGCACCTGTAATCCCAGCTACTTGGGAGGCTGAGGCAGGAGGATCGCTTGAATCTGAGAGGTGGAGGCTGCAGTGAGGTGAGATCGTACCACTGCACTCCAGCCTGGGTGTAATCCCAGCTACTCGGGAGGCTGAGGCAGGAGAATCACTTGAATCTGGGAGGTGGAGGTTGCAGTAAGGTGAGATCATGCCACTGCATTCCAGCCTGGGTGAAAAAAAAGAAAAAAAGGTGATTTTTTTTTTTTCTTTTTTATGAAGGTGGAGAAGAAATAGCCTCCAAGTAGCAAGAAAACACTAGAAAAAATGTTCCCCTTCCAACGCCAATGCCATAGGGGTATGGAACTAGGGAGAGGACTGTAGGAGTTGTGATGTCCTCAGAGAGACTAGAGGTCAGTGACGCACACCGTAAAGATGTTAAAAGAGGTTGACAGTGGGGCATAGTTCCAGGTGACACCACCATATGTAGAGCTGGAAGGAAAGTCAGAAAAGGAGAGATGAGTCACAAGCAGTAGGGGTGGAGGCATGGAAGCACCAGCATACAACAATCTGAAGGTGAAATCCTGAGACACTGGAGGGACTTGCTCAAGGCCCAATAAGCCATCTGAGAGCCTCACAGTTGCAAAGGGAAAGACCTCGCAAGGTTACCTCCGCACCCATGAGGCTCACATGGGATGCGGCCACCTTTGGCTGAGTGTTCAGTTAGTGAGAATCCCATCCATTTTTCCCCTTCTCAATGTTTCCAAGATCCATTTCTTTCTTCTCCGCCTCATTGTCATGCCTCAAGCCCAGATTAATGCAGACTGATCCCAGCCGGGCTCTGCAGTGCTAAACTTTGCCCGTGATGATCCCTCCAGTCTGGAATTTTCAAACTAATCTTTATTAAATAACCTCTTTGCCCATATCCTTCTGTTGCTAATAAACAAAATAAACAGGCCCTTTTGTGAGCAGAAATGTCACAGAAGACATCTAAAAGTCCCAACACTTTTTATCCTGGTATTTTCTCTGGAATGAATTGTTTATCTCCCCACTTCCAAAGCTGACATCAAATGTTTTGCCAACTAAGATTTATAATTTAATAACGGTGTTTCTTGGGTTCATCTCAGTTAAGTCTCCAATATCTATTTCTTACTACAAAAAGTCATCATCTTGCGTTGTCCTGTACATTTCAATGACAGTCTATACATTGTTTATATTTAAAAGAAATATTCAATATGAACACTTGTTTCCAAAAATTTTCTTGCAGAAGTATCAAACTACATCTTCACTTTTAGTTCCTCTGAAACTAAATTTTTTTTAAGTATGGATTTTTATTATTTCTTTTTCGATTTCTCCCCTTTTGTCTACTTCACCTTGCTAGAAAAATCACTTAATGATTCCTTCATGGTATTATACATTTTTATGATCCTTTTATCTAAAGAATATTATGTAATTTCTCTACACTTTATTGGATTGTGCTAAGAGCTAATGTTCTCTATATTAGGGTCATTTCTTTGTGTTGTTTCCCTTGGGCGTGGAGAGCAGCTGAAGCCCACTGGTCTTGCTTCAGTGGTATGGCTGCCACATTTGTGTGTGTGGTCATTCTCTTAATCCATCTGCAACACCAGCAACCCTTATATACATCCAACAGAAAATTCACACCTACACAACTAAACAGCTTCATGTCTTGCCCCTCTTCACTCTAATTCGTGCAAAATGATGAGATAACTCTTTTCTATGTGTTGGGAATGATAGGAGAGGAGGTTAATAGGGCATAAAGTACAGGAAGCCAGAACTACCTGAATCCTGCCCCTACTGGCCACACCTCCCAGTAAAGTTCCAGAGAAGACACAATATTTATTCAGAGGACAAGGCAAGCCACAAAGGACCACACCCATATGCTTGCTACTCTCTCACCCTTCTCTCATCAGCACTCCCTAGAATGGTGGACCCATATCTGGTCTGCAGATAAGACACATAAAGAATAGCATCAGCAATCCTACCCCTCTTTGGGAATTAAGTGAAGAGGGAAGAGTGAAGTGATTTTGGTCTGAACAAGTGCTTCTTTTTTTTTTGTTTGTTTTGGTTTTTGTTTTGTTTTGTTTTGAGACTGAGTTTCGCTCTTGTTGCCCAGGCTGGAGTGCAATGGCGTGATCTCGTCTCACTGCAACCTCCGCCTCCTGGGTTCAAGTGATTCTCCTGCCTCAGCCTCCCTAGTAGCTGGGATTACAGGCACCTCCCACCACACCCAGCTAATTTTTTGTATTTTTAGTAAAGATGAGGTTTCACTATGTTGGCCAGGCTGGTCTTGAACTCCTGACCTCAGGTGATCCACCTGCTGCCTCAGCCTCCCAAAGTGCTGGGATTACAGGAGTGAGCCAGTGGCGCAATCTCGGCTCATTGCAAGGTCCGCCTCCTGGGTTCACGCCATTCTCCTGCCTCAGCCTCCCGAGTAGCTGGGACTACAGGCGCCCACCACCACGCCCAGCTAATTTTTTGTATTTTTAGCAGAGATGGGGTTTCACTGTGTTAGCCAGGATGGTCTCGATCTCCTGACCTGGTGATCCGCTCGCCTCGGCCTCCCAAAGTGCTGGGATTACAGGCATGAGCCACTGCGCCCGGCTCAAGTGCTTCCTTTTATATGACAATAAAAAGCTGGAAGAAGTAGCCCCCTGTGAAGGAAAAGGGTCAGTATATGAGGTTTCGGTTATAGATTTGGGCATGCCCGTGTTTGAGGGGTGATCTGAGCGTGTGCATTTCCTTATGAACATCAAACATCCATCATTAGACACAAGAAATAATAATGACGCCTCCATCCTCCTTTTAGGAAGAAAACTTGGATACACCTTCAACAATCAGAACTTTCACAACGTGTCTTTGGGGCAAGGACAGGAAGTGGTGGCTGAGGCTGCGCTGGACCTCGCTGCCAAGAAAGGTCACTGGGTTATTTTGCAGGTATGTTCCTCTACCCTTGTCTGGGTTATCTTGACCCATACTTGCCTCATCCCACACTCACTGGGCATCTCCATCCACTCTTAGCTTCTCCCCATCTGTCCTTTCACACTCTTGTCCCCTTCATTTCTTCATCTTCTCTCTTTCCAGTTCTCCTCACTCATATGTTCTCTTCCCCAGACCACGTCCAGGAACAATCCTTCTCCCCTCACCTGCTCTGTCACTCTCTCTAGTTTAAATAGCTCTACTTATAAAAGAAACAGATTCCCACTCTAATAGGCGTTCAGGAAGTTAGCATTTACGTTGAAGGCCCTGGCAGCTGGATGCTTTCAACAGCTGGTTTCTTCCTGTGAATTTCATGGCACGTTCCTCTGCTGTGCCTTTCTTTTGGGCTGTGTGTCATATGCTCTTCGTCACGGGCATGACTAGGATATGGGAGCAACCTTAGCCTCTTCACTGAGAGCTCATGTTGGTGTTTGGAATCTGGAACCCCTACTACTGATAATTTGACTGAACAGTTACAAGGAAAAAAAGGCTACCTCTCTTCTATCAGAAAAGAGAGTTAAATTAAAGAATTTAGCCCTCTCTATTAACCCCTATTAAATTTTATTTAACCCCTATTAAATTATTTCATTTAACCAATTTTCCAATTTTCGTTTCAACAATTACTACTAACTCTTTTTTTTTTTTTTTTTTTTTTTTTGAGATGGAGTCTTGCTCTGTCGCCTAGGCTGGAGTGCAATGGCGCAATCTCAACTCACTGCAACCTCCGCCTCCCGGGTTCAAGCGATTCTCCTGCCTCAGCCTCCTGAGGAGCTGGGATTACAGGAGCGTACCACCACGCCCGGCTAATTTTTGTATTTTTAGTAGAGACAGGGTTTCACCATGTTGGCCAGGCTTGTCTTGAACTTCAGAACTCAAGTGATCTACCTGCGTCAGCCTCCCAAAGTGCTGGGATTACAGGCATGAGCCACTGCGCCCAGCCTAACTACTACTAACTCTTACATAGCATTTCACAGTAGACAAAACCTTTTCAAATCCATCTCTCAGGGCCGGCCTGCCTAATCCTCTTTTATGCCACTTGTATACATGCTGGAGTTGTGGCAGAATGCATAGCTTGCTCCTCTTTTCTCCTAGAACATTTTGAAATCTTCTATTAGAGCTCCATTGCTACGTTGACATGGTTTATTTTATGACTGTATTCTCCACCAAATTTTTTAGGTAAAGAGATGTTCCTTCTTTACCTTTTATCACCCAGCCCACTGCCTTGAACATAGCAGACACTGAAACAAAAGGCCGGTGGGTCAAGGAATCCATGAAGAAATTAAAGAAAGAATAAATGCAAAAGCCAGTCACTCCCATTCTTCCCGGCTTTCACTACCATGAACCTCCCCCATCTCCTGATTACTGGTGACATCACATCTTGCTGCTGGGTCTTTGTCCTTAATTATTCAGTTATTTATTTGGAGCCTAGCAACTGAGAGATCTGCCCCTCCCAGGGCCTCCTTTTCCAGAAACATCAGGAAGTTCAGGAGAAAAGATAATAACAGCTGAGTTTCCTCCTTCCTCCCTCATGGGTCAGCACAGTGCTTGAAGGTATGACCTCCCCACCCCCTCAGGCACATTTGCCAAGAGACTTCTCCGGACGCCAGTGCTGGGAACCCAGGCACTTGTCATGGACATCAGAGTCTGTTTCTGAAACTGTGGTGCCGCCTCTGCTGCCCCCGTTGTCCCCCAGCATCTATTGGCCATGCAGGGCATCAAAATCTTGTGCTGATGTGGTTGCTCAGAGCTCTCCAACACTGAACTCAATATTCCATCTTTATTTCCTGGTGACTGGACATTTCCAAAGGAAAATTGTGCCAAATAATCTGGATGCCTGCCTTTCCCCCTGAATAAAGCATTGGAGTATTGAATAGACGTAATCTGTCCACACTGTAAAGTGCTCACAGAAACAAAAGATCCTTACTGGTTTGTGAAATCTCTTGTAGGAATCACAGCTATCTGGTTCTAAGAATTTCCTGATGTACTGAACTAGACTGGACCAGAATCCTACCCAGCAATGTTTCCCAGCCTGTAAACCTGAGAGATTCTCTGAAAAAAAAAAAAAAAAAAAAAAAAAAAGCTGGGGGGGGAGGAATACACTTAACAAATTCCTATTTCAAATGTTGGAAAATACTACATACAAATTCCTTTTAAGGATATTTTCAATGATATCAATAGGCTAATGGTTCTGAGAATCCTTTGGTATAGAAATCTTATTCCATCCAGTATTTCCCAAATTCCGTTGAACACAGGCCTTCTTTTTTTTTCTTCAACTTTTATTTTAAGTTCTGGGGTACATGTGCAGGATGTGCAGGTTTGTTCCATAGGTAAACATATGCCATGGTGGTTTGCTGTACAGATCAACCCATCACCTAGGTATTAAGCCCAGCATCCATTAGCTGTTCTTCCTGATGCTCTCCCTCTCCCCCTATTCCACAACAGGCCTCAGTGTGTTTGTTCCCCGCCCCGTGTGTCCATGTGTTCTCATTGTTCAGCTCCCACTTATAAGTGAGAACATGCAGTGTTTGGTTTTCTGTTCCCGCTTTAGTTTGCTGAGGGTAACGGCTTCCAGCTCCATTCATTTCCCTGCAAAGGACATGATCTCGTTCCTTTTTATGGCTGCATAGTATTCCATGGTGTATATGTACCACATTTTCTTTATCTAGTCTATCATTGATGAGCAGTTGGGTTGATTCCAAGTCTTTGCTATTGTGAATAGTGCTGCTGTGAACATATGCATGCATGTATCTTTATAATAAAATGATTTATATTCCTTTGGGCTTATACCCAGTAATAGGATTGGTGGATCAAATGGTATTTCTGCTTCTGTATCTTTGAGGAATTGCTACACTGTCTTCCACAACGGTTGAACTAATTTACACTCCCACCAACAGCATAAAAGGGTTCCTTTTTCTCCAAAACCTCACCAGCATCTGTTGTTTCTTGACTTTTTAATAATCGGCATTCTGACTGGCGTGAGATGGTATCTCATTGTGGTTCTGATTTGCATTTCTCTAATGATCAACGATGTTGAGCTTCTTTTCATATGTTTGTTGGCCACAATGAATATCTTCTTTTGAGAAGTGTCAGTTCATGTTCTTTGCCCATTTTTTAATGAGGTTGTTTGTTTTTTTGCTTGTAAATTTGTTTAAGTTCCTTGTAGACTCAGGATATTAGACTTGTGTCAGGTCTAATTGCAAAAATTTTCTCCCATTCCATAAGTTGTCTTTTCACTCTGATGATAGTTTATTTTCCTGGGAAGAAGCTCTTTAGTTTAATCAGATCCCACTTGTTAATTTTTGCTTTTGTTGCAATTGCTTTTAGCATTTTTGTCATAAAATCTTTGCCCATGCCTATGTCCTGACTGATATTGCTAGATTTTCTTCTAGGGTTCTTATAGTTTTGGATTTTATGTTTAAGTCTTTAATCTGTGTTGAGTTAATTTTTTATAAGGTATAAGGAAGGAGTCTAGTTTCATTTGTTTGCATATGGCTAGCCAGTTCTCCCAGCACCATTTATTAAATAGGGAATCCTTTCGCCATTGCTTGTTTTTGTCAGGTTTGTCGAAGATCTGATGGTTGTAGGTGTGCAGGAACACAGACCTTCTTTATGGATCTAACATCTTTTAACATCCCATGGCACACTTTTGGGAAATGCTGCCTGAGGACCCTGACCCAGATGAACTAGGGCTTCTCTTCTGGGAGAGCTGGCTTCTCTGGTCCTGGGTGAGAAAGCAAGGCTCACAGTCTTCCCGCTCTTCCTTCCTGGCTGTAGGAGCTATTGTGTGGATTTCCCAACCCAAGCCCATCAACCCTGTGGGGCAGCCTCGAGGATCTCTGAATCCACCCCAGGGTTCTATACACAAGCAACAGACATTCCTTCTCCTAGACCTGCCCAGTAGCAGAACTTGGAGTTTCTAAAGGAGCAGCCAAATTACCCACATGTAGGTTGCTGGTGATGCTGGCTAAAAGAAACCCTGGCTCTCAAGTAGCCCACTAAACACTCTGCTCCAATTGATTTGATTATAAGTAAATTATTTAATTTCACCAATTTTCATCTCAACAACTACTACTATCCCTTACATAGCATTTTACAGTATACAAAATCCTTTATTTATTTATTTATTTATTTATTTATTTATTCATTCATTCATTTATTTATTTATTTTGTAGAGATGGGGTTTCACCATGTTGGCCAGGCTGGTATTGAACTCCTGGCCTCAAGCAATCCACCCGCCTTGGCCTCCCAAAGTGCTGGGATTACATATGTGAGCCACTGCACCCAGTCCTACAAAACCCTTTCAAATCCATTTCTTTGGTTATCTGCAGCCACTCTGAAATAAGTATAGCAAACGTTATTGTTATTTCTCTTCTTATAGAAGAGAAGGCAGCACTCAAAGACCAAATTACTGTGGTCCAAGTGCTGGGCTCAGCTCTGATCTGTGTATTTAAGGCTTTGCATGCTTACTTCCTCAAATATTTATCAAGGAGCTTTTATCTATCCATTATAATGAAACACATTGCAATGAAGCCGGGTGACTCCCCTTACTACAGTGAAAGGTGCATTCTGCAAAGCACTGGTAAGAAACAAATGTAGGTTTTGATAGATAGACAGACAGCAATCAAACGTTGGGAGGAGGAGACAGGCTCAAAGACCAGACAGAGGAGCTTGGGATTAGAGTAGAGAGCCTTGTTTGGTCTTTGAGCAGCAATGACTCAGTGTGTTTCAGGAAGATAAGTTTGGCAACAATTAACAGAGTGGTTTGGAGAGTGGAGAGAGAAGACTCAGGAAAGCTAGCTAGAAAGAGTTTAAATCAGTGCCTTTCAAATGTTAACGTATGTACCAATTACCGGAGGATCTCATTAAAAGGCGCTGATTCAGTAAGTTTGGGCAGGACCTTAGATTCTGCATTTCTAACTAGCTCCCAGGTACTGCCAACAATGTTGATCCATGAGCTCCAATTTGTACCATCAAGGTTTCAAATAATCTAGCTGTCAGGTAATGGGGAGTTAGACTTGGAAGATGACCAAGTGTTACAGCCTTTTTTTTTTTTTTTTTTTTTTTTATTTGAGACGGAGTCTCACTCTGTCGCCCAAGCTGGAGTGCAGTGGCGTGATCTTGGCTCACTGCAAGCTCCGACTCCCGGGTTCATGTCATTCTCCTCCCTCAGCCTCCTGAGTAGCTGGGACTACAGGCGCCCACCACCATGCCCAGCTAATTTTTTGTATTTTTAGTAGAGACGGGGTTTCACCGTGTTAGCCAGGATGGTCTCGATCTCCTGACCTCGTGATCCGCCTGCCTCAGCCTCCCAAAGTGCTGGGATTACAGGTGTTAGCCACCGTGCCTGGCCGTGTTACACTCTTAAATTGTGGTCTCCAGACCAGTAGCATCTGCATCACCAGGGAGCTTGTTAGAAATGCACATTCTCAGGCCCCATCCTGGACCTGCTGAATCTGAAACTCTGGGCTGGGGCACAAGAATCTGTATTTTAAGAAGCCCTTCAGGTTATTCCCATGCACAGGCAAGTTTAAAAACATTATGCTGGAAAGCCTTAGGATAGCAAGAGATAAGAGTTTAACTGCAGAATACTGGGAGGTCCTCACTACTGGGCATCCCAGAACTCTTTTCTATGATGTGATTTAAGACACTTCTGCCATTAAAAGTCATTGAGTTGCACAACATGTGAGTGCACGTAACGCCATTAACTGTCCACTTAAAAAGGGTTTCAGATGGTAAATTTTCTGTTACGTCTTACCACAATTTTTAAAAATTATGTGATGCTAAGACCAGTCCCCCCTCTGGCTGCCTTCCTGACAACTATTTACTGCTAACAGAGCTAAGCAGATGCCTGTATTGAGGGGGGGCTCCTTCCTTCCCACTAGAACATTCACCTGGTGGCCAAGTGGCTCAGCACCCTGGAGAAGAAGCTGGAGGAGCACAGTGAGAACAGCCACCCAGAGTTCAGGGTCTTCATGAGTGCAGAGCCAGCACCCTCCCCTGAGGGCCACATCATCCCCCAGGGCATCCTGGAGAACTCCATTAAGATCACCAATGAGCCCCCCACGGGCATGCATGCCAACCTGCACAAGGCCCTGGACAACTTCACTCAGGTACGGCCCCGGGAGGGAGGCAAAAACAGCAGCACACCTCACAGTCAGCTGATGCAAACTGGTGGGGGGAGAGCATGCAACTCAGAAGGGAGTCGGGTGCTGGTTGGGCTACGGAGCAATGCTGATGTGGGTAAAATGTTCCCACCTGATGCCCACTCAGGGCAACCCCACTCTCCATTGCCAGATAACCCCAGGGGAGTAGAGCTCAGGACATTTCTTTGGCAAGAGATGTGGGGAAGCCTTCTGCAAGTTTACTGTTACCTAATATTCCAAGATGAAGAAGGGCACGTTGTTATACATCTCATTGATAAGATACACTGGGTCACACACTGATGGGCTATCTTCAGGCAGAGAGATGATACTGTCAATCAGATGATATCACTTGACGTCTACATGAATCTTGAGTATCAAGGGTTCAAAGAATCCAGGTGTTAGGTAGTGGGGATATGGATTTGAAATGTAACTGCATGTTAGACCCCCTAAAGTATGGCCCCTGGACCAGCAGCATCAGCATCACCTGGAAACTTGTTAGAAATGCAGATTTTTCTGTCGTCCCAGCTACCTGGGAGGCTGAGGCAAGAGAATGGCGTGAACCTGGGAGGCGGAGCTTGCAGTGAGCCGAGATTGTGCCACTGCACTCCAGCCTGGGCGACAGAGTGAGACTCCATCTCCAAAAAAAAAAAAAAAAATTGCAGATTTTTAGGCCCCAATCTGAAACTCTGGGCTGGGGCCCAGGAATCTGTTTTAATGAACCCTCCAGGAGATTCTTATACACAGTCAAGTTTGAGAATACTGTGCTCCAGAGAGACTCAGAATATCAAGTGTTCAAATGCAGACCACTACGTTTCCATTATGGGGAATTTCAAGGCTTATGTTGTAGCGTATTTATTTGAAGCCAGGTCCAAGCCCGTGGTGGCCAACTTTGTATATGAAGTTGTACTGTCAAAGTCTGCGGCCCAGGCCTCTTTGATCTTCTCAAGAAGGCACTATTTCTTTTTGGTTCTCTCTTGGGAGTTCCACCTCCCTGGGCAGGAGAGTACCCAAAGGCCTGAATTGTAGCAGAGTGGAGGCCATCGGATCACCTTAAAATCCATCTGCCACACCACGCCTGGGTGGAATTCAAGGAGAGGGTTCCAGCAGCTGCTAGGGAGGTTTTCTTCTTGGTTGTCATCTTGTCATAGTACCAGTGCATCTCAGGTTTCCCAGAAGCCCTGCCAGCTCACATGTGTCAGATGGGTCATGCAGGTTATTTGAGATGGGCCATCCAACAGGATGACTGTGCCACCTAAACCAACATAAACCTTTGGGGTCTGGTTTAAGCCTAAAGTAAGATGAAGACCATGTAACAGTCAGAGTCTCAGAAGATTTTACTGACTGTGTGACACCCTTGTAGTGTAGGAGTCCAGCAGCCCAACTCTGGGCGGGAAGCTTCCACAAAGATTCAAGGAGCAAAACACATTCAGTACCCCCTGTACTCTTTTTCCCAGCTTAACTCCCAGGCAGTGATTACACCTGCTAAGGTTCCACAACAGGCAAGAAAAGCATGGTAGGAAGGGAAGATATTAGAGATGGTGCCATGGCATGTGCACCCACACCCCACACCCCGGTACATAACATTCTTATTGCATGTCACCCTGATCCCCATCAGCTACATTAGTGAACTTTATTAGCACATCCGTATGCATAAACTTGAACCCTAAACCAAACCCTATTATCACCTGAATCTAAACCTTAATTCAATGCTCAGCTAACCTGACCCTTCCACACGTTCCCCCCAGGCTGTAGTCTCGCTGTAACTCAAACCCAAACCAGAATATATGGTAATGTTTTCCAACACGAACCCTGATTGTAACCTCACCCTAGCCAGCCCCGTATAAGAGAAGTTGTGTGCGAACCTTAAAAGCGACACTCTCATTTCAGGACACTCTGGAGATGTGTTCTCGGGAGACGGAGTTTAAGAGCATCCTCTTTGCTCTTTGTTACTTCCATGCGGTGGTGGCAGAAAGACGAAAATTTGGGCCCCAGGGATGGAATCGCTCATACCCCTTTAACACTGGAGACCTCACTATCTCTGTGAATGTCCTCTACAACTTCCTGGAGGCCAACGCAAAGGTAAAGGCCATGGACATTCAGGGACCAGCCAGGTTGGGAGAGGGTTAAAATTATTTAATTTTGAGGGGTGAATCAGAGGGGTCTAGGATGGGGCCTGAGAATGTGCATTTCTAACAAGCTCCCTCGTGATGCAGATGCTGCTGATTCGGGGACCATAATTTAAGAGTGTAACACATGGTCATGTTCCAAGCCCCACTCCCCATTACCTGACAGCCAGATTATTTGAAACCTTGATAGTACAAATCGGAGCCCATGCATCAACATCATTGGCAGGACCTGGGAGCTAGTTAGAAATGCAGAATCTCAGGTCCCACCCAAACTTACTGAATCAGCGCATTTTAACGAGATTCTCTGGTAATTCGTATGCACGTTAAGGAGGGATGATGCAGTGCTATCCTACAGAAGGGGCATGAGCACACAGAAGGGCTGCACCCCACACAGGTGGGATGAGGCAGTGCCAACCCCAGGACTAACCCAAAGGCTGAGAATAGTACAACTGTGAGGTGAGAGCCATGGACGCTCAGGAAGTCTAACTAGAGACTCACACAGTGAGTCAGTCCCATGAGAGTTTGTCCCGGGCCCCACCAGACCATACCTATGTCTTCACAGCATGGCAGGTAGACTGTGATCAGCAGGAAGAGACTTCACACTCGCCTGATATAAGTTCCCAAACTTCGCTAACAATCAGTGCTCTTCCAGTTAAGGGAATATTCACCTCGTCAAGGTTATTCTAGTTCAGGAGCCAAACACAGAGTCAACAGGGCCACCACCTCTTCCTCGTGGGGAAAACGAACCAGGCCCAGATGCCCTGAGAAATCCTTCTGTCTCCAGCCCTTGGGCCTGGGAAGCCCACTCAACAGTAATCTTTCATTGCTGGCTTTCCTCCAGTGACCTCCCTCCCTAAGTCTCACACCAATGAACTTGTGGGCTTTGTTTATTCCCTTTGAACTTTCAAAGGGGACAGTTAATCTTGTCATTAAAGGCAGAAAATTAGAAAAGTACTCTGGTCCTCACTTTTCTCCATTTGACATTCACCTATTTAAAGAATTTCTAGGTAGAGCCTGCCTTCACTGTCACAGTTAAAAAGCTTGAAAGAGGGAAGGCATATATATATGGGGCGTGGGGTTGGCAACTTTCCTGTCTTCACTCTTTGATGTAATTCTTCAAGCTTTTTTTTTTCTTCTTTTTTTTTGAGATGGAGTTTCGCTCTTGTTGCCCAGGCTGGAGTGCAATGGCATGACCTCAGCTCACCACAACCTCCGCCTCCCGGGTTCAAGAGATTCTCCTGTCTCAGCCTCCCGAGTAGCTGGGATTACAGGCATGCACCACCACACCCAGCTAATTTTGTATTTTTAGTAGCGATGGGGTTTCTCCATGTTGGTCAGGCTGGTCTTGAACTCCCAATCTCAGGTGATCCACCCGCCTCGGCCTCCCAAAGTGCTGGAATTACAGGCGTGAGCCACCGCGCCCGGCCTTCTTCAGGCTTTTAATGAACTCCCCAAACACCCCTAACCCTGCTGGGCACTGAGGGTATGGAGAAAAATAAGACATTGCTCTCAATCTCAAGAAGCGTCCCTCTCTTGTGGCTTTCTGTGCTGCCCAGATGGGAGGCCAGCCCCGACGCCTGTGTGGAGGTCTTTCTTCCTTCCTCTCTTTCTTTCCCCCATCACTCAGGTCCCCTATGATGATTTGCGCTACCTGTTTGGAGAGATCATGTATGGAGGCCATATCACAGATGACTGGGACAGAAGACTCTGCAGAACCTACCTGGGGGAATTCATTCGACCAGAAATGTTAGAAGGAGAACTGTCTTTGGCCCCAGGGTTCCCACTCCCAGGCAACATGGACTACAATGGTTATCATCAGGTGAGACTCTGCTCTGTGCTTCTGATGTCGTGAGGGTGCTCACAGGGCCCTGGGTATTCCTCCCACGCCGACCTGCACCACCAGGGAAGCCTCTGCTGGGACATCACCATGGGCTGCAGGCAGGGGCTGAGGCAAAAGGGCTTAGACAGCTGAGCTCATGTCAAATCTGGTCCTATGCCCCAAGCCTGCCCTGTTTAAGTTGAGAGATACGGGATTTCTAGCCTCAAATTAATAATCAAATGGAGCCTTTGGAGATCTTTCGATTCTTGATGATTGGTTCAGTCATTCTGTGTGTTGCTGTTTTCTACAAATAACATCTGGGACAGTTATTTGGTTGTTTTCACTTGGGATGTTGACAAACCCATTTTTTTTTTTTTTTTTTTTTTTTTTTTGAGATGGAGTCTTGCTCTGGCGCCCAGGCTGGAGTGCAGTGGCGCTATCTCTGCTCACTGCAAGCTCCGCCTCCCGGGTTCACGCCATTCTCCTGCCTCAGCCTCCCGAGTAGCTGGGACTACAGGCGCCCGCCACCAAGCCCGGCTAATTTTATTTTTGTATTTTTTTTAGTAGAGACGGGGTTTCACCCTGTTAGCCAGGATGGTCTTGATCTCCTGACCTCGTGATCCGCCCACCTGGGCCTCCCAAAGTGCTGGGATTACAGGCGTGAGCCGCCGCGCCTGGCCTGACAAAGCCGTTTTTCATGGAGCAAAATTTCAGGCAAGACCTTAGCCAACTTTTGGTAAAGTTTCTGTGGGTGATTCTAAATATCCCTGGAGGAGCATGGTCTTGTGCCAAGATCACTCAGGTCACTCACCCCTCCCACTCCGTGTTGGTGGCTATGAACACAGGCACATACCGCATACGTATGCCACAGTCAGCATTCTCATGAAGGCTTTCTTTTCTTTTCTTTTATGAGACGGAGTCTTGATCTGTCACCCAGGCTGGAATACAGTGGTGCGATCTTGGCTCACTGCAACCTCCGCCTCCCAGGTTCAAGCTATTCTCCCTGCCTCAGCCTCCTGAGTAGCTGGGATTACAGGCCCCCACCACCACACCCGGTTTTTGTATTTTTTAGTGGAGACGGGGTTTCATCGTGTTGGCGAAGCTGGTCTCGAACTCCTAACCTCAGGTGATCCACCTGCCTCGGCCTCCCAAAGTGCTGGGATTACAGGTGTGAGCCAGCACGCCCGGCCTCATGGAGGTTTTCTTACTATTACTTCGGTCTTTTATGTTACTATTACCACAGCTATGTTTAAAGTATTCATCTTTGCCTATTTCACCTTCCATGGAAAACATTCCAAAAGATTTTTTTTTTTTTTTTTTATAAGACGGAGTCTCACTCTGTCACCCAGGCTGGAGTGGAATAGCGCGATCTCGGCTCACTGCAACCTCCGCCTCCCTGGTTCAAGTGATTCTCCTGCCTCAGCCTCCTGAGTAGCTGGGATTACAGGCGTGCGTCACCACGCCCAGCTAATTTTTGTATTTTTAGTAGAGACGGGGTTTCATCATGTTGGTCAGGCTGGTCTCGAACTCCTGACCTCATGATCCTCCCACCTCAGCCTCCCAAAGTGCTGGGATTACAGGCGTGAGCCACCGCGCCCGGCCCGAAAGATATTTTTTAGCAGTTTTTATTGGTAGGCTTTTGAACATGCCTAGAAAAACTCTTGAATATAAAACATAAGGGAAATATTGATCACAGGAATATTAACTGCAAGCTTTAAAAAAATTTCTTTAATTCATTAAACTTAAGGGTAAATCGTAAAAGTCATTTGATCCAGAAAAATTGGACCTATAAGAGGAGATTTAAAACAATAAAGCTCTTTAAGGAAAATAAGAGGAAATGTTTTTAACTACTTCACCAAAGGCAAAAAGGCTTTTCCCGGGAAAATTGTGCAACAGCGTCCCCTAGTGTCCATGGGATAATTCGACAGGAGGCTGGAGCAAGTAACAGGCAAAGGAAGTCTGTTTTTCTTATTCAGCAAGGGTGAAATCGATTTGCACATTTCCAAATGACTGAGGTACACTCTCTTTCTTATACTTCTCTTTAATGTGTTAGTTAATAGATGGTTCTAGGGCATCTACATAGAGTCCAGGCCTGCACAGAACGCTGGAGGAAATACAAAAATGAACATACAGATCGGCCCTTGAGGAATGGGCAATCTATTAGGCTAGGTGTTAATAACACCAAGGAATCGTCAAAATCATATCAGGAACGGAACTTGAGGGATATTTTCCCACCATCGTATAAAGAGCCATGAAGAGGCGCTCAAAACATTCAGAGCCAGGCGCGGTGGCTCCCGCCTGTAATCCCAGAACTTTGGAAAGTCAAGGCTGGAGGATCACTTGAGCTGATGAGTTAGAGACCAGCCCAGGCAACATAGTGAGACCTCATCTCTACAAAAAATAGAAATAAAAAATCGGCTTGAGCATGGTGGCATGTACCTGTATTTCCAGCTACTTGGGAGACTGAGGTGGAAAGCACTTGAGCCTGGGAGGTGGAGGCTTTAGTGAGCTGTGTACTCTACTGTACACTACTGTACTCTAGTTTTTTCAGCAGAGTGAGAGCCTGTCTCACACACACACAATAAAATAAAATAAAATAAAACTGAGCCTTAGCCGCTGGTTAGGATTTTTAGGCATTAGGCATGGCAGACTCTAGCCACTAGCACTGGCCACAGAAAGGAGCTGCTAGGGTGACACATAGTTTCAAAATTTTTTTTATTTGAATACCTTTCACCAGGGGCGCAAACTCTCCAGTTCGCAGCCAATCTCACCTCCTTCGTCCTAAGCCCAATTCACTTGTTTATTTTGCATGTGCCATCCCATGTACATGTTCAGGTTTGTCATATCTGATTTAGATGGAGGGGAGAGAAAAGAAGGAAAGGTCTGGAATCCTAGAAGAGCTTACGTAAAATCACTAGGGAGGGATTCGTATTTTTGAAAGACTATGAGAAGTCCTCCTCTGGTCTGCAGGAAAAAGAGTCATCAGGGAGGAGTGGGAGGCATTGGGTGTGGAGATAGATAAAGTCATCTAAGCCTCCCAGAAAAAAGAGAATGATAGAATGAATGTGGAAGTTTTGGGAAACGGGTCCAGCCGACAAAAATGGATGATGTCAAGGTGCACTAATAGGTGGAGAGGGTGATGAAGTCAACCAGGGATGGTGAGCAGTGTCCCCTGGAGGAGGGATACTAGCCCATGGACTCCCTGCAGAGGACAAGCCGGTGTGGGAGATGGGAGGTACGTCCTGGTTTCTTTTTAAGTGAGCTTGCCCTTGATTTTCAGTACATCGATGCTGAGCTGCCCCCAGAATCCCCCTACCTCTATGGCCTCCACCCGAACGCAGAGATTGGCTTCCTGACCCAAACCTCAGAAAAGCTCTTCCGCACTGTGCTGGAGCTGCAGCCTCGGGACAGCCAGGCCAGAGACGGAGCGGGCGCCACAAGAGAAGAAAAGGTGTGTGTGGTGGGGACTGCCTGAGGTCGTTCTGGGGGACCCCGAGGATCATAGATGCACACCTTTCTCCTGCTGGCCATTTTGGCAGTACACAGCATAGACAACACACAAAGCACCAACCACCTGCAGCCTGGAGATGCTTGCCTGTCACCGCCAAGAGCCTCTCCCCTCCCGTCATCACCATGCTGGCCATCAGTTAAATCATAGGAAGTCCCTGCCATTGGGTTCAGCAGTTTTCTTTGCCAGTCCACCCAAAGTCCATTTTTATTCAGCTTCTCTGCCAAAGTGAAGAAAGGGCAGGGCTGAACAGTGGTGGCTTGGGAACCTTGAATGTGACTTCTTGATCCCCTGGCAAACCAAGCAAGGATGGGTAAGGGGTTGCCCCTGAGCACCCCCACCTCAGTTCACCAACCAGATGCCAGTGGGGAAGAACACAGTCCTTCATAATGCAAACGCCTTCCCTTCGTGTGAATGGCTTCTAGTCCGAGAGTCTCTAAATACACAGTTACCTGCCACTAAGCACAGGACTTCCTGAAATTTTAGGAAGGTGGAAGGGAATTATGGAGTAGAAAGGCAGACCAGGGTGAGGTGTGGGTTTCAGGACAACCCAAGGCAACATGGGGGCTCTGATCCTGGTGTGGGGGTAGCTGAAGATAAAGAAAGAATGGGCCTCACACCTGTAATCCCAGCACTTTGGGAGGCCAAGGCGGGCAGATCATGAGGTCATGAGTTCGAGACCAGCCTGGCCAACATGGTGAAACCCCATCTCTACTAAAAAATACAAAAATTAGCCGGGTGTGGTGGTGGGCGCCTGTAATCCCAGCTACTCGGGAGACTGAGGCAGGAGAATTGCTTGAACCTGGGAGGTGGAGGTTGCAGTGAGCCAAGACCGTGCCACTGCACTCCAGCCTGGTGACAGAGCAAGACTGTCTCCAAAAAAAAAAAAACAAAAAAAGAATGGGCCACCAAAGGGAAATTTCTCCATGAATTTTTTTCTGAGACAAGCTAACCAACTTCCTAAAGATGTATTTGTACCAACTGACATCCACCCCATGGTACTGCCTGGATTTTTTTTTTAATTTAATTTTTCTAAGAGTAAGATTTCACTCCATCACCCAGGCTGGAGAGTTCAGTGGCATAATCACAGCTCACTACAGCCTGCAACTCCTAACCTCAAGCAATCCTTCCACCTCAGCCTCCTGAGTAGCTAGGACTGCAGGTGTGTACCACCACGCCCTGCTAATTTTTTAACTTTTTGTAGAGACAGGGTCGCACTATGTTGCCTAGGCTAGTCTTGAACTCCTGGGCTGAAGCAATCCTCTCATTTTGACCTCCCAAAGTGCTAGGATTATAGGTGTGAGCCACTGCACCCGGTCCTAGCTGGGTTCTTTAATTTAGAGATGCCATTAGGTTTACAAGTAAACATCCTTGGGAAGATTATCAAACTTTTAGCCTCTAGAGACTGATTTTAGGAAAGCAAACTGATACTAAAAGAGTTGGACTTTTATATAAAGGTATGGAGTCATGTCATCAAAATAGTATTTCTCAAATTTTAATATGCCTAAGAATGTGCCAGAGAGATTGAAATTCTGACTCCGAGGTCTGGGGTTAGGTTGCATTGGCAACCTAGTGATTTTGATGAGGTGAGCATACTTCGAGAAAGCTGCTCCATATCACTCTACTCAGTCTATTCCACTATTTGATGTATAATTTGAAAATAAAGAGAAGAACCCACCCAGAATGAATAATGTTCCTAGATCTAAAACTGGAAAAGGCTGAGACTGTATAAGTAATAGACTTAGAATTCTTCAGTCAAGGTTCAAAGAAGGTTCTAATGCTTATCATTTCCTTATCCCCTCCCCCAGCTAACCCAAGAAATGGGGTGTGTATGTGCTTGTGTATTTCAGAAATGATATGAACTGTGATCACTTGCCATGCACAATGCTGTGTGGGACACGTGTGCAGGTTACTGGGTGCACATCTGATTGTGCAGTATCCCAGTATTTGGCCATGGTGGTGTTTCTCACATAGCTCACATGTTCCTATGAGCTATCTTCCTTCCTGTCCACACCGCAGGTCAGCTCAAGATGAGGGGCAAAGAGTCAAAGCCCAGAGAGTATTTTGTTGTTAAGAAGTAAATGACCGAGAGGTTGTACACTCCACATACACTCATGAACTCTTGACTCAATTCTGTTCCCATGTTTACATCTATATGAAGGGAAGCTGGGGATTTTAGTATATAGCTAAAGAGAAGGAGTGAGAAGGGAGGTTGGCATGTTAGATACATGGATGGATGGATGGATGGATGGATGGATGGATGGATGATGGGTAGATGGGTGATGATGGATAGATAATTGATGGATGAATGGATGGATGGATGGGTGATGGGTAGATGGGTGATGGATGGATAGTGGGTGGATGGACGGATGATAGAGGAATAGAGTTATGTACACTGAAGGGCATCTGCAGGAATATATACCAAAAAACCAATAGTTGAACAGTGTTTTTCTCCCACAGGGGGAAGAGTTAAGACTATAGGAGGACTTTGCTTCTAATATCATGTGTATCAGAAATGTTTAGATTTTTCTGATAAGCATTTATTACTTTTCCAGAAAGGAAGAAAGCAGAAGTGTTTGTCTGTGGAAATAAGGTGGACTCCGTCCCTTGGAACCCACTCCTCCTATCTGAAAGAGTCTCTGGGTTCCCTGAGCAAAAGAGGGGCCCCGCATACGTCTGTGGACCTGGGTCCTTCCCTATCAGCCCTCTCCCTCCTCAGGCCCCCACACCCTTTACAGCCTAATCAGAGATGAACCAGAACTCTGTGTCCCCACGTCCTGTGTATTTTGGAACAATACCTCCAGACGATCTTTTCGTCTCTTTGTAAATAATGTCCAAATGGAAGCTCGCTGATATAGAGCTGTTTTTTCAAACTCTGCTCCAGAGAAAAATATATATATAATTTTAGCCATTTGTCTTCTACCCCAGCAGCTGCTCTCAGGTACCATTAAAATCCGATTCCAGTTTTTGCTATGACAGCACCAAAGACCCATTCGTGACAGAGTGATTGGTTTTTACTTTCTTTTTTCTAACATCAGCTCTTTTCCTGGAGATGGCATTGTGTGTTAACAATACAAGGCAAGGTGAATATTTATCATCCTTTACACTTATATAGTTCTTCATAGCTTTCAGAGACTGCCACACTCATCAGCTCATTTGATTTGATCTTCACATCAACTCTGGGAGTTGGGAAAGGGGACAAGTGGAGAAAAAGACACTCTTGGAAGTGTTTACAGCTGGAGAAAATTGAGGCCTAAGTAACTTGCTTATGTTCACATGGGTAATGCAGGGCAGAACTGTATTAACTCGGTCAGGCCTCCTTGGCTGCAAGCTATAGACACCAACAGAGCTTAACTAGGCAAGAAATGGCTCACTCTATCAAGGGAGTCAGCCTAAGAAGAGATAAAAAATCACGATGGCTCTAGAGTCCCAGGTAAAAGAAGGGTAGACTGCCCTTTCCAGGCGCCCCCATCCTGCCAGTGGTTCCTTGGATTCCAGGCTTGAGATTCAAATCATTGTGCTCCTGGGAAACATAATCTGATTGGCCTAACTTGGCTCAGGGGAAACTGGGCCCAGTGACTAAACATAAACATAAAACAATGGGGAAGACATAGTTTCACAAAGGAGATAGGGAATTGTTCCTAGAAGGGAAAAGAGATAATGAACAGACAAAAACAGATATCCACCACAGGCACCTAGAGCTCAGCTCTCAGGACTCCAGAAATGGCTGGCGCTCGCTCACTCCCTCCCTCCTTCCCCTCTCTCCCTCTGTCCCAACCTGCTGGCTGTGTGGTCTATTATGTCTGCACTTTTCATTTTTCTTTCTCTGCTGACAGACCTCCTGGGCTTACTCATTTATTCCAAAATGGCAGACTCAACCTCCAAGTGCTTGCCCCAAATTAACTCAGAATCTCTGAGCCTCAATTCCAGTTTTCCAGGAGAGAGACCCTACTTGTCCTAGCTCCCCTGATCTAATTAGCTGACAGTTTGTGTGGGGAAAAGAATCGTGGGGTACAACAGGAGGTTTACATGATAGATGAGGGTGTTTCTTCCAGAACTCAAGGATAGAAACTGCAGTGTTGCATCATAGAAACTCAGAACTGAGTGGATGACCGGATAGATAGATAGATAGATAGATAGATAGATAGATAGATAGATAGTGATAGATTAGATAGATGGATAGATGAATGACAGATTAGATAGATGATAGATAGATAGATATTGTATATAACTGTATATTGATATACTGTATCTGGATATAGATAGATATTGTATATAACTGTATATTGATATACTGTATCTGGATATAGATAGATAGATTTGTCATTGCTGCTCATCACTTCAGCTTCACATGGCCCACAGGGGCCACCTTTTGGCCCAAGTCTGTCTTATGGCTTTCTAGTTTGATTCCCACAGCCAACTGGATCAGCCTCTGAGTTTTTCAACTCCAAATTCTTAGAGAGCTATCTGTGTTCATCTTATTATGCTAGGCATGCAAGTCCCAGGAACTTGGCCAGCCTATGAAGAGGTCCTACTGTGGTCAGTCAGTCCTCAGCCCTGACCTAGTTGACCTCGACAAGCAGGCAAGAGTTTGGCCATGTCAGTGGGTGGAGGGGCAGCAGACGATGGGTGATTGGCATCTCTAGTCCCACACTGCAGGAAAATGGATTCCTTCTGGAGAATAGAGCCCTTTCTTAACGCTGTGTTTCCTTCTGTGGGGCAGGTCAAGGCACTTCTGGAAGAAATATTGGAGCGGGTGACAGACGAGTTTAACATCCCAGAACTGATGGCCAAAGTGGAGGAGCGCACCCCTTACATTGTAGTTGCCTTCCAGGAGTGTGGCCGGATGAATATCCTCACCAGAGAGATTCAGCGCTCACTGAGGGAGCTGGAGCTCGGCTTAAAGGTGAGCGCGGTCTTGTAAGGCATGGAGGGGACATTGCTAGAGGACACAGATGGACCCCTATGGGGAAGAAGGAGCACTGGGGGACCTGAAAGCTGGGGAGCAGTTGTCCTGCAGCATCCTAGGTGCCCAAAAGTCATCACTCCCCAGAAACCACAGCCTGGCCATGAGGTTGTCTACAAGAACCAAGATGTTATACAGTCTTTGACATTTCTCGTCAACAAGGAAAGAGTCTACAATTTCTACTACCAGTTACTTAAACAAGTTTATTTTCCTCACCTTGAGATGATGTAAAGTGCCTAGCACAGAGCCTGTTAATTACTGTTCACTCCGATGACAGGAAATGGAAGCTCTTGCTGCCTTTGAGGAGCTGAGGAAGGTGACTGCTGTCGATTTACATTGGCTTGTTTTTTCTTTTTTTTTTTTTTTTTGAGACAGAGTCTTGCTCTGTCGCCCAGGCTGGAGTGCAGTGGTGTGATCTCGGCTCACTGCAAGCTCCACCTCCTGGGTTCACGCCATTCTCCTGCCTCAGCCTCCCGAGTAGCTGGGACTACAGGTGCCCGCCACCACGCCGGCTAATTTTTTGTATTTTTAGGAGAGATGGGGTTTCACCGTGTTAGCCAGGATGGTCTCCATCTCCTGACCTCATAATCCACCCGCCTCAGCCTCCCAAAGTGCTGGGATTATAGGTGTGAGCCACTGCACCTGGCCTACACTGGCTTGTTTATTAAAAGAATTGTAAATGAACACTCAGACAAGCCCTGGAAGTCCAGGTATGGAACATGCTGGTGCCTTCATCATGTCTGTCTCTTGGGGTTAAACACCTAGGGTCACACGTGGATAGGAAAAACACATATGAGTTTTTTCACATGGAGTCACATAGATGATGAAACGGACTGCAAAATCTAGGTTAGGGCCGGGCGCGGTGGCTCGTGCCTGTAATCCCAGCACTTTGGGAGCCCAAGGCGGGCGGATCACAAGGTCAGGAGATCGAGACCACCCTGGCTAGCACGGTGAAACCCCGTCTCTACTAAAAATGCAGAAATTAGCCAGGCGTGGCGGTGTGCACCTGTAGTCCCAGTTGCTGGGGAGGCTGAGGCAGGAGAATAGCGTGAACCTGGGAGGCGGAGCTTGCAGTGAGCCGAGATCGCACCGCTGCACTCCAGCCTGGGTGACAGAGCAAGACTCCGTCTCAAAAAAAACAAAAACAAAAAAATCAAGGTTAGGGTTTTTTTTGTTTAATCTCTTAATGTTCTTTCTCCTTCCTCCACCGCACCTCAACATGGGTAGAAGGAAATAAGGAAGGAGAGACAGGAGGGGAATGTTGAAGATGGACAATGTTTGGTAACGTTTCCAAATTCTGTGCCAGCTTGTAATCAAATGAAGTACAAAATTTCACAGAGTAAATAAGAACTTTGCCTGTTATGTAATGCAGTTCCATTACTGAGTACGCAGGTATATATCAGTAACTATCTTGAGTAGGTTTGCTGCCATTTGAAAGGCTTATGGAACTTGGGTAATGTGGCACAGCCTGTTTACCCATTCGACTTCCAATTCATTCACTCATTTTTCTTTCGAGAGCCTTTGCTGCAGTTGGTGTCATGAATCTCGGAGCTTGCCTGGGCAAAGATGCAGGGTGTGAGAGGTAGTTGTCTTTTCTTTCAGTCTGATTCAAGCAATGTTGATTGATGAGCCTCTTGGGCAAGTCTCAGCACTGCCTGCTGGAGGGTGCAGAGGAGATTGGAAAGGGAGCCTTCCCTTGCAGAAGGACAGTCTTGTGGGGAAACAGACACACACACTGATATAAAGCAGGGTGAAATTAATTAAGAGCCACATAGAGAGACGCGGGAGAAGAAAGAAGAAACAAGTATTGTGTGTGGGATAAGGAAAGCCCCAGGGAAGCAGTGGCATTGAGGGGGTTCTGGAGGAAGGGTAGGGTTGTGACAGGTGATCACAAAAGGCAGGGGCTCCTAGAGGCACAGGGCAGAGCAGCCCACGGTCTGTTCTCAGAGTTAACATGGTTTGGCTGCAGCTACAGGCCCACTCAGGTGAGCAACAGTGATAGGGTGAACTTCCAAAAGGTGACAAAACAATGATAGAAAAGTAGCTGGGACCTTTGTCTACTGGTCCCACTGCGAAATGGAAGATAAACAGAGAAATCTCCATTCAAACTTGCTGTCATGAATCCCAGACTCTCCTTAGGACCATCCCCCAAGCTGGCCTGGTCCTCAGACTCTCCAGAAGTTTTATCACATGTTCCCATCTCCACGCTCCAGTCCTACCAACCTCTAAGGGTGGGGCCTGGAAGTCCGTAATGTTTCATCACCAGCCAGGAAATTCTTATGATGACTCAAGTTTGGGAAGCACAGCATGAAGGTAAGAGGCAAAAGAAAAAAGTTAGACAGTGGTATTTGTGGCAAAATGAAGGTGCAAAGGGGATGGCAGCAGAGTTCAGAGAAGAGAGTTTTAAGTCTAGGGAATGGATAAAGCTGAGCTGGCCAGAAATGAGAACAGCAGGGAAAAGAGGCAAAACAGGTGACTTGGCAGGAGGGGTTCGCAGAGTGGTCTGGCCTGTGAGTGAGAGGCGGAGGGCCTAAGTGGGGCAAGTCCCTGAGATGGAGCAGCGAGGAATGTCAGCTCCGAGCTCTTCCCAGAACACTGGTGGAAGGCACGCTTGGCTTTGCTGACCAGCTTACCTGGCAGGGGGAAGGGGAAGAGGAAATTCTGCTTGAGGTTTTCCTTCCTCACTTTCTTAGTTTAACAATCACTTTATGCTGGGCTCAGTGGCTCATGCCTGTAATCCCAGCTCTTTGGGAGGCCGAGGCAGGTGGATTGCTTAAGGTCAGGAGTTCAAGACCAGCCTGGCCAACATGGCAAAACCCCGTCTCTACTAAAAATACAAAAATAAGCCAGGCGTGGTGGCGGGCGCCTGTAATCCCAGCTACTACGGAGGCTGAAGCAGGAGAATCGCTTTAACCTGGGATGCTATAACCTGCAGTGAGCCGACACTGTGACACTGCACTCCAGCCTGGGTGACAGAGAGAGATTCCATCTCAAAAAAAAAAAAAAAATCACTTTAAAGTTCTGGGACTGTTGGAGCTAAACGATGGGAATACACAGACATACAAAGTGGAATAACCAATATTGGAGGTGGCAAAAGGTGGGAAGGAAGGAGGGGGGTGAGGAATGAAAAATTACTTATTGGGTACAGTGTTCACTATTCAGGTGACAAGTGCACTAAAAGTGAGAATTGCACTACTATGCAATATACACATGTGAGAAAGCTGCACTTGTGGCCGGGCGCAGTGGCTCACGCCTGTAATCCCAGCACTTTGGGAGGCCGAGGCAGCTGGATCACGAGGTCAGGAGATCAAGACCATCCTGGCTAGCATGGTGAAACCCCGTCTCTACTAAAAATACAAAAAAAAAAATTAGCCGGGCGTAGTGGTGGGCACCTGGTAGTCTCAGCACTTTGGGAGGCCGAGGTGGGCGGATCAGTTGAGGTCAGGAGTTGGAGACAAGCCTGGCCAACATGGTGAAACCTCATCTCTACTAAAAAATACAAAAATTAGCCAGGCGTGGTGGCACGCACCTGTAATCCCAGCTACTTGGGAGGCTGAGGCAGGAGAATAGTTTGAACCCGGGAGGTGGAGGTTGCAGCGAGCTGAGATCATGCCACTGCACTCCAGTCTGGGTGACAGAGCAAGAGTCCATCTCAAAAAAAAAAAAAAAAAAAAAAAGAGCCAGATTAGATCCCCAGTCAGCAAGCCAGACTTTAAACTTGAACAGCTTCACATCTTTAGAAACAGATTTTGTCTATCAGGAGGGGCAATCAACCACTGAAGCATAGACAAAAAGCCTGACACCATCACACGTTTGAATGATAAAAATTACTTCCCGGCCAGGTGTGGTGGCTCACACCTGTAATCCCAGCACTTTGGGAGGGCAAGGTGGGTGGATCACAAGGTCAGGAGTTTGAGACCAGCCTGGCCAATATGGTGAAACCCTGTCTCTACTAAAAATACAAAAAAAATAGCCAGGCGTGGTGGCAGGCACCTGTAGTCCCAGCCACTCGGGAGGCTGAGGCAGGAGAATGGCGTGAACCCGGGAGGCGGAGCTTGCAGTGAGCCAAGATGCCACCACTGCACTCCAGCCTGGGCCACAGAGCAAGACTCCATCTCAAAAAAAAAAAAAAAAAGAAAAAGAAAAAAAAAATCTGCACTTGTACCCTCTAAATATATAACGGTATTTTAAAATTGAAAAAGAAAAAAAAATGCTTGCAAGCCGAAAAATAAAATAAAATATTCCAGGGCTGTTTCAGGTTGAGCATAGGGAGACAGGTCTACCCATGTTAGCCAACACATTAATTGGACAAACCCAAATGCTGTGCCCAGACTGGGCACCAAGGTTAGAAAATGTCTAATTTTTGAAGTCATTAAGTCAACACTGTTAGCATTCATGAAAAAGATATTGTTATTCACCATACTTCATATTTGGCTGGATGGGAGGCCATAATGTCTACCTAAAAAGTATTAGCTACTGAAAAGCACAGCAATGAAAGCCTTGAGGACTACAGGAGCTCAAAGCACACAAAAGTGGTAAAGGAAGGCATCATCTGGGGGCCACAAATATGTTCCCATAGAAAGGAATTCTTTTGGGAATTCACCACAGTTAGACATCTGTCTCTCAGCCTCACAAGATGAGGAACCAGGTCCTGTGATTATCCCAGAGCTGACTGGAAGGGGTATTGACTTTCACTAACCAAACTCACAAAAGCCTGATGTACCAAATGCCCAATGGCCAATTTATTCTGTTTCAATAACAACTAGGCATCATTTTCAAAGGGGCATATACTGACAACAGACTGCCCAGAAATTATCTCCCTATGTAGGAAAACTACAGAAGACAAGTTCTTAGACTTTTAATGCCCAATACAGTAGCCATTAATGACAGGTGCCTACTGAGCCTTGAAATGGAATAGTCCAAATTGAGATGTGCTATAAGCTTAAATTACACACCACATTTCAAAGCCATAAGACCAAAAACTATAAAATAGTCTAGTAATTTTATATTTATTATATATTGAAATGATGTTTGGTATTTTAGATATATTGAGTTAAATAAAAGTTAAATTCACCTGTTTGGTTTTTTACTTTTAAAATGTGAATTCCAGAAAATTTTTAATTACCTATGTGGCTCTCATATGTGGTTTGCATTCTATTTCATTTAGGCAGTGCATATCTTAGATGGAGCCATGGCCAGCCCAGAATCTGGGAGGGGCTGGGAACTATTTTTTTTTTTTTTTTTTTTTTTTTTTGAGACAGAGTCTTGCTCTGTTGCCCAGGCTGGAGTGCAGTAGTGCGATCTCAGCTCACTGCAACCTCTGTCTCCCGGGTTCAAGCGATTCTCCTGCCTCAGCCTCCCGGCTCCCGCCAGCACGCCCAGCTAATTCTTGTGTTTCTTTAGTAGAGACGGGGTTTCACCTTATTGACCAGGCTGGTCTCAAACTCCTGACCTTGTGATCCACCCACCTCGGCCTCCCAAAGTGCTGGGATTACAGGTGTGAGCCACCACGCCTGGCCAGGAACTGATTTTTATCATTCAAACGTGTGATGGCATCAGGCTTTTTTTCTATGCTTCAGTGGTTGATTGCCCCTCCTGATTGACAAAATCTGTTTCTAAAGATGTGAAGCTGTTCAAGTTTTAAAGTCTGGCTTGCTGACTGGGGATCTAATCTGGCTCTTTTTTTTTTTTTTTTTTTTTTTGAGACGGAGTCTCACTCTGTTGCCAGGCTGGAGTGCAGTGACACGATCTCGGCTCACTGCAAGCTCCACCTCTTGGGTTCAAGCTATTCTCCTGCCTCAGCCTCCCAAGTAGCTGGAATTACAGGTGCCTGCCACCGTGCCCGGCTAATTTTTGTGTTTTTTACTAGAGATGAGGTTTCACCGTGTTGGCCAGGCTGGTCTCGAACCCCTGACCTCAAGTGATCCACCCGCCTCGGCCTCCCAACGTGCTGGGATTACAGGCGTGAGCCACCGCACCCGGCCTCCTCTGGCTCTTTATTCTGATGCACTGTGTGTTGACTTGAATAGTTCAGGTCTGGAAGGGTGGGCCGTGCTATGGCCCTTTCATCCCCACCCACTGAGCAGCTATCCTGGCCTCTATGCCTTTGGCCTTCCAGTACTCTACCAGAATACCTGAATAGAAAGGCTGCTGCCAACCCAGCCTGGAGGCCAGCCTGGAAGGAGTGGGACCCTTATCACTTTCACTTCTTCCCATGTCCTCAGCTCCCAGTGTCTTAAACAAATGAAAGCTCCTCGCCAAGAACATCTTCATAGGGTAGAAAAAACAGAGAGGAGCTAAGCCTCAGGACAGGCTACAGCATGGAGCCCCTCCAGGAGGGAGGACCTGGGTGCTGCTGCCCTGTCCCCTGGCCCTCTGTGGACTGAACGCCCGCTGCATGACCGTGAGCCCAGGGCAACAGCTGCTTCAGACACATCAGAGATCAGAGGCGCCCTTTTCAAATGGAAGTTCCTGGCCTCATTCCCAGAGGTATGAGTCCTTAGTTTGGACTACAGCCTACAAATCCAAGCTTTTAACAGGCTCCCTGACTTAAAAGAACGAAGACCTACAGGAAAAATGAGGTTTTCACTCTGTATTATGCCAAAGAAAGATTATGAAAGCATTTATTGATAGGGATGAATGAAAGGGTTAAGGTCACAGCCAGATAGCCCTCCTATCCTGAAAAGGGGCCACCCAGCCTGTAGTTCTCCCAGAGTTTCATTGCAATGCCAAAACCGAGGAAGCACCTTGTAGACCCTGAAATGCAGCATTTTCTTGAGCGAAGGGTCCAGTGTTTTAAGTTTTCTCTTTGTTGACTCTTGACCTGTGAGCAAGTGTGAATATTAATCGCTGTTAAACAGGATTCAGGCCAGAGGAGTTTAGGAAACTGGTTGAATTAACATAAGTAGGTGTCTTTGCTGTAGTATAGCTTGAGACTTTTTTTTTTTTTCTTTGAGACGGAGTTTTGCTCTTGTTGTCCAGGCTGGAGTGCAATGGCGCAATCTCAGCTCACCGCAACCTCTACTTCCCAGGTTCAAGCAATTCTCCTGCCTCAACCTCCTGAGTAGCTGGGATTACAGGCATGCGCCAGCATGCCTGGCTAATTTTGTATTTTCAGTAGAGAGGGGGTTTCTCCATGTTGGTCAGGCTGGTCTCAAACTCCCAACCTCAGCTGAATCACCTACCTCCACCACAAAGTGCTGGGATTACAGGTGTGAGCCACCATGCCCAGCCAATGATTTTTTATTTTCTTCTTTTCCTAAATGACTCCTGGTTCTCTTCTCCAGGGCTGTCCCTGCTTCACTGACAAGCTGAGACAGAACATTCTTTGGAGTTCCATCACTTGCACATTCAATTAGTATGTGTAAAATTATTGTCAGAATACATTATAATCTTATTATAAGCAGATGTGGGAAATTTTTAAGAAAGCCAAGTTACACATATTATGTTCCTCTGCTTTCAAAATGATGTTAGATTTCTGAAGGGTGTTAAAAATTAAGTATTGCATATATTTTTAAATTTATTAGACCTTATTTTTAGAGTAACTTTAAGTTCACAGCAAAATTGCACAGAAGGTATGGAGATTTCCCATACACCTGCTGTCCTCAAAGACAAATTATCCTTCCTCGACTCTCAAATTCCCCACCAGAGTGGTACTTTTCTTATAACTGATGAATCTATACTCATACATCATTATCACCCAGAGTTCATAGTTTACATTGGGGTTCATTCTCAGTGTTAGACTTTCTATGGGTTTGGACAAATAAATAATGACTTGTATCCACCATTATAGTATCATAAAAAGTAGTTTCACTGCCCTAAAATTCCTTTGTATTGGATATATTTTAAACTTTTTTGTTTTCAGAGATGGAATCTTTCTCTATTGCCCAGATTGGAGTGTGGTGGTGTGATCATGGCTCAAGAGATCTTCCCACCTCAGCCACGTGCGTAGCTGGAACTACAGGTGCACACAACCACACCCGACTAACTTTTTATTTTTATTTTTGTAGAGATGGGGTCTCACTATGTTGCCAGGCTGGTCTCCAACTACTGGTGTGAAACGATCCTCCCGCCTTGACCCAAAGTGTTGGAATTACAGGCATGAGCCACTGTGCCTGGCTATTTTAAACTTTTTTCAAGCACATTATCTCTTCTTATAACAAAACTTACAGAAACAGTTTTTATGCCTTCACGGTTTTCAGAAATGGCACATCTCTGTATGAGGGATGGTAACACAGAGTGAGCTGTTGACTTAGCCCAGGGAAATGACCAGAAACAAAGGACTTCTGAGTCCAGGGTTCCATCTGAGTTCATCTTATCTGCCTCGCTCTGGCCCAGTCCTCAAAGCACATCCCAAACGACCAGGACATTTCCATCACACTTAGTCCAGTGTACCGCCAGCAGTCCACAACCTGACACCTTAGGAGTTCTGCTGAGTCACGTTATCGGGTGACTCCAGAATGGGGCCTTTATTCCCCTATCAACTCACAGGACAGACGACATTCACATGTGCAGTATCTTTCCATAGATGCACCCAAATTTCATACAACCCCAAACAATTTTGTATAGAAGCAAATTCAGTAGAACTATATTTTGCTGTATTGTTTGTAAAGGCATTTTATAACCATGGAAGTTAATTGGCCATTGAAAACGTCTTAAAATTTTTATTCTGAAGGGAAAAAATGAATGCAGTATGGCCTGTTTTTTTAAAAAATATCTGTTGGACTCATTTCACTTTTGAAGTGAGTCATGACTTTTTGACACATCTTCTTAACCACAGGTTGGCAAGCAAGTAGTGCTATTGTATGCACATAAAAATTTGTACTAAAACTGGCATTTGTAGTTTTTAATGTAAGCCAGGCATGGTGGCTCACACCTGTAATCCTAGCACTTTGGGAGGCCCAAGTGGGTGGATCACTTGAGGCCAGGAGTTTGAGACCAGCCTAGCCAACATGGCAAAATCCCATCTCTACTGGAAATACAAAAATTAGCTGGGCATAGTGGCTATGACAGGAGGACTGCTTGAGGCCAGGAGTTTGTAGACCAGTCTGGGCAACATAGTGAGACCCTATCTTGAGGGAAAAAAAATTAAAAATTCGGCCGGGTGTGGTGGCTCACACCTGTAATCCCAGCATTTTGGGAGGCCAAGGTAGGTGGATTATGAGGTCAGGAGCTTAAGACCAGCCTGGACAAGATGGTGAAACCCCGTCTCTACTAAATATACAAAACTCAGCCGGGCTTGGTGGCAGCTGCCTGTAATCCCAGCTACTCGGGAGGCTGAGGCAGGAGAATTGCTTGAACCTGGAAGGCAGAGGTTGCAGTGAGCTGAGATCACACCACTGCACTCTAGCCTGGGTGACACAGCAAAACTCCATCTCAAAAAAAAAAAAAAAAATTAATTAAAAATTCAGTTCCTTTTTTGCATTAGTTACATTTCATGTGTTCAGTAGCCACATGTGATCTTATTAGCACAGATACAGAATGTCTTTGCCATCACAGGAAGCTCTGGTGGATGATGGTATTTTAGGCAAAAAGGCTAGGTTTTCTGTCTGGTAATGTAAACTATTATGTATGTTTTTGCCAAAGCTATATTACTTTTTTTTTTTTTTTTTTTTGACAGAGTCTTGCTCTGTTGCCCAGGCTGGAGTTCAGTGGCATGATCTTTGCTTACTGCAACCTCTACCTTCTAGGTTCAAGCAATTCTTGTGCCTCAGCCATCCAAGTAGCTGGGATTACAGGCATGCACCATTACACCCAGCTAATTCTTTTTTTTTTTTTTTTTTTTTTTTTTTTGGTAGATACCAGGCCTCACTGTGTTTCCCAGGCTGGTTTCACACTCCCGGGCTCAAAGTGCTCCTCCTGCCTTGGCTTCCCAAAGTGCTGAGATAATAGGCATGAGCCACTGTGCCCAGCTCTCAATTTTTAATTTTATAATTTTAGTTCACTTGCATTTAAATAGCCACATGTGGCTAGTGGCTATCATATGAGACACTGTAAACCTAAAATATATGTATTTGGGTCCTGTAATGTAAGGCCAAGGACAATGGATAAGGATTTGCCTTGTAGCTGTGTTTGCTAAAGAGACTATCAGGTAGTTTCCCCATAAAGCACAATACTTCATCCTGCCCCTAAAGGTGAATTTCAGCCCTTCTCTCCTAAAATGGCCTGTAGCCCTTAAAGGCCATTTTTTTTTCCATTCACAGCAATCACTTTTCCCACTGACCTCTCTCCTGGTTCTCTTCTCCAGGGCTGTATGAGTCAGGTACAGCTGCTGTAACAAAATACCGTAGACGGTGTGGCTTAAACAACAGATATTTATTTCTCACAGTTGTGGAGGCTCAAAGTCTAAGCTCAAGCACCGGCAAATTTGGTTTCTGGTGAGGGCTCTCTGCTGGGCTTGTAGAGAGGTGTCTCCTCTCTGTGTCCTCAAATGGCAGGGAGGCAGAGCCAGAAAAGGGGAAAGTGGGAGAGAGACTGAGAGATTTCTTCCTCTTCTTATAAGGCGAAAGTCCTATCAGATTAGGGCTTCATCCTTATGACGTCACTTAACCTTAATTACCTCCTTAAAGACTCTATTTCCAATACAGTCACATGGAGGGTTGGGGCTTCAACATATGAATTTGCCAGGTACATGGCCCAGTCCGTAGAGGGGGTTTTCTCACCTGTCCACCCTGCAGCTGCTGCCCACAGAGAAGTTGCTGCATTAGCCTGACTTACCGTTGGAGCATGCTGTACCCAGACTCAGTGGTTCTACCAGCCACCAACCCACAGCCCTTTTGTGCTGGTCAGGCCTCAAGCGGCATCAACCTATGACATCAGTGGCTTTACCTTGCTTTTTCCCCTCCTTATCACTCTCATTCACCTGATTCTGATTCTCATTCACAAATGGGATGAAGTGAAGTGGTATCAAAGCTACTGGACATTGGGAGTATGTCCTGTTAATGGGCATAATCCATCATGTTTGTTAGAAAAGAAGTGCTGACAAGGCCAGGTGCGGTGGCTCATGCCTGTAATCCCAGCACTTTGGGAGGCTGAGGCGGGCGGATCACGAGGTCAGGAGATCAAGACCATCCTGGCTAACGTGGTGAAACCCCGTCTCTACTAAAAATACAAAAAAATTAGCCAGGCGTGGTGGCAGGCGCCTGTAGAGCTTGCAGTGAGTGGAGATCGCCACTGCACTCCAGCCTGGGCCACAGAGAGAGACTCCAGCTCAAAAAAAAAAAAAAAAAAAATGTGATCAATTGAAATGAAGCCAGAAATGACAGAGACAATGGAAGACAAAGATGTTAAAACAACTATTATAAGTTTGCACCATATATTCAAGAAGCTAGAAGAAAACAAGAGTATAATGTAGAACATGTAAGATATTTATTAAAAGACGCAAATGGAATTTATAGAGATGAAAAATACAATATTGATATGAAAAAATGAACTTCAGAGGATTCACAGCTGAGTAGGCACTGCAGGAGAAAAGATCAGTAACCATGAATACACAGCAATAAAAACATCTAGAATAATGAAAAAACCAAAAAAAGTAAACAAATTACTAGGTCCTGTAGGATAATATCAAGTGGTCTAACATACATGTAATTGGTGTCCCAAAAAGTAAACAAATTACTAGGTCCTGTAGGATAATATCAAGTGGTCTAACATACATGTAATTGGTGTCCCAAAAGGATGGGGTTGTTGATGGGGAAGGGGGGGGCCAAAAAAACTATTTGAAGAAATAAGGGCCACAGTTTTGCAAATTTGCTGAAAACCACAAAACCTATAGGTACAAGAAGCTCAACAAGCCCCATGCAGAATAAGCCTAATGAAAACATTGTAAATACACCTCATAATAAAACTGCTGAAACCAGGGATAAAGAAAAATTTTAAAAGCAGCAAGAGGAGAAAAATAAAAATTATATTTAAAGGATCAAAGAAAAGAATGATGGCAGACTTCTTGTCAGAAGCTGTGCAAGCCAGAAGAAAGTGGAGAACTATCATTAAAGTACTAAAAGAAAAAAACTGTAAACTTAGAATTCTTTGCCCAGGAAAAAATAGCTTTCAAAAAAGAAAACTAAGTAAAGATGTTTTCAGACAACTGAAATAATTCATAGCCAACAAGCCTGTGGGACAAGAAATGTTAAAGAAATTTCTTAGAACCCAGGAGGCGGAGGTTGTGGTGAGCCGAGATCACACCACTGCACTCCAGCCTGGGCAACACGGCAAGACTTCGTCTTAAAAAAAAAAAAAAAAAAAGAGAGAGAAAGAAATTTCTTAGAAAGAAAGAAAATGATATATGGAAATTTGGATCTAAACAAAGAAATAATGGTCTCCACAGATGGTAAATATGTGAGTAATATGAAAGACATTTTTACTCATCCAAAATCTTTTTTTAAAAATAATAGACTGTTTAAAACAAAAATAATAAAAATTTACTGTGGGCTTTAAGCATATGTAAAACCAAAATACATGCCAACAACAGCATGAAAAATGAGAGAAATAGAAGCATATTGTATATGATTCTTACAGCATATGTGGAGTGGTATAATTTTGAAGTTAGGGTGTGATGAGTTAGAGACATGTATTGTAAATCCTACAGCAGCATTCAGCAAACTGTCAGCCAACAGGCCAAATCCAGCCCACAACCTGTTTTGGCAAGTAAACATTGGAACACAGCCACAGTCATTCATATATACATTGTCTATGGCTATTTTTGTGCTACAATAGCAGAATTGAGTAGTGTCAGCAGAGATCATATGGCCCACAAAGCCTGTAATATTTATTTACTATTTGACACTTTACAGGAAAAAAAAAAAAGTTTGTCAATTCTTGCCCTAGAGCAGCCAAAAAATAAATAAATAATCTACAATTATAGTAGTTACTGTATTGGTAACTACATTAAATATAAACGGCTTAAGTGCCCAGAGTACTGTTTAGAACTGCCAGATCCAATTTTTAAAAAGCAAGACCTACCTATATGCTGTTATGTCAGGAATCCTGTCTCCAGACCACTCCTACATTTGGAGATTTGCTAGAAGGACTCATGAGTTTCAGCATATGATTGTATTAATACATATGGCTAAAATTTGTTATGGTGCTGTAGTAAGAATACACACATAGCCAGATCATAAGGGAAAAGACATAGGTGGAGTCAGGAGAAACCCATGTACAGGTTTCCATATGCTGCCTCCCTCTCATGAAGGATCACATAGAGTGCATCCTCTCTCCAGCACTGGAAATGGAGTAACATTTGTGTAACATTTCTGCCCAGGGAATTCCATTAGAGACCCCAGCACCCAAGGATTTTATTAGGAGCTGGTCACATAGGCACCCTCTTTCTAGCACATCCAAAATTCCATGCTTCCAAATGGGAAGTAGGTATTCATTGTAAACCAAATTGTTTGCACAGTCTGGATATGGTCAACCACCCTTTTCTATTAACCGTTAACGAGGAGCTAAGTTTCTAGATGCCAGCCACAGGCCAACCTTGCTAGCAGGCATTTCTAAGGATAGCAGTCTCAAGCTTGCCCATTAACTCTTTCAGCACAGCTGATTACCAAAACAAAGGACAAAAAAACTACGTATCCAGCTAAACACAGGTTAGAAGAAAAAGATGAGAAAAAATATAATATAAAAACACTAATCAAAAGAAAGTTGTAGAGGCTATATAAAAATCAAACTAACTATATTTTTAAATAAGCAATATTACCATGGATGAAGAGGAGTATTATATAATAAGTCAATTTTTCAAGAGGATATAACAATCCTAAGTGTATAGGCACCTCATAACAAAGCGTCAAAATACATAAAGCAAAAAAATGATAGAATCAAAAGAAGAAATAAACAAATCCATAATTATAGTTGGTTTCAAAACTCCTCTCTCAATATTTAGTAGAACAAGTAGACAGAAAACTAATTAGGATAAAAAAGACTTGGCAAAATTATCAACCAACTTAACCAATTTTACAGACACTCCAACAATGTCAGAATACACATACTTTTCAAGAGTACACAGAACACTCACCAAAATCAACTATATTTTATGTCATAAAGCAATATGAGAGGATTAAAATCATACACAGTATATTAACTGACTATAGCATAATTGAACTAAAAATCAATAACAGAAAGATATCAGAAAACCCACAAGTATTTGGAAATTAAATAGCATATTTCTAAATAATTCTAACTATATTGAATAAAATAAAAATAAAAATATATAAAATTGGTAACAATTAGCTAAAGCAGAACTTAGAGGGAAATGTATAGCATGAGATGCGAATATCAGCAATGAAAAAAGTTCCCAAATCAATTATCTAAGCTGCACCTTAAGAAACTAGGAAAAAAATGGCAAAACAAACCCAAAGTAAACAAAATGAAGGAAATAATAAAGAGTAGAATTAATGAAAGTGAAAACAAAAAAATTATAAAACTTTATGAAACCAAAAGCTGGTTCTTTTTAAAAATGAATAAAATTAATAAACATTTACCAGAATTTATAAGAAAAAAGAAAAAACAAAAACTTGAAAAAATCAGGATGGAAGGGGAGATATCATCATAAATCCTATAGACATTAAAAGGATTATAAGAATATGAATAATTTTCTGCAATTAAATTCAACTACTTAAATGAAGTGAACCAGTTCCCTATGAGACTCCATCAAAGCTCACCCAAGTAAAATGTATAACCTAAATAGCCCATATGTGTTTAAAAAATTGAATTCATGACTTAAAATTTCCCACAAAGAAAACCCCTGATCCACAAAGTATCCTTGGTAAATTCTACAACATTTAAGGATTAAATAATACCAATTTTACATAAACTCTTCTACTTCCAGGAAGATGGATAGACTTATGTTTCCCTATTCCTCCTGCTAAGTATAAATAAAAACCATGGCCATTTTATACAGAAGAAACATAAGACTCTGGAATATGTAGAGAGGAATGAAGACTATCTATGAACCTCAGGACCCAAGAAGGGACATGATAGTGAGTTTCTTGGATTTTCTTTATGCCTCATAGACCTCAGAATGGGAGAAAAAAAAAAAAAAAGCCAGCAAGCCAGAAATACCAGTGGATGCAGACAAAACAACAACAACAACAAAACTGTTCTCTTCAGCAGAGAGAGATGAACCAGCAAAGAGACAGCCTAGCGAGACAGAAAACTTACAGACAATAAGCATGCTACTTCAGCCATACACCACAGAAAAAACAGGAATCCTTATCATGATTGAAATGTTTTGTGTCTTGACTGTATCAATGTCAGTATCTTGGTTGTGATATTGTACTATAGTTTTTCAAGCTATTACCATTAGGGGAGACCAGGTAAATGGTACACAAGATCTGTCTGTATTATTCCTTACAACTATAAATATACCTATAATTATCTCAAAATCGTAAGTTTAATTTTTTAAATCACCATACAAAACCTGCAGATGTTTATAACAGCATTATTCGTAACTGCCAAAACTTGGAAGAAACCAAGATGTACTTCAGTAGGTAAATGGATAAACTGCAGTACATCCAGACAGTGGATTATTATTCAATGCTTTTTAAAAAATCAGCTATCAAGCCATGAAAAGAAACAGAGGGAACTTAAACACATACTACTAAGTGAAAGATGTCAATATGAAAAGGCTACATACTGTATTATTCTAACTATGTGACATTCTGAAAAATGGAAAACAATGGAGGCAGTAAAAACACTGGTTGCCCAGAGTTAAGAGTGAGGATGGCATGAGTAGGTCAAGCACAGAAAAATTTTAGGACACTGAAACAATAATGATGAATATGATACTATAATGGTGGATACTTGTCATATACTATAATGATACAACATGATACTGTATTTGTACAATACTGTAACGGTGGATACATACAATTATACTGCAATGACATATACTAAAATGGTGGATACGTGGCATTAAACTGTAATGATACAATATGATACTGTAATGGTAGATACATGTCATTATAAATTTGTCCAAACACATAGAATGTACAACGCAAAGGGCAAACCCTACGGTAAACTACGGACTCTGAGTGATAATGAGGTGAATGCAGGTGCATCACTTGTAACAAAGGTACCGCTCTGGTGGGGAATGTTGATAGTGGTGGAGGTTGTGCATGTGTCGAGGCAGAAGATATAAGGGTAATCTCTGTACTTGCTGCTCAATTTGCTGTGAAACTAAAACTGCCCTAAAAAAAAAAAAATAAAGTATATTAAGAAAAGGCATAGAGAAAACTTCTCAACAAATTTTATGAAAACAGAATTAACGTGACACCAAATACGTTATGAGCAAATGACAGATCAGCTTTCCTCATAAACACAAATGCAAAATTCCTTAGCAAAATGTTAACAAATCAAATCACACAATATAAGAATAAGATAATATATCATGGCTAAATGCGGTAATCCTAGGAATACAAGATTAGTTTTAAGATTCAAAAATCAGTCAGTGAAGTTTACCATATTAATGTGCTACATTTAAAAATCATATGATCATCTTCATAAATGCAGAGAAGGCGTTTGACAAAATTGAACACCAAATCTTCATTTTAAAATATCAAAAAAAAAACAGAAATCAAAGGAAATGTCAACTTAAAGGATATCCAAAGAAAACATATTTAATTGTGAGGGACTGCCTGCTTTCTCTCTAAGTTTGGGAACAAGGCAAGGTTTTCCATCCTCATCACTTTTGTTCATCATTGCCATGAATGTCCTTCATAACGTGGTAAGGGAAGACATGGCTACACAGATGGGGTCTCATAAAACAAAGTGAATGATCTTCTTTGATCATTTATTTTGTCCTTTGCACTAAATTTCATCTTTATACTTAATGTTATTTTATTAAATAATCAGCTATTTAAAGGGAAACAATTATTACATAAGCTATACATTGCATGTAGCAATGAATTATCACATAACTACAGATATGAGGAAGACCGTATTGTCTCAGAAGCTTGATTTGGGCTCAGAGATATAAGCAGCATATTAAACCCATTTCTCAGAAGCCTGTGTACACTAAAGCAGAGATTCCAAACAAAGGAAACAGTTTTTTTCTATTTTAACCTAATAATGATATTCATTTCAGCAGATCCTTAGGGAAATCTACCAGAAAAAACTTGCTCATCAAATTCGGGTTTGGTTGAAAGTGATAAATGTTGGTGGCACATACAGGGCTCTTTTACATCCCATGGAGCCTTGATGTGGCCTCAGATTCATCACAACACCCTGCTCTGGTCATTCACCTCAAAACATCTGGATAAATACGTGGAATGAAATCTATTTTCTATCCCTGTAATAAAGTCCTGTTACTTGGGGGAAAATGTTTGTAATTCACACTGTACTCATTCAGGCTGGTCCATCTGTTGCTGGTCTGATTAGGGATATTGGTCTTTTCTTTAAAACATTGAGGTTTTTATGTCTTAAAATAGTCCGGCCACCAGACACTACAGTCTAGAAAGTGAATTCGTAATAATTATACTTCATGTAGGAAGTTCATAAAGAAGTTACCAGTTTATTTCTTATAAATCAGGAGCCTCTGGCTGTCACTCAGGAGACTGAAATATGTTCATCTTAAGGTAGGTATGCTTAACTGTTTTTAAGAATTCCAAAAGTGGGCCAGGTGCAGTGGCTCACGCCTGTAATCCCAGCATTTTGGGAGGCCAAGGCGGGTGGATCACCTGAGGTCAGGAATTTGAGACCAGCATGGCCAACATGGTGAAACCCCGTCTCTACTAAAAATACAAAAATTAGTCGGGTGTGGTGGTGGGCGCCTGTAATCCCAGCTACTTGGGAGGCTGAGGCAGGAGAATTCCTTGAGCTCGGGAGGCAGAGGTTGCCGTGAGCTGAGATCGTGCTACTGCACTCCAGCCTGGGTGACAGAGCAAGACTCTGTCTTAAAAAAAAAAAAAAAAAAAAAAAAAAATCCAAAAGTGGCTGGGTGCGGAGGCTCATGCCTGTAATCCCATCAATTCTGGAGATTGAGGTGGGCAGATCACCTGAGGTCAGGGTCAGGAGTTCGAGACCAGCCTGGCCAACATGGTGAAACCCCATCTCTACTAAAAATACAAAATTAGCTGGGCATAGTGACAGATGCCTGTAATCCCAGCTACTCAGGAAGCTGAGGCAGAAGAATCGCTTGAACCCGGGAGGCGGAGGTTGCAGTGAGCAGAGATTGCGCCCCTGCACTCCCGCCTGGGTGACAGAGCAAGACACCGTCTCCAGAAAAAAAAAGAATTCCAAAAGTTAAGAGAAAAAGTTAGATCTAGAATTCCATGTGCCAGTCTCCTGTCCCACAGGCCAGGAGACTCCAGGCCCTACGGAGGTGAGAACATCTTACATTTTAGCAGTCTGCCCTTGATGAGACAGCCAAACGCTGTCAGGTGCCCTAACACCTATTACAGAAACCACAACAATAGAAATGGGGTCTTCAAGAAATTGCCACAGATCATTGGCAGAGCCAAAGTTACAAAGTTTGCTTTAAACATAGTGTTCAGGCCGGGCGCGGTGGCTCATGCCTGTAATCCCAGCACTTTGGGAGGCTGAGGTGGGCTGATCACTTGAGGTCAGGAGTTCAAGACCAGCCAGACCAACATGGTGAAACCCTGTCTCTACTGAAAATACAAAAATTAGCCGGGTGTGGTGGCAGGTGCCTGTAATCCCAGCTACTCAAGAGACTGAGGCAGAAGAATCACTTGAACCTGGGAGGCGGAGGTTGCAGTGAGCAGAGATTGCACCACTGCACTCCAGCCTGGGCAATAGAGTGAGACTCCGTCTCCAAAAATAAAAAAAAATAAAGATGGTGTTCAGTGTAAACCTTTCTTTACAAATCCTATCTAGCTGTTGAAAGAGTGTCCCTTAAAGTTGATTACATATCCAATAGCTCGATTTCTGAAAGAAATCCCTGATTTGGGGGAATATAGATCTTTGTAGGCGCTGGCTTCTTGGGTTTCTAAGCTGCATGCAGGAGAGTCATGGAATTTAAGCTTTAGGCTAAGGTCATGTGGCACTGAACCCACAAGTGGTTTAAGGTCTGCAATGGGAAGCAATTGTGTCTTTTGAAACACTGTGAGTAGAACAGTTGAGACTCTGACATCAGAGCAGGGAGGGTTTTCAAGGACCAGCTTCTGTGAGACAAACCTTCCAAAGCAAGTACTAGACAGGACAGTCATTGTGTCACCTACCCCTGGAGTTTTATGTTCAAATGACATGAACAAGGATGGATAACTCTTGTCTGCCTGGGTGCCATGAGCCAGGGGTCTCTGAGGCCAGGTGTTTTCAGGGACTTCCCACCTTCTCACGCTTTCCCCCTCCCATTCTTTATCTTCAGGGGGAGCTGACTATGACCAGCCACATGGAGAACTTACAGAATGCCCTGTACTTCGATATGGTGCCAGAGTCCTGGGCTAGACGAGCCTACCCTTCCACAGCAGGCCTGGCAGCCTGGTTTCCAGACCTCCTCAACAGAATCAAGGAGCTAGAGGCTTGGACGGGTGACTTTACAATGCCCTCCACTGTGTGGCTGACAGGCTTCTTCAACCCCCAGTCGTTCCTGACTGCCATCATGCAGTCCACGGCTCGCAAGAATGAGTGGCCACTGGACCAGATGGCCCTGCAATGTGACATGACGAAGAAGAACAGAGAAGAGTTTAGGAGTCCTCCTCGGGAAGGGGCCTACATCCATGGCCTCTTCATGGAAGGTGCCTGCTGGGACACACAGGTAAAGCTTGGAATGAACCAAAGGGCAGCTTTCTGGGGGCTGATTAAATACACATTGCTTCCTATGAAGTGTGACTACTAAAAGAGATATTCCTGAATCTTTTTCTCTAGCTAACCTTCTTTCCTTGAGGCCATCAGGCCATTTTTATTTAGCCAGGGGTGGTGCAAAGAGCGTAAGTTTTGCAGAGGCAGTAGAGTGGAGAGGTTAATAGCAAGGGCTTTGGAACCAGACTGGCTGGGTCTGAATCCCAGCACCACCATTTATTAACTCTGTAACTTTAGATATAGTTTCACCTTTCCAGACCTCACCTGTTAGATGGGAGAAGAGCGTCATTGTAAAAGTTAAACGAGCTAATATGTAAGACACTTGAACAGTGCCTGGCACATAGGCAGTTATCAAAAAATGTTGGAGTCAGCTATCTCTGCTGCTGCTGCTGTGTGTCTGTCGCCCAGGCTGGAGTACAGTGGCACGATCTTAGCTCACTGCAACCTCCGCCTCCCGAGTTCAAGCAATTCTCCTGCCTCACCTCCTTGGTCCACTTTCCACATTCATGAGCTCTCAAAGGGCAGGAATCTTCTGCCTTTTATGTTGTCCTATGTTGGCAAAGAGGAGCCAGTAGATATCACTTAAAGTGGCATTTTGAAAGGATTCCTTATCAAAGGCTAATAAAAACGTGAGTCACATGAGATTGGAGAAGATGTTTTGTCACCAATAAGAATATGCAAATAGAGATTTACTTGGTTAAGTAGTGCCCCCAAAAATTCATGTCTAGGCATAACCCCAGAATGATTATTTAGAAATAAGGTCTTTGCAGATGTAATTAGTTATGATGAGGTCATACTGGATTATCATGAACCCTAAATCCAATGACCAGTGCCCTTATAAGAAGACACACAGGTCGGGCACAGTGGCTCACACCTGTAATCCCAGCACTTTGGGAGGCCGAGGCGGGCAGATCACCTGAGGTCAGGAGTTTGAGACCAGCCTGACCAACATGGAGAAACCCCATCTCTACTAAAAATACAAAATTAGCCGGGCATGGTGGTGCATGCCTGTTATCCCAGCTACTCGGAATGCTGAAGCAGGAGAATCGCTTGAACCCGGGAGGTGGAGGTTGCAGTGAGCCGAGATCGCACCATTGCATTCCAGCCTGGGCAACAAGAGCAAAACTCCGTCTCAAAAAAAAAAAAAGAAGACAACGACCACATAGATGGGCACAGATATGGGAACAATAGACACTGGATTATTAGAGGGTGTAGGGAGAGGTGGGGGTTAATAAAAACTAACTATCCGGTACTATGCTCACTAACTAGATGAAGGGATCCATACTCCAAACCTCAGCATCATACAATATTCCCATGTAACAAATCTGCATATGTATCCCCTGTATCTAAGAGTTGAAATTTTTTTTAAAAAAAAGAAACTAAAAGGAAAAGAGATGGAAAATTTTGTTGAGACATGTTTTATAATGCTTACCATTCTAGTGGATATAGCAAGTAAAGTCTCATGGAGTATATTAGCAGTAGGAAATGTATTCATTCATTCCATATAGGCTTGCAGTTAAACAAATTACCTCAAAAAAACAAAACAAAGAAGACCATGTAGAGACACAGAAGAGAATTCCCTATGAAGACAGAGGCAGAATTGGAGTGATGTATCTACAAGCCGAGGAATTCCAGGGATTACCAGCAACCATCAGAAGCTAGGAAAGGTATGGGATGGTTTCTGCTTCAGAACCTCCAGGAGGACCAACTCTGCCCATACTTTGACTTAGGACTTCTGGCCTCCAGAACTGTGAGATAATATGTTGTTTCAAGCCATCAAGTTTGTGGCATTTTATTATGCCAGCCCTAGGAAAGCAATTCAAGAGCCAACAGAAAGGACAGTAAAGTAGGGTAATGTTTAGAAAGCCTGAATCTTGAGAAGGAAGTTGACTTCCCTCTCTCCACCTGAACATTTGCACAAGATTCTGTCAGTGGAGATCATATATGGATTGCATTAGGTATAAGGTGGCCTAGAGCAAGCCACAGCTATTAATAGAATCCTCCAAACCACCAAAATGAGAGAAGTACCAAAAGGAAAGTAGGCAAGAAGCTCAGAAGGAAAGTCAGTGACACTGGAAGTGGGGGAATGATATCAGTTTCAATTGTCAACCTCCCATTTTTCATACCTCATTGTAAATAATAATAAAAACTTCCCCAAAATCAATACTTCTTCACCAAAAGCTGTTGTTCTCAAAGGTTTTATCCCAGAAAGATGTCGGCAAAAATGGAAGAGTCAGGACCTCCTAAAATCCTCTCCTCCATAAAACAATGAGAACATTCACAAAAACTGAGTCAGAATCAACTTTCTTAGAATTCTGGAAATTAACCAAAGGCTTTCAGCAATCCAAGAAGTGTTTACTCAAGCAAAACAGCTGAATCTCAGTAGGAAGAACAGTCTATGGCCTTTTAACTTGTCTATTCCCATCTCAACCCAACCCCTAGCTTGGAGGTTACCTATAAAACCAACAGACCACAATCACAGTGAAACCAGTAGCCTGGAAACCACTGGAAGGGGCAAAATGGGGTTGGAGCACCTTCAAAGCCCTGTTCCCCACCCCCCCACAAAAAAACTGTCATTATTTTGCCTGTCCAGGGATTCCCTGGACTCACAAGTCTTTATCTCACCTGAGTTGGAACTCACCCAGGGCAACAGTCTTTTTCCCCAGGGCATTTGTTGAAGACAATCAAAGACAACTGCTTAACACTGCAGTTTGTCTGAAGCAGTAGATAATAGTGGTGCAAACAGTAGGCTAATCAAAAAGCTTAAAAGGGCAAGTCGGAGAATGAGATGGCCATAGGGGGCTTTGAAAACCCCTGACATGTTCCTGGAAATCTAGGCCATGCCTATGTGCAGATCTGTGCACCCATCCACAGCTGTGGACATGCTCAAGAGAGTTGAGAAGGCAGTACACTCTAGCTAACCTTGAGGTTCTAGGAAAACAGGGGAGTGAAATCTAAGCAGAGTTTTAAACTGCCTGGCTAAGCACTGAAGGTGTGCTCCAACACTTGCACACAGCCACTCAGCCAAGACTTTGTGACTTATTGGTTCTAGGCATTTGAGAAAATCTGTCCAATTATTTGGTGACCTCTAAGCTAACAGAGCAGGCCACTTCAGTGGCCATACTTGACAAAGAATATAGACTTTACAGAATCAGTTCAGAAAAGTCACTAAACAAACCCTGGCAAGAGAGAGAATATGATTTGCAGAGTGGCCACATTATTTAAAATGTCCAAGTTTTCAACAAAAAAATTATGATATACAAAGAAACAAAAAGCAATGGCCCATACACAAGGAAGAAAGCAATCAACGCAAACTATTCCTGAGGGGGATCAAATATTGGACTTGCTAGACAAAGACTTTAAATCAGCTATTTTAAAGATGTTCCAATAACCAAAAGAAACCATGTCTAAATAACTAAAGAAAATTGTGTGAACTATGTATCACTGAATAGAGAATACAGAGAGAAAAATTATATATGTTTTTAAAAAAATAAAGTAGAAACTCTGGATTTGAAAAATATAATACCTAAAATGAAAACTCAGTAGAGGAATTCAATAGCAGAATTGAATAAGCAGAAAAATCAGCAAATTTAGAATCAGATCAATTGAAATTATCCCGTTAGAAGAAAAAAATGAGAAAATGAAGAGTCTCAGAGACCTGTGGGACACCATCAAGCATAACAACATATGCACAATGGTAGTTTAGAAAGGAAAGGAGAGATAAAGGGACAGAAAGACTATTTGAAGAGATAATGACCCAAAACTGCCCAAATTTGAAGAAAAACATTAATTTACATTAATTTACATGTCCAAGAAGCTCAGTGAAATCCAAGTAGAACAAACTCAGAGATCCATACCAAGACATATTATAGTCAAACTGGTGAAAGATAAAGAAGAAAATCTTGAAAGCAACAAAAGTGGCTCATCACTTAACAAGGGGTTCTCAATGAGAGTAATAGCTGATTGCTCATCAGAAACCATGAAAGAGGAAGGCAGTACGATGGCATAGTCAAAATGCTGAAAGAAAAAGACTATCTGCCAAGAATCCTACCTGCAGCAAAACTCTCTTTCAAAAGTGAAGAAAGTGAGACATTCTCAGATTTTTTAAGAGAGAGAGACAGAGAGAGAGAGAATTCATCACTAGTAAACCAGCCTTATAGGAAATACTAAAGGGAGTCCTTCAGGCAAAAGGAAAGGATACTAGACAGAAACTCAAGTCCACACAAAGATATAGAATATTGACAAAGGCAATTACATATGTAAGCATAAAAGATAGTATAAATGCATCATTTGTAATTTTTATTTCTCTTCTATCTAATTTAAAGGACAACTGCATAAGGAAATAATTATAAATCTGTGTTGATGGATAGAAATGTATAAAGATGTAATGTAAATGATGAAAACAGCACAAAGGAGGGAGAGGGAATGGAGCTATACAAGATTAGCTTTTGTATACCATTGAAAGTAAGCTGGAATTAGGCTGGGCACAGTGGCTCAAGCCTGTAATCCCAGCACTTTGGGAGGATGAGGTGGTTGGATCACTTGAGGTCAGGAGTTCAAGACCAGCCTGGCCCATATGGCAAAATTAGCCAGGCATGGTGGCACACACCTGGAGTCCCAGCTACTGGGGAGGCTAAGGCAGGAGAATTGCTTGAACCCAGGAGGCAGAGGTTGCAGTGAGCCGAGATCATGCCATTGCACTCCAGCCTGGGCAACAGAGTGAGACTCCATCTCAAAAAAAAAAAAAAAAAAAAGTAAGCTGGAATTAATCTGAAATAGATTGTTATGTACATTAGAATATTTTTTGTTTTTTGTTTTTTTTAAGACTAGGTGACTAACTTTGCCACCCAGGCGGGAGTGCAGTGGCATGAACAGGGCTCACTGCAGCCTCAACTTCCTGGGCTCAAGCAATCCTCTTGCCTCAGTTCCCAAGTAGCTGGGACTACAGGCATGTGCCACCATGCCCGGCTAACTTTTTTGAATTTTAATAGAGATGAGTTCTCCCTATGTTGCCCAGGCTGGCCTCCAACTCCTGAGCTCAAGAGATCTTCCTGCCTTGGCCTCCCAGGGTGCTGAGATTACAGGTGTAAGGCACCATGCCCAGTCTTAGAATGGTAATTGTAATCCCCAAGGCAACCACTAATAATTTAAAAAATAGTAAACAAGGGAAATTAAAATGATACACTAGCGTATATCTGGTAATACAAGAGAAGACAGTAATGGAGAACTAGAGAAATAAAAAAGACATATAGAAAACGAATAGCAGATTCTACTTAATCAGTGATTACATTAAATGTAAATGGATTAAGCAATACAATTTTAAAAAGGCAGAGATTAGCTAAATGAATTTTAAAAAACAAACCATGAAACCCATCATGATCCAATTATATCATTTCCACAAAAGACACGTTTTAGATTGGAAGATACCAATAGGTTAAAAGAAAACAGATGGAAACAGATATGCCATGCAAACAGTAACCAAAAGGCAGCTGAGAGGCTATACTGTATCAGACAAAATAGACTTTATAAGGTAAAAATTGTTACTGAAAAATAAATAGGATAGAAATTATAGAGACAAAAAAAGGACATTTTATGAGAATAAAAAGATCAACCCATCAAGAAGATACAATTGTAAATATGTATGCACCTAACAAAAGAGCCCCCAAAATATACAAAACAGAAACTGACAGAATTAAAGGAAGAAGTAAACAATTCAACCATAATAATTGGAGCTGTCAATACATCCTGTTAATGGTGACTGCTAATGATCATAGAGTTTCTTTTTGGGGAGATGCAAATGTTTTAGAATTAGACAGTGATAATGATCGTACAACTTTGTCAACACACCAAAAACCACTAAATTATACACTTTAAAAGGATTGGTTTTACAGTATGTTGGGGAAAAAAAAAGAGGTTCTACCTCTGTTCCTATTCCTTGCCATACACATTCATCTCTATGGGGCAAGGAGGTCCCCACTGTTTACCTTAATTCTGTTACTCACCATCCTTTACCTCATCAGCCTCTAAAAGAAGTGAAGAGCTACATCCTTCCCTTTAAATAAATTTCACACAAATAAACCAAACTTTGTCCATGGCATAAAGGCCTCAGAGTCACATGGACACAAAGAATCTGTGAAACACTCTGAATCAGCATTTCCCAAAGTATGGTCCATAAGGCACTAGTGCTATGGGAAATGAATAGGTTGCAAAGAGAAAGGTCCTGTGGTCAAATAAGTTTGGGAAACACCAGGTTAAATAAACTGTTTTCTTTATTGCTAGGACTTCTTGTGTTCAGTGTGGTAGTGTATGTTGTAAAACGTCAAGTCCAGAATATGGTAAGCACCACTTCCCAAATTTATTGGACCAAGGGAGACTTTGGCTCCGCAGAACATTTCTCGGGACTAGTAGGAAAAATTGCTCTGTACAGCTGTATTGAAATAGCTCAGAAAATCATAGGGAGGCCTCATCTGGAAAGCTACAGAATACTCAGGTCCACATTACATGAGTAAAGATAGAATGTAGCCCTCTCCACTCTAGAGGATGGAGGAAGTTGCATATGAAATAGAAAAGAAACAGAAACAGGACATAACAAAAGCTTTAAAAGCTAAAGCATTTACTGGCAGAAACTGTGTCTTAGTCATTTTTAAATCCCCAGCACCTAGCCCGACATCTGGCAAATATACACATTCGATATGCTCATGAAATGAATTAATGAAAAAACAAACTAGGAGAGAATCAAGCTCCAAAGGGATTCATTTGTATATGATAATAGCTTTTGGAACTCTGCTTCACCTGATTTAGGCAGAGAAAAATAGAAACGTGTTTCTACATATCAGATGCATTCCATCAAAGGCTGCTGAGAAAACCTGGAAGGGGGCAGGCATAAAGGCAGCCATGTCAGTCCAGTCTTTCCTCCCTTGGATCTGCTGACAAGAGCAAGGCTGGTTGGCTGGGCTCTGGGTCTGATCTAAGGTGCCTCTTCTCATGTTTTATCCTCAGGCTGGGATCATTACAGAGGCAAAGCTGAAGGATCTGACACCCCCTATGCCTGTGATGTTCATCAAGGCCATTCCTGCAGATAAGCAGGACTGCCGCAGTGTCTATTCCTGTCCTGTGTACAAGACTAGTCAGCGGGGACCCACCTACGTGTGGACTTTCAACCTGAAGACTAAGGAAAACCCATCCAAGTGGGTTCTGGCTGGAGTAGCCTTGCTTCTCCAGATTTAGCATCCTGCAGAGCCACCGAGAAAATAAAAAAGCTGGGCTTGGAGGCTGCCTAGAGGGACAGGTGGGTGAAGGGTCACCACAGACACTTAGAACGGTAAGAAACCATGAGCACTCACAATTCTGTAGAATTCCTCTAGGGAACTTGGAGAGGTGTGCCTAAGGTGAGGCTGAGCTGAAGGAATGTGGGCCCAGGTTTCTTAATAAAATGATTTACTCTTCAACTGTGTCTGGCCCAGGATTTGAGAGCTGCTGAATCATAAATGATCATGTAGAGACCAAGAGAAACAAACCACAAGGGCCCTGACCTTGTTACACAACACTATCCTAGGTGCTCTTCTTCCAGGCTACCCCACGCAGTCCTTGGACCAGTGGTATTGGCATCACCCATGAACCAGAATCTCCATTTTAACAATCTCTCTGGAAAATCTGTATGCACATTATAGTTTGAGAAACACTATCCTGGAGCAGGGGTCACCAACATTTTTCCATAAAGAGCCAGTTAGTGAATACTTTTAGTGATTTACAGGCCACAATGCCTCTGTTTGAACTTTGCAACTTTGCCGTGGTAGACCAACAGTAACCATAAATGATGAGTAAATGAAGGGGTGTGATTGCATTCTAACAAATTTTATTTACAAAAACAAGCAATGGGCCATATTTTGCTGATCCCTGCTGTAGAGGATAAGGGATGTGTATACTGATATTTATCCTTCATTAATTCATGCATCCACTCAATACATTTTAATCTGACACCTACTATTTGTTGTGGATACAATGTGAACAAGCAAACAGGAAGTATCTCCATCATCCTTTCGATCATTTAAGAGGAAGCCAAGAAGAAATCTTTACTGTAAAGCCTTTTTTTTTTTTTTGAGATGGAGTCTCGCTCTGTCACCCAGGGTGGAGTGCACTGGGGCAATCTCTGCTCACTGCAACCTCTACCTCCTGGGTTCAAGCGATTCTCCTGCCTCAGCCTCCCAACTAGCTGGGATTACAGGCGCCTGCCAACATGCCTGGCTAATTTTTATATTTTTGGTAGAGACAGGGTTCCACCATGTTGGTCAGGCTGATCTTGAACTCCTGACCTCAGGTGATGTGCCTGCCTCAGCCTCCCAAAGTGCTGGGATTACAGGCGTGAGCCACCGCGCCTGGCCATTCTAAAGCTTTTTAATCTAAAAGTTTTCTAGATTTACCTCCGTGGAACAAATTTTCACTGGAAGTCCAATGGGTTTAACAGTTTTGATGAGTTTTAAAAAGCTCTATGAGGCAGCTTGTTTGGTAAGAAAAGTATGGGAGGACCCAGTATTCCTTCTGTGATTATTCCCTCCTAACCTTGCAGAAACTTAATTTTGTGATTACTGTTTTGAACAGTGGTTCTTAAACTTGAACAGGCATCAGAATCCCCTGGAGGGCTTGTTAAAACAAAGATTACTGGGACCCGCCCTTCAATATTTCTGATTCAGTAAGTTTAAACAAATTGCCAATGCTGCTGGTCTGGAGGCCAGTTTGAGAACTCGTGATTTAAAACCTCAAATCCCATCATCCTATAAATCTCTGCTATATAGAATATGGAATCTGATGCTAATTCCTCTATGATTTTCCTGCTTTCTTCCTTGCAGTTCCTGCACCCCCTAAGTGGGGCCTTCTCATCTTCATGATACAAGGGAGTTAATAAATTTTACTGCTGGAAGCCAGGACCTCCAGCTTGGGTGTTGTCCCTCCTCTCCCATCAACTAGTAATGCACTTGCAGTTTCCTGACTATAGGTTAATCTGTTTTCAGGGAGATAACTCTGTCCACATTAGCATCATCCTTCCTGAGCCTCACCCATAGTAGTATAATAACATCAGGCAGGCCGGGCACAGCGGCTCATGCCTGTAATCCCAGCAATTTGGGAGGCTGAGGCAGGCGGATGACAAGGTCAGGAGATCAAGACCATCCTGGCCAACATGGTGAAACCCCGTCTCTACTAATACAAAAATTAGCTGAGTTTGGTGGTGCGTGCCTGTAATCCCAGCTACTCGGGAGGCTGAGGCAGGAGAATTGCTTGAACCAGGGAGTCGGAGGTTGCAGTGAGCCGAAATCACGCCACTGCACCACTGCATTCCAGCCTGGCGACAAAGCAAGACTCTGTCTCACCAAAAAAAAAAAAAAAAAAAAAAAATCAGGCCTAAAGAAGGAGGTGGAAGATGGTGGGAGGTGGAAGATGGTGGGAGGGGGAAGTCTCACTGTCAGGCCTCTGAGCCCAAGCCAAGCCATCGCATCTCCTGTGACTTGCACCTATACGCCCAGATGGCCTGAAGTAACTGAAGAATCACAAAAGAAGTGAAAAGGCCCTGCCCCGCCTTAACTGATGACATTCCACCATTGTGATTTGTTCCTGCCCCAACTTAACTGAATGATTAACCCTGGGAATTTCCTTCTCCTGGCTCAGAAGCTCCCCCACTGAGCACCTTGTGACCCCCGCCCCTGCCCACCAGAGAACAACCCCCTTTGACTGTAATTTTCCATTACCTTCCCAAATCCTATAAAACGGCCCCACCCCTATCTCCCTTTGCTGACTCTCTTTTCGGACTCAGCCCACCTGCACCCAGGTGAAATAAACAACCATGTTGCTCACACAAAGCCTGTTTGGTGGTCTCTTCACACGGACGCACATGAAATTTGGTGCCGTGACTCGGATCGGGGGACCTCCCTTGGGAGATCAATCCTCCGTCCTCCTGCTCTTTGCTCCATGAGAAAGATCCACCTACGACCTCAGGTCCTCAGACTGATCAGCCCAAGAAACATCTCACCAATCTCAAATCCGGTAAGTGGCCTCTTTTTACTCTCTTCTCCAACCTCCCTCACTATCCCTCAACCTCTTTCTCCTTTCAATCTTGGCGCCACACTTCAATCTCTCCCTTCTCTTAATTTCAATTCCTTTCATTTTCTGGTAGAGACAAAGGAGACACGTTTTATCCGTGGACCCAAAACTCCGGCGCCGGTCACGGACTGGGAAGGCAGCCTTCCCTTGGTGTTTAATCATTGCAGGGACACCTCTCTGATTATACACTCACATTTCAAGGGTGTCAGACCACACAGGGACGCCTGCCTTGGTCCTTCACCCTTAGTGGCAAGTCCCGCTTTTCTGGGGAAGGGTCAAGTACCCCAACCCCTTCTCTTGTCTCTACCCCTTCTCTGCTTTTCTGGGGCAGGGGCAAGTACCCCTCAACCCCTTCTCCTTCACCCTTAGCGGCAAGTCCCGCTTTCCTAGGGGGCAAGAACCCCCCAATCCCTTATTTCCACACCCCAACCTCTTATCTCTGCGCCCCAGTCCCTTATTTCCACGCCCCAACCTCTTGTCTCTGCGCCCCAATCCCTTATCTCTGCGCCCCAATCCCTTATTTCCACACCCCAACCTCTTATCTCTGCGCCCCAGTCCCTTATTTCCACGCCCCAACCTCTTATCTCTGCGTCCCAATCCCTTATTTCCACGCCCCAACCTCTTATCTCTGCGCCCCAATCCCTTATCTCTGCGCCCCAATGCCTTATTTCCGCGCCCCGACCCCCCCCTCCCGCTTTTCTGGAAGGTAAGAACCCCCGAACCCCTTCCCTCCGTGTCTCTACGCTCTCTTTTCTCTGGGCTTGCCTCCTTCACTATGGGCTTGCCTCCTTCACTATGGGCAAGCTTCCACCTTCCATTCCTCCTTCTTCTCCCTTAGCCTGTATTCTTAAGAACTTAAAACCTCTTCAACTCTCACCTGACCTAAAATCTAGGCGTCTTATTTTCTTCTGCAATGCCGCTTGACCCCAATACAAACTCCACAGTAGTTCCAAATAGCCGGAAAACGGCACTTTCAATTTTTCCATCCTACAAGATCTAACTAATTCTTGTCGTAAAATGGGCAAATGGTCTGAGATGCCTGACGTCCAGGCATTCTTTTACACATCAGTCCATTCCTAGTCTCTGTGCCCAATGCAACTCGTCCCAAATCTCCCGCCTGTCCCCTCAGTCCCAACCCCAAGCGTCGCTGAGTCTTTCTAATCTTCCTTTTCTACAGACCCATCTGACCTCTCCCCTCCTCGCCTGGCCAAGCTAGGTCCCAATTCTTCCTCAGCCTCCACTCCTCCACCCTATAATCCTTTTATCGCCTCCCCTCCTCACACCTGCTCCGGCTTACAGTTTCATTCCGTGACTAGCCCTCCCCCACCTGCCCAGCAATTTACTCTTAAAAAGGTGGCTGGAGCTAAAGACATAGTCAAGGTTAATGCTCCTTTTTCTTTATCCCAGATCAGATAGCGTTTAGGCTCTTTTTCACCAAATATAAAAACCCAGTTCATGGCTCGTTTGGCAGCAACCCTGAGGCGCTTCACAGCCCCAGACCCTAAAAGGTCAAAAGGCCGTCTTATTCTCAATATACATTCTATTACCCAATCTGCTCCCGACATTAACTCCAAAAATTGGAATCTGGCCCTCAAACCCCACAGCAGGACTTAATTAACCTCACCTTCAAGGTGTACAATAACAGAAAAAAGTTGCAATTCCTTGCCTCCACTGTGAGACAAACCCCAGCCACATCTCCAGCACACAAGAACTTCCAAACGCCTGAACTGCAGCAGCCAGGCGTTCCTCCAGAACCTCCTCCCCCAGGAGCTTACTACAAGTGCCAGAAATCTGGCCACCAGGCCAAGGAATGCCTGCAGCCCAGGATTCCTCCTAAGCCGTGTCCCATCTGTACGGGACCCCACTGGAAATCGGACTGTTCAACTCACCTGGCAGACACTCCCAGAGCCCCTGGAACTCTGACCCAGGGCTCTCTGACTGACTCCTTCTTGGCTTACCGGCTGAAAACTGACGCTGCCTGATCGCCTCGGAAGCCCCGTAGACCATCACGGACGCCGAGCTTTAGGTAACTCTCACAGTGGAAGGTAAGTCCGTCCCCTTCTTAATCAATATGGAGGCTACCCACTCCACATTACCTTCTTTTCAAGGGCCTGTTTCCCTTGCCTCCATAACTGTTGTGGGTATTGACAGCCAGGTTTCTAAACTTCTTAAAACTCCCCAACTCTGGTGCCAACTTAGACAACACTCTTTTATGCACTCTTTTTTAGTTATCTCCACCTGCCCAGTTCCCTTATTAGGCCGAGATATTTTAACCAAATGATCTGCTTCCCTGACTATTCCTGGACTACAGCCACATCTCATTGCTGCCCTTCTTCCCAATCCAAAGCCTCCTTTGCGTCCTCCTCTTGTATCCCCCACCTTAACCCACAAGTATAAGATACCTCTACTCCCTCCTTGGTGACCGATCATGCACCCCTTACCATCTCATTAAAACCTAATCACCCTTACCCCGCTCAATGCCAATATCCCATCCCACAGCATGCTTTGAAAGGATTAAAGCCTGTTATCACTCGCCTGCTACAGCATGGCCTTTTAAAGCCTATAAACTCTCCTTACAATTCCCCCATTTTACCTGTCCTAAAACCAGACAAGCCTTACAAGTTAGTTCAGGATCTATGCCTTATCAACCAAATTGTTTTGCCTATCCACCCTATGATGCCAAACCCATATACTCTCCTATCCTCAATACCTCCCTCCACAATCCATTATTCTGTTCTGGATCTCAAACGTGCTTTCTTTACTACTCCTTTGTACCTGTCATCCCAGCCTCTCTTCGCTTTCACTTGGACTGACCCTGACACTCATCAGGTTCAGCAAATTACCTGGGCTGTACTGCCGCAAGGCTTCACAGACAGCCCCCATTACTTCAGTCAAGCCCAAATTTCATCCTCATCTGTTACCTATCTCGGCATAATTCTCGTAAAAACACACGAGCTCTCCCTGCTGATCGTGTCTGATTAATCTCCCAAACCTCAATCCCTTACAAAACAACAAACTCCTTTCCTTCCTAGGCATGGTTAATGCAGTCAGAATTCTTACACAAGAGCCAGGACCGCACCCTGTAGCCTTTCTGTCCAAACAACTTGACCTTACTGTTTTAGCCTAGCCCTCATGTCTGCGTGCAGCGGCTGCCGCTGCTTTAATACTTTTAGAGGCCTTTCCTACAAGGTCTGAGAAGGCCACCGTAGTCATTTCTTCCCTTCTGTCAGACATAATTCCTCAGTTTAGCCTTCCCACCTCTATACAGTCTGATAACAGACCAGCCTTTATTAGTCAAATCAGCCAAGCATTTTTTCAGGCTCTTAGTATTCAGTGACAGACTAATGGTCTATTAAAAACACACCTCACCAAGCTCAGCCACCAACTTAAAAAGGACTGGACAATACTTTTACCACTTTCCCTTCTCAGAAGTCAGACCTGTCCTCAGAATGCTACAAGGTACAGCCCATTTAAGCTCCTGTATAGACGCTCCTTTTTATTAGGCCCCAGTCTCATTCCAGACACCAGACCAACTTCGACTATGCCCCCAAATAACTTGTCATCCCTACTATCTTCCGTCTAGTCATACTCCTATTCACCATTCTCAACTACTCATACATGCCCTGCTCTTGTTTACACTGCCGGTTTACACTGTTTCTCCAAGCCATCACAGCTGATATCTCCTCGTCCTATCCCCAAACTGCCACTCTTAACTCTTGAATAAATAATCTTTGCTGGCAGGACTATGCTGAACCTCCATAGGCACTCTCTAATTAGATGTCCTAGGTCCTCCCAATTCTTAGTCCTTTTATACCTGTTTTTCTCCTTCTCTTATTCCACTTAGTTTTTCAATTCATACAAAACCGTATCCAGGCCATCACCAATCATTCTATACGACAAATGTTTCTTCTAACAACCCCACAATATCACCCCTTACCACAGATCTCCCTTCAGCTTAATCTCTCCCACTCTAGGTTCCCACACCGCCCCTAATCCTGCTTGAAGCAGCCCTGAGAAACATCACCCATTCTCTCTCCATACCACCCCCCAAAAATTTTCGCCGCCCCAACACTTCAACACTATTTTGTTTTATTTTTCTTATTAATAGAAGAAGGCAGGAATGTCAGGCCTCTGAGCCCAAGCCAAGCCATCGCATCCCCTGTGATTTGCACCTATACGCCCAGATGGCCTGAAGTAACTGAAGAATCACAAAAGAAGTGAAAAGGCCCTGCCCCGCCTTAACTGACGACATTCCACCATTGTGATTTGTTCCTGCCCCAACTTAACTGAGTGATTAACCCTGGGAATTTCCTTCTCCTGGCTCAGAAGCTCCCCCACTGAGCACCTTGTGACCCCCGCCCCTGCCCACCAGAGAACAACCCCCTTTGACTGTAATTTTCCATTACCTTCCCAAATCCTATAAAACGGCCCCACCCCTATCTCCCTTCGCTGACTCTCTTTTCGGACTCAGCCCACCTGCACCCAGGTGAAATAAACAACCATGTTGCTCACACAAAGCCTGTTTGGTGTTCTCTTCACACGGACGCGCATGAAACTCACTATACAGGCAGGACACTTTGAGGCATCTAACTTGTGGAGACAAGTACAATTGTACAGTTTAGATACATGTGTTAATAAACCACTAGAGAGTATTATAAACTAGATCAATGCTATCAATTTCTTCCTAACAAACACTCACAGACAAAATTAGACTATAACAGAGGTAATTTTAAAGCATAGAGCACACTTTGGCAAAAATGACAGCCCATGTGGGATGCCAGGAGAAAGGGGCAGCTTGAGGCAAGAGATCAAGTGGAAGGGTGGCTCAGAAAGAGGACACCAAAAACAAACTTACCTGAGATAAAGGTGTTGCCAGCACTGGCCAAGCTCCGATCGTCTGAACATTAGCCTAGGACTTTCCTATTACTGTTCTGCTACATTATGAACTTGAGGTTTATAGGGGCTGACTTTGGAGTTCAACTGCCTAGGGTCTTCTATGAAATAATGTGCTTTGAAATACAGTCAAACACACAGTGAACAAACAAATAAGATAGAAAGTGACTCTGCTAAGTTTATTTCAAACAAGGGACACTTGAAGTTAGTTTTTCACCCCTATGACAAAGAACACACGTGAGCTCACAGGCCCTCTATGCTTCTCCCCTTCTGGAACAGAAGACCTGCTCTAGAACTCATTTTAAGGGGCTGATCTGAGGTTCTTCCCATAAGCAGTGACTACAGCTAATCCCATTAAATGCTTCCCAGAAAGCACTTCTAAAACTGGATCTCCAATTTAGACTTTTTCCCCGATGGGTCCAAAGGAAGGATGAGTGGAAACATGAAGACTATTCTTTCTCCTGAGGCAGAATCAAGAATTTAAGCCATTGTGCAATCCAATCCAAGATATCCTCCAAGTCCAAAGCCATGTCCAGATTCTCTCCTCTCCAATCCAAGAAAAAAGGAGATTAACAGGGGTATCCTCTTAGACACAATTCCTCTTGATGGAGCTGAGTATTTTTGTGACTGGGCTGGGAGATAGAAATGGGGAAAGAGAGTTTGGTTACTGGCTATTGAAAGGGCTTCTTTCCTAAGTGGGATCTTTGATGTTTGTCAAGGCTCGAGCTCCAGCTGAAACTTTTCCCACAGTGCGAACATTTATAAGGTTTCTCTCCAGTGTGAACCCTCTGATGTCTATTAAAGTTTGATCTCTGAATGAAACTTTTCTCACAGATAGGACATTTATAGGGTTTCTCTCCTGTGTGGATTTTCTCGTGGTGGCGCAATCCTGAGAAGTCACTAAAGCCTTTCCCACAGTAATCACATTTACAGGGCTTCTCTCCCGTGTGAGTTCTCTGATGCTTCACAAAGTCTGAACTCCGCAGAAAGGCTTTTTTGCAGATGGTGCACTGAAAGTATGTCTCTCCGGTGTGAGTTCTTTGGTGAAAAATAAGCTGAGAATTCCTATAAAAGGTCTTCCCACACTCCCTGCAGGTGGGGAGCTTCTGGGCCATGGGGGCTCTTGGCTGCCCCTTCTGGGAGGTCTCTCTCTTCTCCTCAAGCCACATGGTGGACATTTCTCCTGAATGAGGATTAGGCAAATGCTGACCTAGTTGTTTCTCAGAAATCCTTTCTTGAGGAGACAGCTGTTCCCCTGTTCCCTCATCCTGAATGTTTTGCAGAGCCTCAGGGAGATTCTCTCCTTCTCCAAAGCATCCTGGCTCATCCTCAGTGAAGAAGCCCCTCAAGGAAGCCTGAGAAGGAACCTCTCCTGAAGCTTGACAGGAAGCATGCAGGAGCTCCTGGTCCCTGTGATTCTCCAAATTTAGGTTCTCCTTGTCATTCTCTTGTCTATCTCCTAAAAGAAGAAAGAAGATTTGAAATGGTTCAAGTGCTATGCCCTGTTTTCTAACTCATATGTCAAAGAGAGGGTCATCATAAAACATTCATTTTCTTTTTTTTTTTTTTTTTTTTTTTTTTAGGGCATTAGTAAGTGAGAAAGAAAACTACCATATGGCCCAAATGTTCAAACTCACTTCCCCTGTCCTGGGTTCAAGGCTAAATGGTTCAGCTCTGGAGCTGAGGATTTTTAAACAACACAGGAGTACTCATAAAGTGATCACTCCGTAAATAAAGCCACATGTATTTCTTAAGGACCAGGAAAAAAACAAGTATATTATAGGCAACTACTGCTTTTAAAGTGATTTTTATCTGATTATATATAAAAGATAAATATGGTAACTAAAAAAAAAAACTGAAGAGAGAGAAATATATACAGAAGAAAACCAAATCCGCCTCAATCTTACTACCCAGAGATAACAACTATGAGCATACATTTCCTTTCAGTCTTTTTAATTTAACCTATATGTATGCAGGTATATGCTATTTTCTGACATAATTTGTGTCATATTGTACATATAGTTCTATATCTAGCTATGGAGCATTTAATTGTGAATGGTGGCATTAATCAATGTAATATAGAGTCTCCCTCTCCCATTCATAAGACGCCCAAAATCTGTGAAATGCACGTGTCATTTTACCACAGCTGCAATGCAGCGGGGCTTTACTATAAAAGTGAATCCCTTGATCTGTGCTTGAATCTAGTATTTACATGCCCTTTATTAAATCACACTAGCAACTGGAAGTTTGTTTTTCTCATCGTAACTTGGGTTTTTGGTTATAGTACTTAATGATGCAAATAGAAAATTTTTATTTTGGTGGTAGGATTTTCAACTTTTATAAATTATTTTAACTATATAGATCTAAAGATGCCATTTACCTTTCTCTTTCACATATTAGTGTCTTTTCAATTGTCTGCCAGGGATCTAGACATCTTCTAGAGAGCTAGATCTGAACTTGTTAAGTCAAAAAGCCTTAGAATGTCCCTGAATCTAAAAATAAAATAAAATAAAATAAAAGCCTTAGAATATATTCCTCTCAAATGGCAAAGGTACTTTCTCGTGTTTTTAAAAAAGCCTTTATAAATATCATTTTAAAGAGCTGAGTAATGGCCCATCAAGAAGATGTCATAATAAACATATAATTTGTTCCCCTACCATGGAAATCTAATTTGCTTATTGTGTTTTTGCGACTACAAATAATGCTGTGATCAGCAGTTTTCTTCATAAGTTTTTGCCCACATTTCTCATCAATATCTCAAAGGAATTTCTCAAAGTAGAATTACTGTGTCAACGGGCATAAATATTAAGGCTCTTGACACCTACTGGCAACCCAACTTCCAGAACAACTCTGCCATCCTCTCATATGTGAAATTGGGCAGAGGGGGAAGTGGGTATTCAATACTTAAATATTGAATATTTTTAAACTTATGCCATTTAGATGGATGAAAAGTGGTTTTTCATTGTTTTAAATTTTAATTCTTAAGTTATGAAAGGATGAATCTTTATCACATTTATGAGCTATTTTTCATACTCGAAGACTGCTGCCCATATTTTACTGGGAAAGCACATTTTTCTTATCAACTTTCTTTAACTCTTTCTATATCAACAAAAATAATCATTTATCTGTCATGGTCATGAAAACTTTTTTTTTGAGATGGAGTTTTGCTCTGTCACCCAGGCTGGAGTGCAATGGCGTGATCTTGGCTCACTGCAACCTCTGCCTCCCAGGTTCAAGCGATTCTCCTGCCTCAGCCTCCCAAGTAGCTGGGATTACAGGTGCCCGCCACTATGCCCAGCTAATTTTTGTAGTGTAGTTAGATGGGGTTTCACCATGTTAGCCAGGCTGGTCTCGAACTCCTGACCTCAAATGATCCCCCCGCCTCAGCCTCCCACAGTGCTGGGATTACAGACGTGAGCCACCGCACCAGCCTGATCATGCTAAATTCTTATACAGACCAGCATCTCTTTTCTAGGCTCCCTTTTCTGTTCTATTGATCTGTGCATCTATTTTTATATCAGAATCACACTATTTTAATGATTTTTTACCTTTATAATACAACAGACAATATTTTCAGATCTAACATTCATGAAACATTCTTCTTTCAAAACATTTTTTTAAAACTATTCTTGCATGTTATATTCTTCCAGATAACTACTTTAAAAACTTTAATCCTTTGGATTTTTATTAGCAGGGTAAGTATATGGCTTTTTGAGACTGCCCCCTGCTGACCTGTTTTAACTAGGAGCTGTTCTTCCATATGGTCAACTATAACAGCATATTCACTCTCTATATTGACTTTTGCCCCTGATCTGAGTCCAGATTTGGTAAACTGGCAAACTGTTGTATTTTTCAAACCAGGCCTTTCCCATTTGGTTACTGTGACTTCCACAATTATTCTAGGTCTCCTCCCCGGACAGCCCGACTCCTGCACTGACTTCCTGCAGACTTCTCTCCTCCAAGTGTTCCCTTCCTATCTGTCCTACACGTTGCTGCCGGATTCATCTTCCTAAACCTCTTTCCACATATCCTCTTTTTTTTTTTTTTTTTTGAGACAGAGTTTCATTCTTGTTGCCCAGGCTGGAGTGCAATGGCGCGGTCTCGGCTCACTGCAACCTCCGCCTCCCAGGTTCAAGCGATTCTCCTGCCTCAGCCTCCCAAGTAGCTGGGATTACAGGTGCTCACACCATGCCCGGTTTTTTGTTTTTTTTTGCATTTTTTGTAGAGACAGGAACCTATAATAGCTTTTTTTTTTTTTTTTTTTGCCTATCAAGGCAGGATGACCCTTGTAGACTCCTCACATCTGGTTAAAGGCAGTATCTAATGGGACCATGTCAGCAGAGGTGGGATGAAGGAAAAACAAACAAACAAAAAACGAGTAGGAATATAGTGAGCTATATATAGCAAATAAGGTCAGACTACTAGGAGCTATATGGGAAATCTCTGCAGCTTCCATTCAATTCTACTATGAACCCAAAACTCGTCTTAAAAATAAATCCTGTCCAAAAAAAAATCCTACTGCAACAACCTCCAAAGCAATATTTTCAACCTTTTCTGACTACAACCCACTATAAGTTCTATGGACTAAACTGTGATCCCCCAAATTCATACGTTGAAACCCTAGCCCCCAGTATGATGGTATTTGGAGATGGGGCCTGGGGCCTTAGGGAGGGATTAGGTCTAGATGAGGTCCTAAGGGTGGAGTCCTCATGATGGGATTAGTTTCCTGTCTCCTCCTCTCCCTCTCTCACCTCCCCCTCTCCCAGTCTCTCCCTTCCTCTCCGCCTCTCCTCTCCCCAACCCCCCTCTCTGCTATGTGAAGACACAGCAAGAAAAGCGAGGTCAGCAAACCATACTGGCACCCTGATCTTGGACTTCCCAACCTCCAGAAATGTGAGAAATAAATGTTTGTTGTTTAAGCAACTTAGTCTATGGTATTTTGTTACAGCAGCCCAAGCTAAGGCAGTAATCGATATATTAATATTGAAACACAGTACATGCACACATATTTTAAACAAATATTTCCTGAAACACTACCCACCCCTACATCTGATATTTCCTCTTCAATCTTATTGTGTTTTTTTTTAACGCTGGTTGTAACTCTATCAAATGATTTCACGACTCACTAATTGGTTATGCAATGCAGTTTGAAAAATTCTGTTCCAGAAGAAATCCTTGTGAAATGGCCTGATAAATACGTTGTGTAAAATTAAAATCAAATATCTCAGCTAATGATTGCTCTCTCTGTGGTATATTAGCAAAAGAAAATAATTAATTAGATGCCACTGGGGAGAAAGAATGGCTTGCCCTACAATTCCCATCCTTGGTCCTCTTCTTCCTCTAAGGTTCTGGGATTTACTGTATATATAAAAGTGTGTGTGTGTGTGTGTGTGTGTGTGTGTGTGTGTGTGTGTAGGTTTCGCAATTAGTTTTTACGTAACTTCAATGTTTCAGAAAAAGTGTAGAAAGCAAAGAATGACTATTTTACAAGATAACAAGTTAAGATTTCTTCTTCCCTAGTCTTAAATAAATTATTTATACGAAGTATTTGTTGATGCTGCTGTTTTAAGAAGTGTTAGGTGCATAGGGATTAGATAAAACATTTTTTTCTGTTTGTTTTATGTCTAGATACTCTAACTTCTTGCTAGGAAGGGTAATAATGGCTGCTACATAATCCTTTGCAATGAAATTCTACTCTATTTGTATTGGTCTTAATTTGTGTGAATCTTAATTCTTTCAGAGAAAGAAAGCTAAAATAACAGACAAGATTAAAGGCAGCAGGTCTGATGTGTGGTCTTCCTTCCATAGTTAAATATGTGTCAACAGCCCTATAGCCAGAGATAAGTAGACTCAATCTCAATAGTTAAATCAAACCAATCAGATCATGGCTAGTTATAACCAACGTAATAGAATATTCTGCCTCCCCTGACCTCCTTCACCACCTCCCCAATCACCTCCAATTTAATGACAGGCAGTCAGAAATGATTCCAGACCAATGAAAGATTACTCACCTATGCAGGTGGGTCTTGGGATCTTCTCATTGACATGAAGGTATATTCCTGCCAGCTCTTCCCCAAATTCTATTGAATTAGTCAGGTCAGATTTGGGATGGGAAATGCCTGCTATAGAGAGAAAGATGTATGGTGGGCCTGGATGAATAGGGAAGACTGGGAGCTCAAGCTGTGTCTTTCAAAGGAGCACCCTACGCATGAGGGAAAATATGAAGGCTCTGGACACTTGCAGAAACTCACCTTAGAACAGTGTGTGGAGCTTGTAAGACACCAGTACTCACAGGATGACCTTGACAGATGGTAAAGGCCATGAAAAGAAGAGTCTAGGCAGGTGGACAGAAAGGTCTGTAGACTACCTGGCAGGCTGGTGTGAGAATCATGATGGGGATCCCACCAATGGTTGGTTGACAAGTGTGGTTTAGTAGAAAAGAGCATGGACTCAGAACCAGCCACAGCTGAGTTCCATCATAACTCAGCCCACTTATGAGCTATGTGGCAGTGGGTAAGTATTTGATCTGACACTCACTTTCATCAGGCTTAAAATGAGAATACCATCATCAATTTCATAGATTAAAGAAGTTACTCCGTGCAATGTACCCACAAACAGTTCCTGGCACACGGAATACTTTCAATACAAGGAAGTTCTTACTGTTAATTCTGCTAGCTCCAACTTGCCCCAGTTCCCAACTGTGTCCCTAACGATTTCTTTCACCTGGCGATTTTCAGTTCAGCAGATGTCTCTATAAGTGCATGGAAAATGCCTCACAGTTTTCCAGTCCTTCTACCTCCTTCCATCAGACTAACCCACACCCTCACCTCCTGAGACCATTTTCCCATAGGTCTCCAGCATGAGATCCCAGTATTGCTCCTTTTGAGTGGAATCCAGTTGTCTCCACTGTTCCTGGAAAAAAAAAAAAAAAAGCAATACAATACCATGACTCCAATGAAGGTGTTTGAACCTGCCTTCCCTGCCTAAAGGAAAGCTGAGAAGACAGAAACGTGCCATAGGATCCTGGCCATCGCAAGACCTGAGAAATCCCAGCAGAGTGGTTCAAGGGACAAAGAGGCCAAAGGGAAAACAACAGTCCCTATATCAGTGTTTCTTTCCTTGGTAAGAAAACATCTAGGCTTTACATTCTGCACCTCTTCAGGTGAATTATTTAAAAGTGGAGAACGTATAGAGGGCAGGAGCCTTTTCCATACTATTTGTTTTTATTTGGGTTTTTTTTTTTTTTTAGATGGAATCTCACTCTGTCGCCCAGGCTGGAGTGCAGTGGAGCAATCTCTGCTCACTGCAACCTCCACCTCCCAGGTTCAAGCGATTCTCCTGCCTCAGCTTCCCGAGGAAGCTTGGACTATAGGCACATGCCACCGTGCCTGGCTAATTTTTGTATTTTTAGTAGAGATGGGGTTTCACCATCAGGATGGTCTCGATCTCCTGACCTTGTGATCTGCCCGCCTTGGCCTCCTAAAGTGCTGGGATTACAGGTGTGAGCCACCTTGCCTGGCCGGTACTATTTGTTTTTTGTTTTTGTTTTTGTTTTTTAACTCAAGTGCTTGTACTAGACGTCTTTGAGGAGGAAGAGTCTGATAGTCCCACTATTTAATTAAAATCAGGAAATTCAAAAAGCAAAGAAAGAAGTTAAAAAGGAATCTGTTGGAAAAGCAAGTGCGAATCAGTAAGATGTAGTTAAGAGTCAACTGCATTGTAAGCTTCACCCTGAAACAAAGATTGGTATATTCAGAGAAGAGAGAGATGTTATAGCCATACTTGAAATATCTTAAAGTTCTGCATTTAGAGTCTAACATTAAATTAGTTTTCTTTCCAGATAGTGGAAAACTGGTAGGTTCTCTGGAGCAAGGTGTCCCAATCTCCAAAAGAAGCCCTGCTTTTCCTATGAAACGACAGACTGGAGACTCAAAACTGGGAATACCATACAGCTAGGGTCTGCTTTCATGAATTCAAATTTCAGTCTTCTACCAAGAAGCTGACTATTAGAAACTCAGATTGTATAGCAAAGGGATTAGCAGCCCATTTTTTGGAGTCAGACGTACTGAGTTTTAAGTCCCAACGTTGCCACTTTCTAGCTGTGCAACCTTGAGCAAGTTATTTAACCTTCCAGAGTTTCAGGCCTCACCTAATGATGGCACTGAACTCAAAAAAGTGTTGTGAGGTTTGAGATAAATAATGCAAGTGTCACCTGTTTTCATAGCACACTGTACTTTTTTTATTTATAGTATTTATCCATTTATTAACTATTTATGTGTATGTACAAATGTATGTGCACACATGTAAGTATTTGATTAACTGTTGCCTCTACTAGCAATGTAAGCTCCATGAGAAAAGGACTCTGTCATCCTCTCCATTGTATAATACCTTCCCAGTTCCCAAGACCCTGTCCAGGACAGAAGAGGCACTTGATATATGTTACCAGGGTGAAATAAAGCCCTTAGCAAACAGGTCCTCAGTAGATAATATATATTATTACCATCACATGCAGTCTCCCAGTCTCACCCCAAGGGTTTGCAGAGAGAATTAAGGGATTCTGCACACTTTCAGAAACCGCAAAGTGGATAGACATGAATAGCCAGGCTTCAGGGAATAGAAATGAGGAAAGGAACTACAAAGTCATCCTCCTACTGTACACAATATACTGTTTGGGGAAGGCACTCTCTGATATGATTTGGCTCTGTGTCCCCACCCAAATCTCATCTTGTAGCTCCCATAATTCCCATGTATTGTGAGAGGGACCTGGTGGGAGATAACTGAACCAAGTGGGCAGTTCTTTCCTGTGCTGTTCTCATCATAGTGAATAAGATAACATCCGATGGCTTTAAAAATGGGAGTTTGCCTGCACAAGCTCTCTCTTTGCCTGCCGCCATCCTTGAAAGATGTGACTTGCTCCTCCTTGCCTTCCACCATGATTGGGGGCCTCCCCAGCCATATGGAATTGTAAGTCCAATTAAACCTCTTTCTTTTGTAAACTGCCCATTCTCAGGTATGTCTTTATCAGCGGTGTGAAAACGGACTAATACACTCTCAGTCCTAAGTCAAGTCTGCCCCCTAGCACATCAAAGGGAAGTGGAAATGGCTCAAGGAGAAAAGAGATACCAAAAACTGTTCAATTAGCAGGTGCTAAGCCAAACACACAAACGAAAGAGGGTTTGGACTTTTTTGGGTGGGAAGGATAGGAAGCTGAAAAGCGACCTCAATATACTGAATTACACAGTCAACTATTAACTATAACCACATTTTTAATGTGAACTTTAATTTAAATTTTTTAATTTTTAAAGTATAAACAGCTAGCAGCTTATTCTGTTAATCTTCTGTGAATGCAGCTATTTTAACAACCTCCTGAAAATAATCACTTGAGCAAACATTGCTGAACACAGGAGTTCTCAGTCTTTGTGGTCAGAACACATGGACCTTGGCTTCAGTGCTAGCAGAGAAAAGGATGCACTTGCCAAGCACAGTAATATCTGCCTGGCTGCCTGGCTTGCTGACACAGGATCTATTCCATGAACACCAGAACAGTAACTACCAAGAAGAGTACAAGGCAGAAAAGGATACAGCCACCAAAACCCCCAAGGGTCAAAATCAGCTCACTCAAAAACCAGAAAAGTTGCTTCAGGAGCACTAACAGGGTACCTCCAGCTTAAAAACACAAATTTACTCAAGAAACTGCCAAGAAGCTGGGTACTTCGAATAAAACCTCCTACTGAAGAGGCAAGACGCCAATGGCAGCCAGCTTGCCTCTTTCTCATATTTAGAAGAGACGGAAAAACCTAACTTTCTATCCTGAAAGACAGACACATGGGATTTGATGGGAAAATTCTATTTTTGTGTGGAACTGGCACCATCTTGTGGGTTTATAAGATATTACAACTGACTTACACTTAGTTACACGCTGTTCCTTTCCTTTAAGTCTGAAAACAGGGGAAGGTGAGTAAATGCACTGCTGGAGTCTATGTGAGGTTCCAACCGAGTCATGGTTTCCACTAATGAAATAACTACTGTGTACTGATAGTAATACCGTATCATTATTCTGGCATTATTTATGAAGTTCCTCACTTATTTAAGAGATTAGAGGGAGTGATTAATTTAAAAATTCCTTTTACTTCCAAAGGATTCCATTAAATATCAAAGTCTTTCTGATGCAAATAATTGCTGTTAGTTTGGAGGGGATATTCAGATTGGGTAGGGACAACTTTTGTTCATTTGACTTAAATGGTTGCTAACTAGTTATCATCTGAAGGTAGGGAAATACAGACACACATATATATGTAAATACGGTTGTAAAAAACAAATTGGTGCTGATGAGCATTTTAAATCTTTTGACTTTAAGTTATCCAGAACAGGTGAGGATACTCTGTACCTACTACAGAAACAACAATAATCCTCCAAGCCTGGTTGACATATTCCACAGAACACCCAAATCTTTTTCACCAAGCAACATCTTGCTTAACAATTTGGTTTCTGGGCACCTTGAAAGCAGGCAGAAGGGTACCTTTGATTCACTAAAAAGATATTTCTCTCCCCTGCCACCTCCCCATCCACCTTCCCCCAGAGTAAACTATGAAATTGGTATTCTAGTTTTTATATATCTGAGCCTGGAGAGCTGAAGCTCAGACCCTGGTCTGAAACACAGCATTACCTACTGCCTTCTCTATTTTCATATTCACGCTACAGCAGATTGCAAGGCAAGTCCCAAGAGGAGTTCCTTCAACGTTTTAAATGATGTTTTAATTAAGATGTATAGGTTCGTGAAAAAAAAATTTTTTACAAAATACAACTTTTCAAAATTGTTAACTAAATATCAACATAAATCTGTCCCAGAGACTTTTATGTACAAGCAAAAATGAAGTATTAGGAATTGTTGAATTTACCTTCTGCCTGAAACAACTAAAAATGGGACAAAATGTATGAAACAATAGTTTTCAGACATTTCACATTACACAAGCAGAGCAGAACAAGATCCCTGAAAGTGGGAAAGCAAATTCAGTGAGCTCTAGTTATCCAAACTTACTGCCTAGACAGAGGATCCAGGCAGCAGCACAGGAAGGGAAACCCAGGCTGAGCCAGGCAGCCTCCCTGAGTTGAGCAGAAGGAGCTCAGAGTCTGGAAATGCCAAGATCCTTAGAATCGACAGGGTAGAAAAACTGGAGAGAAGGAAACTGCACAAAGAGAAAGCTCCAGAGATCTACAGAGCGTCCCCGCAAAGTCTGGAAAATAACCACCCAAAAGAATCAGAGGGAACAATCCCCTGAGTTCACACAGTGCTGGAAACAGTTCGTATTTCCACCAGGCAAAGTGGAAAACCTGGTATATGAAGGGGCATCAGATTACTCAGAATACTCAGAAGGGAAGTGCCTTAGCATGGAAAGAATAATCCTCGACTAAATGTTTCTCTGGTGCCATGTAATAAACTGTGTCCAAATAACTGCACCCCATAGCAAAGTTCAAGAACATTTATAGTAATACAAAAATATATAGCACCCCACCAATGTGATACCCAATCAAAGATTACCAGGCACGGGCAACATAGTAAGACACACAAAAATTTAAAAATTAGCCAAGCAGGCCGGGCATGGTGGCTCCCGCCTGTAATCCCAGCACTCTGGGAGACCCAGCTGGGTGGATCACTTGAGGTCAGGAGTTCGAGACCAGCCTGGTCAACATGGTGAAACCCCATCTCTACTAAAAATACAAAAATTAGTCAGGCATGGTGGCACACGCCTGTAATCCCAGCTACTCAGGAGACTGAGGCAGGAGAATTGCTTGAACCAAGAAGTCGGAGGTTGTAGTGAGCTGAGATCGCGCCACTGCACTCCAGCCTAGGCAACACAGCAAGACCCTGTCTCAAAAAAAAAAAAAAAAATTAGCCAAGCATTGTGGCACATGCCTGTAGTTCTAGCTACTCAGGAGGCTGAGGCAGGAGTATGGTTTGAGCCCGGGAGGTCAAGGCTGCAGTGAGCTATGACTGCACAACTGCACTCTAGCCTGGGAGACAAAGTGAAACCCTGTCTCAAAACAAACGAAAAAGACAAAGATTACCAGGCATACAAAGAAGTGGGAAAATACATCTCATAATGAGAATAATCATTGATCAAAACTGACCCAGAACCAATGCAGGTAGTAATCAGTAGATAAGGATATTAATACAAATACAACTATATTCCATATGTTCAAGAAGCTAGAGAAAAAATTGAACACATTAAGTATAGACATGAAAGATACAATAAAGCCCCAAATCAAACTTCTAGAGGTGAAAAATTCATCTAAAATGAAAAATATACTGGAAGAGATTAACAGCAGATTAGATGCTGTGAGATGAAAAGACTAATGAACTTAAAGACATCAAAATAGAAACTGTCCTAAATGAAACACCAAGACTTCAAAAACAGAATGAAAAATATACTGGATGAGATTAACAGCAGATCAGATACTATAAAAGAAAAGATTAATGAACTTGAAGACAAACAGAAATTGTCCAAAATAAAAGACCAAGACTTCAATAACAGAATGAAAAATATACTGGATGAGATTAACAGCAGATCAGATACTATAAAAGAAAAGATTAATGAACTTTAAGACATACAGAAATTGTCCAAAATAAAACACCAAGACTTCAAAAACAGAAAAACAATCAGTAAGCTGTGGGACAACTTGAAGAGCTCTGATACATGTATATACATTATCATTATACACATTCCACAGGTATTATTTCCCAAGTCCTTAAAGGAGAGGAGAAATAAGCGAGACAGAAAAAAAAATGCTTTAGAAATAATGGCCAAAAATTTTCCAAGTTTAGTGAAAACCATACACCCACAGAGCTAGGAAACTCAATAAATCCCAATTACATGAAATGTGAAAATGACTCCAAGGCACATCAAAATCAAATTGTTTTAAAAAATGAGAATACACTGAAATAAGCAAATATATATATATGTATATATATACACATTATATGCATAAGAACAAAGATAAGAGTACATTTGGCATGATTCTATTTTTACAAAACTCTAGAAAAAGTAAACTAACATATGGTGACAGACAGCAGATCAGAGGTTTCCTCAGGATGGAGAATGGGGTGAAGAGAAGCAGGAGGATGAGATTATAAAAGGTAAAAAGTTTCCTTTTCATCGCTTTTGTACGTCAGCTCACCTGAGGTGCTGCTGGGAGCAGTGAGGCTCCGAGGTCCTGGTCTCTGATCAGCCTTTCCTCCAGTCGGGCAGGCTGGGAGGCAGCCAGGGCTGAAGTGAGGAGAGGAAGTTTTCAGAATCTGGATGTCTTCCTTAACCACTCCCCAGAGGGCGCAGATAACAATCTTCACAAATCAGAACAATACCTGAACAATACCTGTACTGCCATCTATATTTCAAGACTTGTGTTTATCTCCCTGACACACTCCAACCCCCTCCAACATTCCAGTCTCACCCATATGTTCTCCCACCTCCTTCCTCAGAGCCAAAATCCAAATGGTCTGGCCCAGTCATAAAGCAGTTTAAAACACAGACTTTGACTCTCCAAACAAGAGCGGTTTATTTAGGTCTAACCTGTTTGCAAACCTCTCAGGGATACGCCAATCTGAGCAGCATACCATTTCAACTCACTTAGGCCTACTAATCACAATCCCAAAATCTCTCCAAGAGAACACCACACAGCACCATCCTCACCTAGTTCTGCTTCTGTGTCAGATTCCTCTTTCACGATGTGGCTCAGAAGCTCCCCAGGCCCTGAGGATGAATTCTCAAGTCCCAACTCCTGAGGCACCACTTCAAGATGGGGCTCCACTTCCCCCACTTGGCAGCTTGGAGATTCCATCTTCTCTGATAAGATGTCCTGTCCTAGAACCTGGATACTGATCTAGAGACCATATATTAATTAGTAATTACTGAAGAATCCAGAGTAAGGATCTCTAAAAGACACAAAGCTTACTCTCTACAACAGATCATAAGACAATTTCTAAGGATGTGGAGAAAGAGAAAACCAGCTTTTATTTCTAGTCCAGCAGGAACCAGGGAAAGAAACGTCCCAAAAGACACCAAAAGCTGAGGCCCGAATCAGGCGTGGGAGACCTTCAAGACATGCCACTAACGTGCTTCTACTGGATATGCGCCACCAATGAAAACTCAGGCATCTTTTAAATAACTTCTCAAACATTCTAGTCTAAAGGTGGAATGCGCTGGGAGACTTTACCCTCAATCCTCAATAGCTAAAGAGTGTTGAGAGTCAGAGAGTGTTAGAATTACGTGAGGTATGGGGGAACCCAGCTGTGGTATAATAAGAAATACACATTTAGTCTTTGTCCCCAGTTCCCATTCCCGCAGAGCTCCTAAAACCCTGGTAATTTCTTGAGGGACAGGTGAAAGAAGAGTCTTTGTTATTCATAAGGAGCCCTTCTCAACCACACCTGAGTTTATGCTAGGCTCCTAGATAGCTTCAGGATGGGGGCTGGTTGCCAGAGGAACCAACCTTGAGATTAAAAGGTTGGAACTTTCAGTATCTCCACCCAGCTTCTGAGGAGGGGAGGGCAGCTGGAGATACTCAATCACCAACGGCAAATGACTGTATCAAGTGTGCCAAAGCAGTGAAGCCTCCATAAAAATCCCTAAACCATGAGGTTCAGGAAGCTTCCAGGTTGGTGACCTCATGGAGGTACTGGTAACGTAGCACGCCAGGAGAAGCATGGAAGCTCCACGCTCTTTCCCCCACACCTTGCTCTATGCAGCTCTTCTCTCTGGCTGTTAATGAGTTGTATCCTTTAGAGTAAGTCAGTAACAGGAAGTAAAATCCTTCCCTGAGTTCTGTAAGTCATTCTAACTAATTATCAAACTTGAAGAGAAGACTGTGGGAACCTCCGAATTTATAGCCAATTTGTCAGAAGTACAGGTGGCCCCTGGGACTTGTGACTGGCATCTGAGAACAGGAGCAGTCTTGGATTGAGCCCTGAACCTCCAGAGTTAGCTTCAGAACTGAATTGCTGGACACTGTACTGGTGTTAGAGAATCACAGAATTGGCCATTGGTGTGAAAAGCCCCACCCATTTTGTGTCATAAGTGGTATCAGAAAAAAGACAACACACCTGATGGGACCAGAGAGGAGCCCTGTGTTTCACTCGCAGATCATAATACCCTCTGCTTACCCATTGCCACAGTCTCTGGGGGTCCCCCTTCAAGCTTTCCACAAGGGTCACTGCCTCTTCTCCACTTCCTGGACACTGTTTCCGCACCCACATCTGGATCTCCCCAGGCAGGATGGTCAGAAACTGCTCCAACATGAGGATCTCTAGGATCTGCTCTTTGGTGTGAACCTCTGGCTGTAGCCACTGGAAACAGAGCTTCCGAAGTTGCTTCAAGGTCTCATGAGGCCCAGACATCACCTGGTAACGGAACTGCCTGAAAAGCTGGCGTGCGGTCTCAGGGCTGGAGAGTTCCTCTTGAAGGGCAGCATCTGATTCTGAGAACTGGGAGTCCTCGGCCTTCGCCAGCGATGGCAGCAGGCCTAGGGCCTGCCCCAAGTCAACGGGCATTGTCCAGCCTGGCAAGTCCTTTTAAGTAAAGTGCTTCTGCAGTGGAATTGTCTCCGGCAAGAACTAGGTCTTCACCAGGACACTAAAAAGGGAATGAGATTGAGTGCTACACAGAGGAAGGGGACACATTTTCAGAAAGAACAAATTCACATGCCCTACCCGAGAAGCCATGGGGTCAACTATGGAGCTTTTGAAATTGCTCAATGGATACACGATTCTATTTTGAAAGATTATAAACTTGAAGCCACAAAGCAAACTACTGATACTGTATCTAAACAGCCACCATTTCCCTGCCCATTTTATAATGTTCTTTCTTGGTCTTCAAATGTCCAGACAAAATGAAGAATAAAATGCACCATACGAAACTTTTTCACTATAGGTTTCCAGGTAAACGGCTCTTCTACAAAACACTTCTACATCTTCATCTATATATCTGCATACTAAAAAATAAAGCTGGAAAAAGATATTAATGCCCTAGGAATAAAAGCTAATGCCTACATGCTTCTGTAATAAATAGGAGGTTAAAGAGAACAAGTTAAGTCTTCCAAAAGGTACCAAAAGTACTTCCAAAAGTATACCAAAAAGGTGTAATGAAACTTCCAAGAGAGGTCTTTTGAGTGCCATATTAAAATAGGTCTATTTGAGAATTTATGAAAAAAACAAGTATCATACCTGACACTTTCAACCTTGGGGTTAAAGAGGGTGAGAAGGCTGGGCATGGTGGCTCACGCCTGTAATCCCAGCACTTTGGGAGGCCGAGGCAGGTGGATCACGTGGTCAGGAGATCGAAACCATCCTGGTTAACACGGTGAAACCCCGTCTCTACTAAAAAAAAATACAAAAAATTAGCCGGGCATGGTGGCGGGCACCTGTAGTCCCAGCTACTCAGGAGGCTGAGGCAGAAGAATGGGGTGAACCCAGGAGGTGGAGCTTGCAGTGAGCCAAGATCGCGCCACTGCACTCCAGCCTGGGGGACAGAGAGAGACTCCGTCTCACAAAAAAAAAAAAAAAAAAAAAAAAGAGGGTTGAGAAGACTAACTACCTTGAAAATACTCCTATGGTGTTGATATAAATAATCACTATTTTATGTGAATGGTATCAAATTTTAGAAGATCACAACTAAGACAGTAGAAAGAGAAATATTAAATCGCAAATAATATTATTCTAAAAAGGATCATCCACTACTTCTAGTTAACTTTCTTGCAAGTAATCACAATATAGGATTACTGGGTAAATCCTTAAATGTTATGAAGAATTTGGTGGTCATCATTTCTCCCTAAGACTAATCACAGCAATTTTTAAAAAAAGATACCCCATCACTTGAGGATCTGGCTTAATCAGAGATCAGTACAATACTCTAGCTTTTTGTAGCTGCTTATTTCTTAAGGTGTAGGAAACAATGTCTTCATCCTTACCGTTTCACCAAAATAATTTATCCGACATTGGAAAATCATTTAAAAACTAAAAAAGAAAAACAATTTTTTTTCAAGGGCCTGAGAAAGGAAAAAGCGAAGTCAAAAGAATTACAGTTGACCATTGAATAATGCAGGAGATAGGGGCGCCAACCCCCCACACAGTAGAAAATCCATATATAACTTCTGATTCCCCAAAAGCTTAGCAGTCTATTGACTGATGCCTTAAATAGTTGATTAACATACATTTTGCATGTTACTGTATTTTTGTGATAAAGTAAGTTAGACAAAATATTATTAAGAAAATTATAAGGAAGAGGCCAGGCCAGGTGGCTCACGCCTGTAATCCCAGCACTTTGGGAGGCTGAGGTGGCTGGATCACAAGGTCAGGAGATCGAGACCATCCTGGCTAACACGGTGAAACCCCTTCTCTACTAAAAATACAAAAAATTAGCCAGGCGTGGTGGCGGGCGCCTGTGATCCCAGCTACTCGGGAGGCTGAGGCAGGAGAATGGCATGAACCTGGGAGGCAGAGCTTGCAGTGAGCTGAGATCGTGCCACTGCACTCCAACCTGGGCGACAGAGCGAGACTCCGTCTCAAAAAAAAAAGAAAAAGAAAATTATAAGGAAGAGAAACTACATTTACTATTCACTAAGTGGAAGTGAATCACCATAAAGGTGGTCACCTTCATCATCTTCACACTGAGTAGCCTGAAGAGGACAAGGAACAGGAGAAGGAGAAGGAAGGGTTGGTCTTGCAGTCGCAGGAGTCACAGAGGCAGATGAAAATCCTTGTATAAATGGACCCTTGCAACCGTAATCCAATACCAAATGTTTTTTATGTGGTCCTCATTAAATTTATTTTTTGCTTAAAAAGAAACCCAGGTCTGAGCGCAGTGGCTCACGCCTGTAATCCTAGCATTCTGGGCGTCCAAGGCAGGGGGATCATTTGAGGTCAGGAGTTCAAGACCAGCCTGTCCAACATGGCAAAACCCCATCTCTACTAAAAATACAAAAATTAACCGGGCGTGGTGGTGAATGCCTGTAATCCCAGCTACCAGGGAGGCTGAGTGAGGCAGGAGAATTGCTTGAACCCAAGGGGGCAGAGGTTGCAGTGAGCCGAGATCACACCACTGCAAGAAAAAAAAAAAGAAACCCAGGCCAGGCGCGGTGGGTCACGCCTGCAATCCCAGCACTTTGGAAGCCCTAGGCGGGAGGACCACCTGTGGTCAAGAGTTTGAGACCAGCCTGGCCAACGCAGTAAAACCCCATCTCTACTAAAAATACAAAAATTAGCTGGGCATGGTGGTGCGCACCTGTAATCCCAGCAACTCAGGAGGCTGAGGTAGGAGAACAGCCTGAACCTGGGAGGCGGAAGTTGCAGTGAGTCAAGATCGTACCACTGCACTCCAGCCTGGGCGACAGAGGGAGACTCCATCTCAAAAAAAAAAAAAAAAAGAGTCAGTGAAGTCAAAAAATCTGAACACTATCAACCGACTTGCTCTAATTGACATTTTCAGAACACTAGACCCAAGAACTGCAGAGTATACATTCATTACAAGTGCAAAGAGTATTCATCAAAACAGACCATATGCATAATTTTCAAATGACTGATATCTTAAAATTAGCTCTAAAAATATTACGCAAAGTGGTATTGCTAAAAAGCCATTAAAGCAATACCAAAAAACACTCAAAAACCCAATATCTGATAGAAAAGGAACACAAGAGAAACAAAACCAGAAAGGTCAAATGGAAAACTTTAGAGCTTCCTGGGTTCAAATATATTCTCTGATCATAGTGCAATTAAAGTAGAAATCAATAACAATAACTAGAAAATCCCAATTTATGGAAATTACTAAATAATGCTCTTAACCCATAGTCAAAGAAAAAAATCACAAAGGAAATTAAAATATGTTTTCATACTGAGTGACAATGACAGCATTATCAAACCACCTGAAAAGCAGCTTTAGCTCAGAGGTAAACCTACAGTTTCAAATAACATCTTAAAAAACGAATAAATATATTTTTAAAAATACCTTGCTTTGTAAATCCAACCTATTTGGCTCAAGAGTTTCAAATAACAAGCGGCAAGATTTTAGATAGCAAGATACCGACCTGTAAACTTACTGCAATTTATCTGTTTCCTAAATTAAGATAGCAGTTTAGATAATATTTAAGAGAAATGACATTTTGGAAAAACTACAGATTTTATAAAATACTTAAATCTTTTGTTAGTAATATTATACTCCCAGGTAGTGTGTAAGAAAAATGTCTCGATTATTCAAAATTAAATTACTTTATATAGTATTAAAAATTTAATAGAGTTTATATTCCGATAACCTCATGAGGAACTGCCCCCATTAGTTATGAAAAAAAAATAAGGTTGTCTGTTATACCTGTTATTAAACCTTTAACAAATAGAATGAATTTTTAAAAGTGCATTCTAGGTGTAATATACACAAGTGGTTACATACATGGTTACATATATAAGTAACCATTTGTTAAGCACCTACTACGTATCGGCTCATTATTAAGCTCGGTTCATGTATTTCCAATTCCCACAATTACCCTGGTGTACAGATCAGGAACCTCCGAGGCTCACAAGTGGCAGCCAGATTAACCCAGGAAGCTCTAAAGCCTTTGCTTTGGGGAGAACTGCCAACGTCTGGTGATTTGTTGGGGCGTTTTCTGGTTGTCACAAGCAGCTAGGGGAACTGGCATTTAGTGCTCGAGGCCAGGGCAGCGCTGCTCATTGGATATGTATTCTCCACCATGCGCCCCCCAAATGCCGACTGCACTCTGATGAGAGAGGGAGAGACTCCAGGCATCATCCCATCGGGTTTCCTCTTCCAGAGACTCATTTTCAGCCCTTAGGGGAAGACAGCGGGGAGGAGCCCGTTTTCGGTCCCAGTGCAGAGACCCGGCCGGTCCCGCGGGGCGCAGAGGCGCAGGAATGCAGAGCCGGGACGGGGTTCACACATCCCCCCGCACCCACGGTCCACTCCCAGCCATGGCTGCCCCGGCCCCGCACTCGCCACGTCCCCCGCGCGCTCCCAGACGCATGGGCAAGGGAGCCCGCTGGCCCCTCCGTAGCTCCGGGGTGCCCAGCTGAGTCAGGTGCGGACGCAGATAGCGCAAGGCCTGACCCCGAGCGGCCGGAGGCCGGGACCGCCCCGCAAGCGCGCTCACCTCGGCCCGCGGCGCCGGCTCCGGGCGCACTTCCGGGAGCTGGGTGGCTGCGCGCGCCTCAGGCGGCAGGCGAACGACGTGCGGCACCGGGCGGAGCTAGGGGGCGGGGGCGGAGCTGATACCGAAGCTCCTATTGGCCGTCGGGGACGCCCCGCCTCTCTCTGGCGTTGCAGCCCAGGAGCCTCCACCGACATGGCAGCGAGGTTCCCGAGCCAACGCCATCCTCCGTTCCTTCCGTCACTCACTCACTAATCACTGTTCCTGAGTTCCTTCACTTCTCACCCGTCATTTATTGCGCACCTATTCTGTGCCAGGCACTCGGCCAAGCACTGCGAGGCCTTCAAAGATCATTTCTTTGTCTCTCCCAAACCCTTCCGCCCAGTCCCACCCGCAGAGCTGCAACGCTCTGCCATTATCCCTGATTCTTAACCGCCGCCTTTCTCCTTTCCGTTCTTGCCTCACTGGGCCTCCCTGAGACACTTGATTTGCCCCAACCTTCTTCCTCTGTCTTGGTTCTCCCACTCTCATCAGCTCTGCATCCCCTGGGTCCTCTCCCACTTCTCCCCATTCCGTTGGGGCTAGTCCAATGTGGTGCCATCCTCTTTCCACCTGCGTCTCTCTCTCTTCTCTCTCTCTCTCTCAACAAATGTCATCCCTGACTCTTCCCTTCTCCTTCCCTTTCCCACACGCCAACAATGGCTGAATCCTCTGATTTGACCTCATTGTCTCTCAGACACCTCACCCTCTCTCCCTTCTCACTATCCCTCCCTCGGCTCAGTTCCACACCATTTGTAATGGTCAAGACCTTCTTACCCTTTCCCCAGCGTCCAGTGTTGCCGGTTTCCAGGCCATCCTGTGCTGGGCCACGACATCAACTTGTGATACTAAGTTGCATTAATGGAAGTATCATGTCAAAGTTTGGGTGTTCCACCTTGGGCAACTGGCAAAGAGGAGGGTATTCAAAAAAAGCTGCCATGTTCCCCAATAACCTATGGAAATAAAATAAATAAAAAATAAAAATTTAAAGAAGAGCTGTCATTATCATAACATGTCCTGTACCTGTCATTATCATAACATGTCCTGTACCTGTCATTATCATAACATGTCCTGTACCTGTCATTATCATAACATGTCCTGTACCTGTCATTATCATAACATGTCCTGTACCTGTCATTATCATAACATGTCCTGTACCTGTCCCATGTTTACAAGAATTAAAGATCCTCCTCTGGAGAAATAAAGCTTGATGCGGGGATGGGATTACATCTTCATGTACCTGAAAAGTGACCAGCGGAAAAGGGATTCGACATGTTCTCTTAAGTCCCAGGGTCTGAACAAGATCCTATGTGTGAAACTACTGTTTCAGCCTGACATAGGTGGAAGTTTCTAGTCTTTTTTTTTTTTTTTTTTTTTTTTTGTATTTTTGGTGGAGACGGGGTTTCACCATGTTGGCCAGGCTGGTCTCGAACTCGTGACCTCAAGTGATCCACCCACCTTGGCCTCCCAAAGTGCTGGGATTACAGGCATGAGCCATGGCACCTAGCTGGACGTTTCTAACATTCATGTGATTGATGGCGCTGCTTTGAGTTCCTGAGGACAGCATGGCTAACAATTTACCAGGCACATTTAGAGGGACACCTTCATTGGGTATTGCTTCCAACATCAATGTGCTCTGCTTCTAAGAAAGTCAAGAGATAAGGTGGTTTAGAGGGGAAGATTATAGGAGTTTTATCTTCAATGTGTTCGCTTTTAGCTGATCAACACCCAAGGAAGATAACAGTAATTCAAAACCATTAATTGGGTTCTGACTCCTTTGTGAATCTGATGGAAGGTAAAATTTTTCCCAAGAAAAATGCACATACACATCTACATACAACACTTTGCACTCAAATCCAGGGAGCTAACACAGCCTTGAAACCCATCCTTGGAACCCACAAACCTCAGTTTGAGAACTCTAATCCTGGTAGATGGTTCCTGATATGAAAATGACACTTTGAAGTTTAATAATTTCTTTATAAACTGGCACCTTAGGAAAAGGCATAAACACTTATTTCGAAACAGGCTGAACAATCAAAATATTTTTTAAAATAGGGAGATATCTACCTCAGCTTAGGAAATAATGAAAAGGTGTCATCTATTTCTATTATTCACTTACTCATTCAATAAATATTTACCAGATGATGTGCCCAGCACTCTTCCAATAGCTATATATGCAAGAATGAACTAAACACACAAAGTCCCAGCCCTCCCAAGACTTATATTTTGTAGGGTGAGCTGGACAATAAATAAGTGCACAAGTGGTAATTATAGGTGTTGTGAAGAAAATTACATTGGGGTAAGGAGGAGAGGTACTGTTAGAGATGGAGTGCAAGTTATATAGGATGGTCAGGGAAGGACTAACAGATAAAACAGGCTTGAATCCAGACCGGAAGTTAATTAAGACGCAAGCCTTGCGTGTATCTGTGGGAACCTCCAGGCAGAGGAAATTGCAAAAGTTTTTGTTGTTGTTGTTGTTTGAGACAGAATCTTGCTCTGTTGCCCAATGTAGTGCCAGAATCTCAGCTCACTGCAACCTCCGACTCCAGGTTTAAGTGATTCTCCTGCCTCAGCCTCCTGAGTAGCTGGGATTACACATGCTTGCCACCGTGCCCAGCTACTTTTTGTATTTTTAGCAGAGATGAAGTTTCATCATGTTGGCCAGGCTGGTCTCAAATTCCTGACCTCAGGTGATCCACCCACCTCAGTCTCCCAAAGTGCTGGAATTACAGGTGCGAGCCACCAGGCCCACCCATAAACGTTTAGGCCATGAAACAATGAGTGACAATAAAGAGAAGCACTATAAAGACCAAGCCCTGGACCACGCCAACATATAGGGTCAGGGTAATAAGAAAAATCTATTAAAGGAGAAAGAAACTGAGGAGCCACTGAGGTAGCAGGAAAACAGAGAGTGGTATCCGGGAAGCCAACTGCATAAAGTGTTCAAAGAAAGAAGGAATTGCTGGGTGTGGTGGTTCACGCCTGTAATCCTAGCACTTTGGGAGGCCGACATGGGCAGATCACCTGAGGTCTGCACTTCGAGACCAGCCTAACCAACATGGAGAAAACCTGTCTCTACTAAAAATACAAAATTAGCTGGGCGTGGAGGTGCACGCCTGTAATATACAAACTGGCACCTTAAGAAAAGGTATAAACCCATAATCGCTTGAGCCCAGGAGGCAGAGGTTGCAGTGAGCCTAGATCACACCATTGCACTCTAGCCTGGGCAACAAGAGCGAAACTCTGTCAGAAAGAAAGAAAGGAAGAAAGAAAGAATCATCAACTAATCAAATGCCATGATCAAATGTAAGATGAGGATTAAGAATTGACTGAGCAACAGGAGTATAAAATCACTGGTGACCTTGACCTTATAAGAGTGGTTGGGAGTAGAGAAATCCTGAATGGAATAAGTTCAATAAGGAACGAGAAGAGAAGAATTAGAGCAGCAAATATAGACAAGTCATTCAAGAAGTTTTGCTATAAAAAGAAATAGCAAAATGAGACAAATTAGGAGATCTTACAGCATGCTTACACACTGATTAGAATGATCCAGTAGGGAGGAAAAATTTGTATGGAAGGGGAGAAAAGTGACAATTACTGAAAAATGTTCTTGAGTAGAGATTGATTTTTGAATAACAAGGCTTCTGGGTACTCACATAATCTAGGCCACATGGAACACTCACAGAAAACAATCTCCACTAAAGAGGAGCTTAAAGTCAAAAGTTACAAGCCACACCAAAAACAAATCCTCGTACAGAGAAAACGGGGAATAGAGAGGTGTTGATCAAAGGGTACAAAAAGTTCCAGTTAAACAAGAGGAGTAAGTTTTAGCAATCTATTGCACAGTGTGGTAACCGTAGTTAATAATAATGCATACCTCGGGCCGGGCGCGGTGGCTTACACCTGTAATCCCAACACTTTGGGAGGCTGAGGCGGGCGGATCACAAGGTCAGGAGATCAAGACCATCCTGGCTAACATGGTGAAACCCCATCTCTACTAAAAATACAAAATATTAGCCAGGCGTGGTGGCAGGTGCCTGTAGTCCCAGCAACTCTAGAGGCTGAGGTAGGAGAATGGCATGAACCCAGGAGGCGGAGCTTGCAGTGAACCGAGATTGCGCCACTGCACTCCAGCCTGGGGGACACAGAGAGACTCCGTCTCAAAACAAACAAACAAACAAACAAACAAACAAAGTATATTTCAAAATCACTAAAAGAGTAGATCTTAAATGTTCTCACCATAAAAAATAAGTAGGTGAGGTGATGAATGTATTAACTTGATTTAAACTTTTACAATGTATACCTATGTCAAAACGTCACATTATACCCCATAAATATATAATTATTATTCATGAATTAAAACTAAAAATAAATTTTTAAAAATCTATTATAAATGAAAATCACTAGTTACTAAAAAAATGAAAGCACATGCACTCCAAAATTCAGAGATAATAGAGCAATCTGAAAGATATTTTAAAATAAAAATTCTGAGTTGTTCGAAGAGGTTTAAAAAAAAGTAAAAGCAATAGAGCAAAAGAACCTTGTGGGAAAAAAAGAAGAAAGAAAGAAAGGATGAAAGGTGGGAGGGAGAAAACAAAATAAAACTGCAGGATCAAGTCTATTTCTTACAAACTAAAAGATATTAACTTTTTGGCTGGGCCCAGTGGTTCACGCCTGTTAATCCCAGCACTGTGGGAGGCCAAGGTGGGTGGATCATGAGGTCAAGAGATTGAGACCATCCTGGCCAACATAGTGAAACCCCATCTCTACCGAAAACACAAAAATTACCTGGGCGTGGTGGTGTGCGCCTGTAGTCCCAGCTACTCAGGAGGCTGAGGCAGGAGAATAGCTTGAACCCGGGAGGCAGAGGTTGTAGTGAGCTGAGATCGTGTCATTGCATTCCAGCCTGGCAACAGCAAGCCTCCGTCTCAAAAAAATATATAAAATAAAAAAATAAAAAAGATATTAACTTTTTTAATTAGGGAAAAAAATAGTCTAACATTGATGAGAGTCAGACATGGCAAATATCTTTGTTCCCATTGTAGAGATAAGAAAATCGAGATCCAGAGTGTGTAAGAGCGTAACTGAAAGCTGCAGACATTGTTACTGAGGCTGAATTTAAACTCTGCTTTTTCTGACTGCAGATCCCATACTCTGCCCTCTGTCTGCTGCATTTGTCCCAGGATAAAGTAGGGCTAACAGGACAAGCTGTTCAAAGAAATTGTATAAGGTTTGGGCAAACTATCATGGGAGATACTGTGAGAACTTGAAATGAATATATTGATGAAGTTAAATTACATGAGATTGTTGTGGGCCAGATCAGTTATTTCAACAAAAATTCCCTGGAACTGAGGAGCAGAAAGATTCGGATTGACTCAAGGTGAAAGGAACCTGGGCATCAATGGAGGATATCAGTGTAAGCTGTGTGGAAATGGCTTACCACACGGACAAGGAAGGGAGACCAGAACAGAAACCACTCCCGACACCCTCCCTCTGCCATCAAGATGTAGTTTGTATCCTGTTGACTTCAATAGAGCAAAGAGTGATTTAACTCATGGCAGAAGGAAACTGAATTGTCTTTTAAGGACTATTGAGAGAACAGAGAATTAAACAAGATGGTAACTGCTTTTCTCTAGTTAGGAGAAATACTAACATACATCACGTTTTATGTGGGATGTCCTAGAGGAGATCTTTAAGGTGTTCAAGAGGCCAGGCGTGGTGGCTCACGCCTGTAATCCCAGCACTTTGGAATCACAAGGTCAGGTGTTCGAGACCAGCCTGGCCAACATAGTGAAACCCCATCTGTACCAAAAATACAAAAAATAAGCCAGGCATGGTGGCAGGCGCCTGTAATCTCAGCTACTCAGGAGGCTGAGGCAGGAGAATCACTTGAACCTGGGAAGGCAGAGGTTGCAGTGAGCCGAGATAGTGCTACTGCACTCCAGCCCGGGTGACAGTGTGAGACTCTGTCTCAAAAAAAAAAAAAAAAAAGATGTTCAAGAAGGTTCAGGTGGGGCTAGGAAATGACTTCCTATAGTGCCTACAAGTGACACACAGGGCCAGAAGCCTGGATTAGCCCTAAAGTGCATACCTTAAAAAAGTATATATGGTGGATAAATCCTGATGCATCTCTCACCAAATGAAATTTTTCCCTGAGGCCGTAAAATGTCTTTAGACAAGGTATTCTCAATCTGAGACTTCAGGATTTCAATGACTAACTCCCCAGTATGCAAGTGTTTGTAGGTATGGGTATTTTTCTCAAATTTAAAAAGTCATTCCATGCTTAGGCAGACCCCTTTGAGCTTTTGAATCCATGGGCCTGGAGACACGACAAAGAAGTTAAGCTTCACTGGTATTGAATACAACGGACTGGCCAGCTCCTTAGTTTGCACATATGTTGAACAGGCTTGAGTCAGGATATAGAAGGTGCCATAAGGGAACGTGAGGAGGCCCACACCATGGAGCAGTTAAAAGTGAGGGCCTGGGCCGGGTGCAGTGACTCACGCCTGTAATCCTAGCACTTTGGGAGGCTGAGGCGGGCGGATCACAAGGTCAGGAGTTTGAGACCAGCCTGACCAACATGGTGAAATCCCGTCTCTACTAAAAATACAAAAATTAGCCGGGTGCAGTGGCACACGCCTGTAATCCCAGCTACTCGGGAGGCTGAGGCAGGAGAATCGCTTGAACCCGGGAGATGGACGTTGCAGTGAGCCAAGACTGCGCCACTGCACTCCAGCCTGGGTGACAGAGCGAGACTCTGTGTCTCAAAAAAAAAAAAAGTGAGGTCCTTACATTTTCACTTATTCAACATATTGAGACATACTGAAGTTAGTATGTGCAGGAATCAGTGGATTTATGGATTATATTACCTAGTTTTAACTAAACTAACCCTAGCAAAATGTTTCTTAACATTTAACTAACCCTAGTTTAAAGTTTCTTAACAAAATAATCTCAGTTTGAAGATAACAGTAATAATGCAGGCACATGTAAACAGCAATAAAATAGCATAGTTACACTTCTAACTTGAGTCCTTTTGCAGATACATTGGAAGGTAATGATAATGCCAATGAATCAGATCCGACCAAAGCCAAGCAAAATAATTTCAAATATTAAGAAATCTACTAGAAATGTGCGTTTATGGCCGGGCACGGTGGCTGAAGCCTGTAATCCCAGCACTTTGGGAGGCCGAGGCAGCAGATCACCTGAGGTTGGGAGTTCGAAGCCAGCCTGGCCAACATAGAGAAACCATGTCTCTACTAAAAATACAAAAATTAGCTGGGTGTGGTGGCGCATGCCTATAATCCCAGCTACTTGGGAGGCTGAGGCAGGAGAATAGCTTGAACCCAGGAGACAGAGGTTGCAGTGAGCCAAGATCATGCCATTGCACTCCAGCCTGGGCAACAGGAGTGAAACTCCATCTCAAAAAAAAAAAAAAAAAAAGAAAAGAAATGTGCATTTATATCTCTATCACTATACTGAATGGCACCTTAACAAGATGTATATTTATGTGTATATTTACACTGAGTTTGTAAATTAGATTTTAAATGTTTAAATATATATTTATACACACACTAAGTTTAAATACGTGTGTATATATTTGTACCTTTATATAAGTATATATAAATATATATGCATGTATGTGTGATGTATATATATTTATGCATGTTATGGACTCAGAAGTTATATATATACAGATTATATATACAGATAATACATATACACAGATACTAATATATGCATATATATTATATATATAGAACATGAAGGAAATTCAACAAAGTTTAAAGTCATATTCTATCAAGTACTTTATGAAACTTCATTAAATCAAATGGAAACTGGTGGCCTCTTTTGAGGTTCTCATACATGAAAATCAATACACAAAATATTCCGTATAAAAAGTTTTGTGCTTTTCATTTTAAGCCCATCGGTAAAAATTATGAAAATGTAATGTCTCTTCCAATTAGTTTGCAAGAGCTACTGACTCACATCAGTGACTATGGAAATTAGTAGCCACATTTCATCAAAATTTTTTGCTTAATTACCAGATGGCATTGAAAAACAAATATCATTCTTAGTATCTGCTGCCAATGATGTACTTTATCCATTTGGAGGTTTGGGGAGGTTTCTTTTTTCACTTTTGACAACCATTATAACTAAGTGTCAAAAATAAACTGAATTTAGAACCCGACTTTAAAACTCCTGTATCACAGAGTATTAAAGATTTGCTCAAATAATGAGGTGTATTATATTTCTGGTGAGAACTTTATTCAATAAATAAGATACATATTTTAAAATATTATTTTTCCATTTTTACCATAGACTTTTTAACTTTCAATTTTGAATATGTTTTATAATGTACAACATGTAGGCAAAATAATACCTGTATATATTATTTATGAATAAATACATATACAAACAGTGGCTACATAGTCTCAAAATACTTTTACTAGAAAAGAATGATTGATCAAAAAAGTGTAGATCTCCCTGTTCTAGATCTGGGAGCTTCTTAAACTGGGCTGCAGATCAGACTCACATGGAGGGCATGTTAATTCCACATTATTTTGACTTCTTTCCTGAATCAGATTATCTGAGAGGTAGAGCCTGGAAGTATGATTTTTTAACAACTTCCAAAGTGATGCTTTTGGCACTGATCTGTGAGTGGCATTCAAATCCATGTTCATAAATAATTGTCTATTAATTCAAACTTCAGGACACAAACAGATGTTAGTTGCCAAAACTTATGTGGGCAAGAAGGATAATAATACAGGGAGTAATACAATTAACTGGCAATCAGGA